>NT_187567.1:0-374415 GCF_000001405.40 Homo sapiens | reverse complement strand
GAATTCTCTAATGCCCCCTCATTGCCACCCCAAATGTTTTCTGTTATTTGCATGTTCTATTAGTATGTTCTTCAAATGTTACAATTAATGAACCAATAGCAATACATTATTATCAACTAAAGCCCATAGTTCACAATAGATTCACTCTTTGTGTTGTACATTTTATGGGTTTTGACAAATCACAGTTTTTCCTTTTCCTGAATGTTATATAGTTAAAATTATGCAGTATGTAGCCTTTTCAGATTGGCTTCTTTCAGTTAGAAATATGCATTTAAGGTTCTTTCATATCTTTTCATGACTTTATAGTTTATTCCTTTTTGTTGCTGAATAATATTGCATTGTATAGATATACCACAGTTTGTTTATTCATTAACCTATTGAAAAACATCTTGGTTAAAGCTATTATAAACATTCTTGTGCAGTTTTTGTATTGATATAAGTTTTCAACTCATTAGGTATATACTAAGGAGTGTAGTTATTGTGTTTATGGTGTCTTCGTCCATTTGGGCTGCTATAACAAAAATAGTATAAAGTGGTTGGTTCAAACAACATTATTTCTCACAGTTATGGAGGCTGAGAAGTCTGAGATCAAGGAACCAGCAGATTTGGTGCCTGGTGAAGACCTGCTTCCTAGTTCATAGGTGGCTGCCTTCTCCCTGAGTTCTCACATGGCAGAAATGGCACTGGAGATTTCTGGATTCCTTGTATAAGGGCACTAATCCCCTTTATAAGGGCTCCACCTTGATGACCAAATCACCTCCCAAAGGCCTTACTGTCAAATGCCATCACATTGGGAATTAGGTTTCAACATATAAATTTGGTGGAGATGTAAACATTCAGTCTTTAGTACGTGGTAAGAGTACTTTTAGCTTTATAACAAACTGCCAAATTATCTTCCATTTTTCATGTGACACTTTTCATTTTTATAAGCAATGAATGATAGTTCCTGTTGCTCTACAACCTCACCAGCATTTGGTATTGCCACTGTTTTGAATTTTAACCTTTCTAATAAGTGCCTAGTGGCATCTCATTATTGTTTTATTTTCAGTTCCCTAATGCCATATGATATTGAATATCTTTTCAAATGCTTATTTGCCCTCTCTATATCTTCTTTTATGAGGAATATATTCAGATTATTTTGCTCTTTTTAAAATTGGATTATTTGTTTTCTCACTTTTTTTTTTAGGATTTTTTGGTGTATTTTGGATATAAGTTCTTTGTCAAATCTATGTTTTGCAAATGTTTTCTTCCTATCTGTGGCTTGCCTTTTTATTCTCAACTTTCTTCACCATTTACAGTATTTTTAATTAGGATATTCATCATATAACATAAAATTCACTATTGAAAAGTCTACAGTTCAGGATTTTTCAGATATTCACTCTTTTGTGCAACTACCACATCTGTCTAATTCCAGGACATTTTTATCACTCCATACCTACTAATAGTTAGTTCCAATACCCTTCCCCTCTTCCCTGGAAACCACTAATTTAGTTTTTGTCTCTATTGATGTTCCTACTCTTCAATTTTCATGCCAATAAAATTGTACAATATGTGGCCTTTGTTTCTGGATTCATTAAATTAGTATAATCTTTCCAAAGTCCACTAATGTTGTAGCATGTAACAGGACTTAAATATCACTTTTTATGGCTGAATAGTAAAGGTTTGGGTTTTCTTTTTTTCTTTTTTTTTTTTTAACCCGTGTAAATCCTCACAGCATTTATTATTAAACTTACTCACTCAATATTAGCAGACTTATATATAAGTCAAAATTCTAATAGGAGATGAAAGATACACTCAGAAGGAATTCAGAAGAGAACTTAAGGTAGGCACTACTTATAGGCAGGCTTCAGAGAACCATAAAATGTGTTGAAGTACCAAGAGATTGGCAATTTGCAAACCCCTTACATCCTGAGGAGGTAAGAAGAAGATAGTATGTTACTAGAGTCCCTCGGAAAGCTAAAACCATGAAAGAAGGGCATCCTGGCAGAAGTTTTTATTTTAGAGGGACACAACTGTTGCAAAAACAGCAAAAAATACATGGACAAAGAAATATTAGTGTAGATCACCAATCTCTTGTTGATTGATTTTCATTGGTTGAATGAAAGTGGAAGGTTGATCAAGTCTGATGGCTTCTGCAACTCAGAGAACAGAGGAGAATGGAGCAGAGACTTTTTGCGGAGAAGGGGTAAATAGGATAACCAGCATAAATTATATTTAATTCCTTTCCAAGTTTACCTGTTCACTGGAGACATTGTTAAATGAATGAGCAGATACAATTTAGCACACAAAGATCTGACTGTCTACACCCAGAATGGTTACATTGGCAAAAGCCAGGACTTGGTATCACATCTGTGTACCTACTGCTGTGTTATTTTGAGAAACTGATTCATTACGCCTCTGAGCATGAGTTGTTTCCTTCATGAAAAATAATAATATTACCAATGTAATGGCTGGTTTTGCATCTCAATAATTTAGTGTATTAGACATATTGTAGTCACTCAAATGGTTGCTATGATCATACAATATTAACACTTTTCTTAAAAAATCAGTTGAAAGTGAATAATTAAATATAACTGTAGTTATAGATATTAATTCTAAATTTTCCTGAAATTAAATAAAAAGATATTCAATAAAAGGCAAAATGATCCAATTCTAGTCATTAGCAAAACTCTGTTGTTTTATTCAATCAATATTTGTATGAAAAATTTCAACATTATTTCCTCCAATACTATTCTCCAGTTATTGGGAGAATCTTTCTATCCATCACTGCCCCATTAAGTCATGGTCAAAATGAAATTTGCCATGACTGCATTATGTTTGATCACTCTGATTTCTGGCTTAAAGAAGACTTTCAGAAAGAAAAAGAAATAACATTAACAATTCAGTTTTTGGAAATATTCGTTATATTTAACTACTGATAAACTTTTTCTTCCTTTTCTGGTAAACAGTCCTGTTTCTGTTGGAGAAAGCCATGCTCTATGGGTTGAATGTGACATACCTGGCTCTTTTCTGCATTCCCTCATACAAAGATGCATACTTCACCCAGGTTAATCAAATCAATGTACCTTATTCTCCGAAATTAGGAACTTTAAATAGATTGTTCTTATTTATAGTTGCCAAAAAAGACTATTTTTCAGTGAACTGGCAGTATAATGTGGACTTGGGACCTTCAGCAGCCATCTTTCCCATTATGTGCAAGGTATTTGAGAAGAAAGCAAAGTGAAGGAATGTGAAATGAAATAGACTAGCAATGTAACCCGAACCTCTAGGTTTGGCCAGACTTGGCTTTCAATTCACCAGTTTTGTAAATAGAAGTAATAAATGGTTGGCCAGGAGCAGTGGCTCACGCCTGTAATCCCAGCACTCTGGGAGGCTGAGGTGGGCGGATCACGAGGTCAGGAGATCTAGACCATTCTGGCTGACACGGTGAAACCCCGTCTCTACTAAAAAAACCAAAACAAAACAAAAAATTAGCCGGGTGTGGTGGCGAGCACCTGTAGTCCCAGGTACTCGGAAGGCTGAAGCAGGAGAATGGCATGAACCCGGGAGGCGGAGCTTGCAGTGAGCCGAGATGGTGCCACTGCACTCCAGCCTGGGCGACAGAGTGAGACTGTCTCAAAAAAAAAAATAATAATAATAATAAATAAATAAATATAAAAAATTAAAAAAGAAGTAATAAATGGGTTTTTTTGTTGTTTTTTAAGACAGATTGATTTGTTTCTGTTTCTTGCAACTGTCATTCTGTTGTATAATATAATCATTTTAGTCATCACAGATTGAAACATGGACTATGAATCTATTCTCTGAATCTTCCACCAACCACCTACCCAGAAGCAAGGTCTCAAATGTGTATGTGTAGAATTCCATCCAAGCAAATGTATACCTGTTCCTCCACCCACTGCTAGTCATCCGGGGCAATTGGCATCAAATTCCCTAGTGGCTTCATTCTCTGACATTCAGGCTGTATCACACATGAGTGGTGTGCTTCCTTAACTAGCCTACCTCAAACCTCTTACTAAAATTAGGACTCACAGCCTCTTCAGCTGCTTTCTCCGATGCTCACGCCCTCATCTTGGTATGCTGGATCCCACATCTGTGATGATGACATGAGGTGTCAGATAGAAAATGGCTCCAAGGGAAAAAAATAAGAATATTCCTCTCTAAAGATTGAGAAAAGGGGAAGCCAGATCCAGACTATAAACCCTTTCTAAGACTCTCAAGGTAGGCTAAAAAGTGTTCTTCTAAGCATGGAACATCCACAGTCCATCTTTCTACAGGAGAAAGAGACAAGGAAATCACCCAAATTTTAACCAATAGATAAAAATAGTTTTTAACTATTCAGTATACAGGCATGTATGTTTGAGTTAATTATATGTCTCAGTTTATGGCACATATTATTATTGTTTCATATAAGATTACTTTAGTTTTTTATTAATTATTTTTATTTTCTTTTATCTTTTTCTTTCCCGACTCTATTTCCTGATCCCTCTCACAAGTAATCTTTCTATTTATAGTTTTCTTTTGATTTGTATGTATTTTTACAAGTTTTTTTTGCTTTGTGTGAATTGCATTATCTATCTCATTTTGTATTTGTCTTTCTCTGACAAACCCTCCATTTTTAAGAGCCATCCGTTTTTCATGTGAACATACACTGCTCTGTTGTTCTTTTCTAATGTTTTTTACTGGAATACATATAAGATATACTATCTTAATAATTTGTAAGTGTACAGTTCAGTGATAGTAAGTACATTTATATTGTTCATGCAACACCATCATCAATCTTCAGAACCCTTTTAATTATATAAAACCGAAACTACACGCATGGAACAATAATTCCCCATTCTCCTCTGTACCTAGTTCCTGGCAACCATCATTCTACTTTTTGTCTCCATGATTTTGAATACTCTAAGTACCTCATGTAAGTAAATTTATACAATAATTGTCATTCTTGTGGGTAGTTTATTTTATTTAACAAAACATCTTAAAGATTCTCTCATGTTGTAGAATATGTCAGAATTCCATTTCTTGATAAGGCTGAATATTATTCCATTGCATGCATATACTGCATTTTGTTTGTCCATTCATCCATTGATGGACATGTGGGTTACTTCCACATTTCAGCTACTGTGAATAGTACTCCTATGAAGACGGGTGTACAAATGTCTCTATGAGATACTGCTGTCCATCTTTTGATTATATTCCCAGAAGTAGAATTGCTGGATCATATATTAATTTTATTTTTAATTTTGAGGAACCACAGTAGTGTGTTCCACAGTGGCCAGTGGCTATACCCTTTTACATTCCTACCAACAGTGCACAAGGTTCGATTTCTCCACCAACATGTTATTTTTAACAAAAACATTCTATTTTCTGTATTTCTTTTTTTTGCTAGATTATAGCCATCCTAATGGGTGTCATTTTCATGCGCGTCCATGTGAAGAGACCACCAAACAGGCATTGTGTGAGCAACAAGGCTGTTTATTTCACCTGGCTGCAGGTGGGCTGAGTCTGAAAGGAGAGTCAGTGAAGGGAGATAGGGGTGGGGCCGTTTTATAAGATTTGGGTAGGTAAAGGAAACTTACAGTCAAAGGGGGTTTTTCTCTGGCGGGCAGGAGTTGGGGGGTCACAAGGTGCTCAGTAGGGGAGCTTTTGAGCCAGGATGAGCCAGGAGAAGGAATTTCACAAGATAATGTCATCAGTTAAGGCAGGAAGAGGCCATTTTCATTTCTTTTGTGGTGGAATGTCATCAGTTAAGGCAGGAACCTGCCATCTGGATGTGTACGTGCAGGTCACAGTGGATATGATGGCTTAGCTTGAGCTCAGAGGGCTGACATTCCTGTCTTCTTATATTAATAAGAAAAATAAAACGAAATAGTGGTAAAGTGTCGGGACAGCGAAAATTTTGGGGGATGGTATGGAGAGATAATGGGCGATGCTTCTCAGGGCTGCTTCGAGTGGGATTAGGGGCGTCGTGGGAACCTAGAGTGGGAGAGATTAAGCTGAAGGAAGATTTTGTGGTAAGGGGTGATACTGTGGGGTTGTTAGAAGAAACATTCGTTGTGTAGAATTATTAGTGATGGCCTGGGTACGGTTTTGTATGAATTGAAAAACTAAACAGAGTAAGAGAAGGAGAAAAACAGGTATTAAAGGACTAAGAATTGGGAGGACCTAGGACATCTAATTAGAGAGTGCCTAAGGAGGTTCAGCACAGCCTTGCCCGCAAAGATTATTTATTTACTTTAAGAGCTAAGAGTGGCGGTTTGGGGATAGCACCAGGAGATATCAGCTGTGATGGCTTGGAGAAACAGAGTAAACGGCAGTGGAAACAAAAGCAGGGCACGTGTGAGTAGTTGAGAATGGTGAATAGGAGTATGACTAGAGAGAAGATAGTAGGGATGACAAGTTTTTTGGGGCACAGTCTAAGTTAGTCTGGTGTCTGGAATGAGACTGGGGCCTAATAAAAAGGAGCATCCATACAGGAGCTCAAATGGGCTGTACCCTGTAGCATTCCAAGGACAGGCCTGAATTCTAAGAAGGGAAAGTGGTAAAAGTACGTCCAGTCCTTTTAAGTTGGTGGCTGAGCTTGGTGAGGTGTGTTTTTAAAAGACCTTTAGTCCGTTCTACTTTTCCTGAAGACTGAGGACCGTAAGGGATATAAAGGTTTCACTGGATACTAAGAGCGAAAAACTGCGTGGCTGATTTGACTAATAAAGGCCGGTCTGCTATCGGACTATATAGAGGTGGGAAGGCCAAACCGAAGAATTATGTCTGACAGAAGGGAAGAAATGACCGCGGTGACCTTCTCAGACCCTGTGGGAAAGACCTCTACCTATCCAGTGAAAGTGTCTACCCAGACTAAGAGGTATGTTAGTTTTCTGACTTGGGGCATGTTGAGTAAAGCCAATTTGCCAGTCCTGGGCGGGGGCAAATCCCCGAGCTTGATGTGTGGGGAAGGGAGGGGGCCCGAATAATCCCTGAGGAGTAGTAGAATAGCAGATGGAACACTGAGAAATTATTTCCTTGAGGACAGATTTCCAAGATGGAAAGGAAATGAGAGATTCTAAGAGGCGGGCTGGTGGCTTTTACTATAGCATAGCCTGCCTCTGCTGGCGTGTGGCGATTAGGCCTGGTGGAACCGCCATCAATAAATCAAGCGTGATCAGGGTGAGGAACAGGAAATAAGGAAATATGGGGAAATGGGGTGAATGTCAGGTGGATCAGAGAGATACAGTCATGGGAGTCAAGTGTGGTATCAGGAATAATGTGGGAGGCTGGATTGAAGTCTGCGCCAGGAAGAATGGTAATTGTGGGAGACTCAACAAAGAGTGAGTACAGCTGAAGGAGCCAGGGAGTATATGTGTCAGGTGTGAGGAAGAAAATAGATTTTGGAAGTTATGAGAACTGTAGAGAGTGAGTTGAGCATAGTTTGTGATTTTGAGGGCCTCTAAAAGTATTAGGGCGGCAGCAGCCACTGCACGGAGACATGATGACCAGCCTAAAACAGTATGGTCAAGTTGTTTGGACCAAAAGGCTACAGGATGCAATCCTGGTCCTTGTGTAAGAATTCTGACTGCACAGCCCTGCACTTCAGCTGTGTGTAATGAAAAGGATTGGGATGAGTCAGAGCTAGGGTGAGGGCAGTCTCTAAAGCTGTCTTCAAGGAACGGAAAGAGGAGTGGGTAAAGGATTCAGGATCTATGGGGTCAGCTAGGTTTCCTTTTGTGAGTTTATATAATGGTTTTGTTACGATGGCAAAATCAGATATCTAAAGTTGAAAGTATCTAACCATGTCTGGGAAGGAAAGGAGTTGTTGTTCTGTAGAAGGGATTGAGGTTTGGGAGATTAGTTGGACACGATCAGCAGGGAGAGCACGTGTGTTTTTATGAGAATTATGCCGAGATAGGTAACAGATGAGGATGAAATTTGGGCTTGACTGAAGTAATTGGGGCTATTTGTGAAGGCTTCTGGCAGTACAGCCCAGGTAATTTGCTGAGCCTGATGGGTGTGAGGGTCAGTCTAAGTGAAAGCGAAGAGAGGCTGGGATGAAGGGTGCAAAGGGATAGTAAAGAAAGCATGTTTGAGATCCAGAACAAAATAATGGGTTGTGGAGGGAGGTATTGAGGATAGGAAAGTATATGGGTTGGGCACCACAGGGTGGATAGGCAAAACAATTTGGTTGATAAGGCTCAGATCCTGAACTAACCTGTAAGGCTTCTCTGGTTCTAGGACAGGTAAAATGGGGGAATTGTAAGGAGAGTTTATAGGCTTTAAAAGGCCATGCTGTAACAGGCGAGTGATAACAGACTTTAATCATTTTAAAGCATGCTGTGGGATGGGATATTGGCATTGAGCCAGGTAAGAGTGATTAGGTTTTAATGGGATGGTAAGGGGTTCATGATCGGTCACTAAGGAGGGAATAGAGGTGTCTTATACTTATGGGTTAAGGTGGGGAGATACAAGGGGAGGATGTGAAGGAGGCTTTGAACTGGGGGAAAAGGTGGCAGTGAGGTGTGGCTGTAGCCCAGGAATAGTCAGGGAAGCAGATAATTTAGTTCAAGTGTCTCAGCCTAATAAGGGAACTGGGCAGGTGGGGATAACTAAAAAGGAGTGCTTAAAAGAGTATTGTCTAAGTTGGCACCAGAGTTGGGGAGTTTTAAGAGGTTTAGTAGCCTGGCCGTCAATACCCACAAGTTATGGAGGCAAGGGAAACAGGCCTTGAAAAGAAGGTAACGTGGAGTGGGTAGCCTCCGTATTGACTAAGAAGGGGACGGACTTACCCTCCACTGTGAGAGTTACCTGAAGCTCAGCGTCGGTGATGTTCTAGGGGGCTTCCGAGGCGATTGGGCAGGATCAGTCTTCAGCCACTAAGCCGAGAAGATCTGGGAAGGAGTCAGAGAGCCTTGGGCCACAGTTCCAGGGGCTCTGAGAGTGGCTGCCAGGTGAGTTGAACAGTCCAATTTTCAGTGGGGTCCCACACAGATGGGATGCAGCTTAGGAGGAATCCCAGGCTGCGGGCATTCCTTGGCCTGGTGGCCACATTTCTGGCATTTGTGGCAAGCTCCTGGGGGAGGCGGGCCTGGAGGAACACCTGGCCACTGCGGTTTAGGCGTTTGGAAGTTCTTGTGTGCTGGAGATGTGGCTGGGGTTTGTCTCACAGTGGAGGTAAGGAATTGCAATTCAGAAATATGTTGCTACTTGGCAGCCTCTACTCTATTATTGTAAACCTTGAAGATGAGGTTAATTAAGTCCTGTTGTGGGGTTTGAGGGCTGGAATTTAATTTTTGGAGTTTTATTTAATGTCGGGAGCAGATTGGGTAATAAAATGTATATTGAGAATAAGACAGCCTTTTGACATTTTAGGGTCTAGGGCTGTAAAGCATCTCATGGTTGCTGCCAAATGAGCCATGAACTGGGCTGGGTTTTTATATTTGATGAAAAAGAGCCTAAATGTGCTCTGATTTGGTATAAAGAAAAAGGAACATTAACCTTGACTATGCCTTTAGCTCCAGCCACCTTTTTAAGAGGAAATTGCTGGGCAGGTGGGGGAGGGCTAGTCATGGAAGGAAACTGTAAGCCAGACTGGGTGTGAGGAGGGGAGGTGATAAAAGGATTATAGGGTGGAGGAGCAGAGGCTGAGGAAGAATTGGGACCTAGCTTGGCCTGGCGAGGAGGGAAGAGGTCAGATGTGTCTGTACAAAGGAAGATTAGAAAGACTCAGCGACGCTTGGGATTGGGACTGAGGGGACAGGTGGGAGGGAAAAATGGAAGATTTGGGATGAGTTGCATTGGGAACAGAGACTAGAGAGGGACCGATGTGTGAAAGAATACCTGGACGTCAGGCACCTCAGACCATTCGCCCATTTTACGGCAAGAATTATTTAGATCTTGTAGGATGGAAACATTGAAAGTGCAATTTTATGGCCATTTAGAGCCATTGTCAAGTTTGTATTGGGGCCAAGCGGTGTTGCAGAAGAAGATAAGGCATTTAGGTTTTAGGTCAGATGTGAGTTGAAGAGATTTTAAGTTTTTGAGAACACAGGCTAAGGGAGAAGAAGGAGGAATGGAGGGTGGAATGTTGCCCATAGTGAAGGACGCAAGCCCAGAAAAAAGAGAGAGTAGAGACACAGAGGGAAGGGGTTCGGGGGTTCTTACCCTCCAGAAAAGTGGGAAAGGGGTCGGGGCATGGAAATAAGGGATTGGGGAGCAGAGATAGGAGGTCGGGGAGTGGAAATAAGGGATGGGGCACAGAGATAAGAGGTGGGGGTGTGGAAATAAGGGATCGAGGCACAGAGATAAGAGGTCGGGGCACAGAAATAAGGTATCAGGGGTTTCTTGCCTCCCAGAAAAGCAGAGAAGGGGTAGAGACATGGAGAGAAGGGGTTGGAGTTCTTGCCCCTCCCCTAGAAAAGCGGGACTTGCTGCTAAGGGTGAAGGACCAAGGCAGGCATCCCTGCATGGTCAGACACCTCTGAAACATGGGTGAATAATCAGAGAGGCGTCCCTGCAATGATTAAACACCAAGGGAAGGCTGCCTTCCTAAGTCCGTGACCGGCGCCGGAGTTTTGGGTCCACAGATAAAACGCGTCTCCGTTCTCTACCAGAAAAGGAAAGGAACTGAAATTAAGAGAAGGGAGAGATTGAAGGGTGACGCCAAGATTGAAAGGAGAAAGTGGTTGAGGGATAGTGAGAGAGGTGGGAGAAGAGAATAAGAAGAGTCTGCTTATCCAACTTCAAATTGGTGAGATGTTCCTTGGGCTGGTGGGTCTGAGGACCCGAGGTCCTAGGTGGATCTTTTTCACAGAGCAAAGAGCAGGAGGACAGGGGTTTGATCTCCCAAGGGAGGTCCCCCGATCCGAGTCACAGCACCAAATTTCATGCATGTCCGTGTGAAGAGACCACCAAACAGACTTTGTGTGAGCAACAAGGCTGTTTATTTCACCTGGGTGCAGGTGGGCTTTGTCTGAAAAGAGAGTCAGCGAAGGGAGATAGGGGTGGGGCCATTTTATAAGATTTGGGTAGGTAAAGGAAAATTACAGTCAAAAGGGGGTTCTCTGGCGGGCAGGAGTGGGGGGTCACAAGGTGCTCAGTAGGGAAGTTTTTGAGCCAGGATGAGCCAGGAGAAGGAATTTCACAAGATAATGTCATCAGTTAAGGCAGGAACAGGCCATTTTCATTTCTTTTGTGGTGGAATGTCATTAGTTAAGGCAGGAACCTGCCATCTGGATGTGTACGTGCAGGTCACAGGGGATATGATGGCTTAGTTTGGGCTCAGAGGCCTGACAGTCATGGTTTCCTCATAGTTGTGATTTCCATTTCCCTGTTAGTAATGTTGAGCATCTTTTCATGCTAATTGACCATTTGTGAATCTTCCTTGGATAAATGTCTATCAAAGTCTTTTGCTCATTTTTAAGTCAGGTTGTTTATCTTCTCATTGTTTAATTTTAAAAGTTATTTCTATATTTTGGATACTAGTCACTTATCTGATATATGATTTGCAAATATTTTATCCCATTCTGTGGGCTGCCTTTTTACGGTGCTGATAGTGTCTTCTGATGCACTGTAAAATTTTTTTCATGAAGTTTGTCTATTTTTAGCTTTAGTGCTTGGGCCATTGGTGTCATATCCAAGAAAGCATTGCCAAATATAATATTACAAAACTTTTGTCTTATTTTCTTTTAGGGGGTTTATACATTTAGGTCTTACATTTAGGTCATAGATGCACTTTGAGTTAATTTTTGTATATGTTGTTGGGAAAGGGTTTAATCTCAAATTTTGCTTATAGATATCCAGTTTTCCCAGACTAGAGTCTTCCAGCTTTATTCCATTTTTTTTTCAGGATTATCTTGCCTATCCAGCATCTCTTTAAAATTCCATATTAATTTTAGAATGGGTATTTCTATTTCTGTAAATAATGCTTTTGAGATTTTGGTAGAGATTACATTAAGTCTATAGATTACTTTAAGTAATACTGTGGTTTAAATGTGTTACCCCAAATTCATATGTTGAAAACTTAATCTAAAATGTAACAGTGTTGGGAGGCGGAGCATTTTGGAAAGTGTTTAGGATATGAGGGCTTTGCCCTCAGAAATGAAGTACCATTGTTATAAAAGAGCTTGATGAAGGAAGATTGTCCCTTTTACTCCCCAGCCTTCCGCATCTGAGGATGTAGCCAAAAGGCTTCACCAGACACCAGAAGTTGACCCTTTGATTTTGGACTTCCTAGCCTCCAGAACTCTGAGAAAATAATTTTATATCTTTATAAATTACCCAATCTGTGGTATGCTAATATGACAGCTCAAAATGGATTAAAGCAAACATTATTGACATCTTAATATTGTCTTCCCAGTCTATGAAGACAGAATGTCTTTCAATTTATGTCTTCTTTCATTTATTTCAGATACATTTGGAACTTTTCATTATGCAAGTGTTTTACCTTCTTAATTGATTACTATTTTACTCTTTTTGATGTTATTACAGATATAATTTTAAAATATTTACTTATGAGAGTGTTGACAGTTTATAGAAATGCGACTGATTTTTTTCGTGTTGATTTTATATTTTACTACTTTGCTGAATTTTTTTATTCTAACTGGGCTTTTGTTTGTTTAATCTTTAGATTTTCTACATGTAAGATCATATCATCTGTTAACAGACATAATCTTATTTTTTCCTTTCTGATTTAAATGCCTTTTGTTATTATTATTATTTGCCAAATTGCTCTGACTAGAACTTCTATTATTATGCTGAATAGAAATGGTAAAAGCAAGCATTTTTGCCATGTTCCTTATCTTAGGGGAAAGGTTTCAGTTTTCAGCATTGAGTACGATACTTGCTGTGGGTTTTACATATATAGGTTTTGTTATATTTAGGTCATTTCCTTTTTTTCTCAGTTTGTTTAGTGTTTCTCTCATAAGATGGCATTGAATTTTGTCAAATGCTTTTTTCTGTATCAATGAAGATAGTCACATGTGTTTTTTTAATTATATTAATGTGATATATTACATTTATCCATTTTTATATGTTGAATGATCTTTGCATTCCAGAAATAAATTCCATTTGGTAATAGTGTGAATCTTTTTAATATGGCTTGCTAGAACTTTGTTGAGATTTTTTGTATCAATGTTTAAAAAGGTGACGAAGGTTTTTTTCTTGTAGTATCTTTGTCTACCTTTGGTATCAGGTTAATGCTGCTTCATAGAAAGTTAGTAACTGGTTTCCTTTTGGTTAGTTTTGTGTTTCCAAGAATTTGCCTATTATATCTAAGTTATTCAATTTGTGTAGACTTATAGTACGCTCTTATAATCCTTTTTATTTCTGTACAATTGGCAACCATGTTCCCACTTTCATTTCTTATTTTAGTAGGTTGAGTCTTTTTATTTTTAGTTCATCGAACTTAATACAATTAAAAATGTTAATGTGGTTCAGTTTTTCAAGGCAGAATCTTTTGGTATTATTGATTTTTTTTTACTATTTTTCTATTGCCAGTTTTATTTTATTTCTGCTGTAATCTTTATTTCCTGACTTCTGTTACCTTTGGGTTTGTTTGTTTCCTTTCTCTAGTTCGTTAAATTATAAAGTTGTTTTTGCTTTGAATGTTTCTTATTTTATAATGTAAGCATATATAGCTATAAATTTCTTCATTTGCACAGCTTTCTCTGTGTCTCATAAGTTTTGGCATATTGTGGTTTTATTTTCATTTTTCTCTATTTTCTAATTTCCCTTGTGATTTCTCATTTGATCCATTGATTGTGTAAGACTTTTTTGTTTAATTTCTGCAAATATATAATTTTTTTAGTTTCTCTCCAGTTACTGATTTCTCACTTCATTCTGTTGTGGTCAGAGAATATACTTTGTATGATATCCACCTTTTTAGACATGGGGAGGTTTAACTTGTGGCCTAACATGTAGTCTATCATGAAAATGTCCCAGGTACACTTGAGAAGAATGTATTTTCTGTTGTTGTTGGAAAATGTGTTCTGTATATGAGTTAGATCTGTTTGCCTTATTGCATTGTTCAAGTTCTCTATTTCCTTACTTATCTTTGGTCTGGTGGCTCTATCAAATATTGAGTGTAGGGTACTAAACTCTGTAGCTATTACTGTAGTATTGTTTATTTCTCCCTTCAATTCTGTAAATTTTTACTTCATATATTTTGATGGTCTGCTATTAGCTTTGTAAATTTATATAATTGTATTTTCTTGCTGTATTGCATCTTTTATTATTTATATAATGTTCTTTTTCTCTCTTGTAACTTTTTAAAAACTTAAGATCTATTTTGCTCGATGTTAGCCTAGCCAACCCTACTCTCTTTTTGATTACTATTTGCATGGCATATTCTTTTCCATCCTTTCACTTTCAACCTATTTGTATCTTTGGGTCTAATGTGAATTTCTTGTAGACAGCAAATAATTGGATAATTTTTAAAATCTATTTTGTCAATCTCTGTCTTTTGAATGGAGAATTTAGTCTATTTACAATTAAAGTAATTACTGATAAGGAGGGAATTACTTCTGTTATTTTGCTAATTGTTTTCTATATACCTTATAGCTTTTTGTCCCTCACTTCTTACATTACTGTCTTCTTTTGTGCCTAGTTAATTTTTTGTAATTAAACTTTTAAATTCCTTTCTTGTTTCTTTATGTGTAAATTCTTTACATATTTTCTTTGTAGTTAATATGAGGATTATACTCAAAATCCTAAAGTTGTAATACCCTTAAGTTAAATTTATGCCAGCTTAACTTATATAACTCTGCCCTTTTTATAGTTTTTAGTACAAAACTCTGCTCTTCTAACAGTTCTGTCCTCATTTCTTTCTGTTATTAATGCCACAAAACTTCATTGTTGTACATTGTGTGTCCAAAAACATAAACTATTAATTTTTAAATGTAAATGAATCGTAAATAGTATTGAAAGAGAAATATGCAATACTTACCTTTTAGACTAGTTTTTTAATGTGTTAGTCTCTTTAATTATGTAGACAACAAACAAAAATATGGTGCCACACATCATCATTATAATAATACTAGTTTTAATAATTGCCCATGTATTTACATTGACTGAGATCTTTATTTCTTCATATGACTTAGAGTTACTATCTAGTTTTCTTTCATTTCAAAATGCAAGACTCTCTTGAGCACATCTTGAACAGCAAGTCTAGCAGTGATAAACTCCCTTAGCTTTTGTTTATCTGGGAATGTCCTTATTTCTCTCTCACTTTTGAAGGATAGTTTTGCTGGATATGTGATTCTTGGATAACAGGGGTTTCTTTTGTTCGTTTTTTTGTTTTTTGCTGGACTTCTACTTTCTTACAAAAAAATCAACTGATGATCTTATTGAAGATCCTTTGTGTGTGATGTGTTACCTCTCTCTTGCTGCTTTTAAAATTCTCTCTTTGACTTTAGACAGCTTGATTATAATGTTTCTCAGTGTGATTCTCTTATAGTTCATTCTTTTTGGAGTGGGAGTTTATTGAGCTTCTTAGATGCTTATATCATGTCTTTCATTAAATTAGAAAAGTTTTCAGACATTATTTCTTTAAATATTATCTCTGCCCCTTTTACCCTCTGTTACCCTTCTGGCAATTCCATAACATCTATCTTGGTCTCCTTGAAGGTGTCCTACAGGTCATGTATGCTCTGATGCTCTGATCAGTTTTCTTCATCCATTTTTCTTTCTGTTTCTCAAATTTGACAATTTTTTTGTCCTATCTTTGAAATAGTTTTTTCGCTTGCTCAAATCTATCTCTAAAATATTCCAGTGGATTTTCATTTTCATTTTTATTTTCATTTTTCAGCTCCAGAATGTTTTTTCTGTGTGGTTTATGTTAGGTTTTATATCTCTTTAGACATTTTTTATTTGTTCATACATTTTGTTATTGACTATCTCTGTGTCATCTTTTGGTTCTTTGAGAATCTTTAAGGCTGTTGTCTTAAAGTCTTTTTCTAGTAGTTCTGTCATTAGGTCTTTTTTGGAGACAGTTTTTATGGATTTACTTTTTCTTTTGAGTGGGTCATACTCTCCTGTTTCAGTTTTTTATTAACCTTGAGATTTTTTTGGTGCTGTTTTTTGTTTTGTTTTGTTTTTGTTTCTTCATAGTTATAGGCTGTCTCTGTGTGAAAGATCAGTCTAAGTTGTAAGCTTAAGGTATTCTCAGGTCTTTTCTGAGCTTGGCCCTACCCCTGAGCATGCATGGTGACTTTCTAAATTTTCTTACATATGTAGTTGCTTTTGTATATTCTACTCTTCAATGTCTGACTCTCAAAAAAAGATGAAGAAAAAAATGAAATGAGGGGGATAGCATCAGTCCTTTAACTTCTCTGGAAATCACCTCAGCGAGAGCAGAAGAAGCTTGCAACAATGGGAAGAGATGTAAAAACAATGGTCACAGCCTCATTGTCTGGACTTCTGTGGTCAGAAGCAGCAATCGATTATCAAATCACAGTTACCTAGTACTTAAAGACTAGGGTTCTTTTGGCCCACTCCTTCCCCTTTAAGCTATCAGCAAGCTGCTCCAGGAACAAGTTAACATCTGCCCACCATGGGGTTGAGGGATGGGGAATGGGTAGCTGCTAATGTGCTAATAGCTGAAATCAGCTGAAATGAACAGCAATTTATGAAGCAAGGCTTCCTCTGGAAGTTTTAAGCCTTCAATAGACTTCAAAGTTCCAAAGTAGTTACTTTGGATATATTCTGCCATTGTAATTGTTGTCTAGGTATGGAGACAGATTCCTGCTGCTTCCTACTCTGCTACATTTCCAAAACATTCCTTTATGGTTTGATTTTTATTGCTGAAAAATTCTCCATATTGTATGTCCAACATATATTACCTATTCATTCTCCAAGTGATGGATACCCAGGAGGCTTCTAACTCTGTCAACACAAATAAACTGCAGTGAGTAGCTTCAAGCAAAATTACTTATAGAGCTGCGTGGAATATATATCTCAGAGAGAAATTTTAGGGTTACTAGAATGTATAAATCCATTAGTCAGCAGTGTATTAAGTCTCCTTTATCTGAACATCTGTCCATGTCTGGTGTTAGCTATCTTTCTAATTTCTGCCCTTTTCACTTATAACCACAATTGTATAAATTGAAAGAATCATTTGCTAAATAAAGCTGATCATGCATTCAAAATAACACATCTTGATCAAGTACAATGATCAGAGACTCCATCAGTAAAATTCACCACAACTTGACTAAATTTATAAAGATGAAAGAAGAAAAATCAATGGATACATTTAATTTAGAAAAAGAACATAATAAGCTTTAGCACCATTAATGGTTAAACAAATAAACAATAACAACAAAAACAAATAGGAAATAAATGGAAATGTTCTCGACTTGATGGACATTACATAATGAAACAAACTAATAAGCAAATAAAACAATTGATTGGCAAACTTTGGCCACACATCTTCTAGTATCATTAGCAAGACATGAATGCCTATCTCATCAGCAATAATATATGAAGCAAGGAAATGAAAAAAATAGGTATTAATATGTAAGTAAAGATATAATCCTTAAAGATGATTTTTTTCTACCTGTTAAAAAGTAATCAAATCAATAAACTGTTAGAATTTATAAGAGTTCAACGATGATTCCTGATACAATGTCACTCTTGCGAAATCAACGTTCTTTCTTTACACAAGAAATGAGCAACTAAAAATGTTTGAAAATAAAATATTACATAATATAGCAGAATACTAAGGTTCCTAGAAATTAAACTAACCAGAATCACTAGATTCCTATGGGCAAAACATTAAAACTCCAAACAGGACATAAAGAGTAATCTGAATAAATGGAAAAGCTTCCATGCTTTTAGACTGGATAACATTTTAAAGATATTAATTCTCTCCAGATTAAGATACAAATTTGATTCAAGCTCAATAGAAATTCTAATTATATGGTTTTAATGTACTTAGTAAACCTATTCCAAAACTTTAAGTTGACTAAAAATAGCTAAATTAACTATAAAAATAGTAAAAAGGGGAAGCTTGCCTCTACCAGATATCAAGACATATAGTAAGACTGTAGTAATATAAATAGCGTTTTATTGGTGTAAAAACAGGCAAATTGACTAATTTGATAATAAGTAGCTCTGGAACAGGCTCATTAGCATGTGACATCTAAATATATGATAAATTTGGCACACGAAATTAATGGGAAAAGGACAAATTATTTAGTAGACAGCAAGAGCACTACTGGTTCATTTTCATGTGAGAAATGAATCCAGATCTTTATCTAACACCACATATAAAACATTGAAATCTGGAAGGATTAACATCGTAAGTGTAAAACATAAAGCTATAAATTTAATGGGAGCTTTGCCCCGCGTTTAAAATTAAAAAAAAAAAAAGAATATCTAGAACAGAAATCAATCTTCTGCTGATTCAAAAGAACATTTCCTCCCCCAAATACACCAGGCTCAAGATACAAACAGGCAAGTTACAGAAAACTAAAGCAAATACGTGCATAACAAGATGATCAAAATTGTTCATAAACAGAGATGTACAAATTTAAACACAAAGAGATAGTACTGTGCACTGATAGAGTAGCTAACTATATCTTTCTAGACCATATAATTCCTCCTCCTTTTAGAGTTACAGAGGTCCCTGTATTAAAGTCCACCATTAATAAGTCGAATTTTAAGAAGAGCTCAGAGAGAGCTTTATAAGATATTTATTATAAAATCATTCCCCTTTAAAAATAAGCTCTCCCTCAGAAAATAGTTATTAAAGGGTCTCAATAGAAGGGCATGGGTATAATCATTAGAGTCAGTAACAAATGTTATTACTCTGGTCATCTCAGTGATACAAAAGAAACTGTGCTATTTAGCTGTGTGCTATGAAAGAATAAGTTATGGTTTGGTTTGTTAAAGTACATCATGTCTTCTTTATTTCTAATGCTGCACTTACCTCCATGAGCTGTGAACATTAAAGGTTCCTATTATAAGAAATAGTAAAACAAGTTTGATAATTGAAACCATTCCATTCAATTATTTAATTAGTATTCATCTATTCATTATGATATCTTTATTCTTCATATTGTCTGTAGTCAAAATGGACGGGAAGAATAGTCTTCTTCTTTGTCTTATCGGAGTTTTTAAATGCTCTCATTCTTTTCATAGATTTCATGAGTTCAGGGCTGCTTTGAGATTTACTTTTTTAGTCTCTAAAGCATTACTTCCAATGTATATTCTGTAAGATTCTTCTTTACAGGTTGACCACAAATAGTACATAATTGTGGTGGGTAATTTTATGTGCCATCTTGACCATGCTAAAAGATGCTCAGATAGCTGGTAAAACATTATTTCTGGGTGTGTCTGGGAGGGTGTTTCCAGAAGAAATTAGCATTTGAATGAGTATCTGCGAGAGAAGATCCACCCTCACCAATGTGGAAGGGCATCAACCAATACATTAAAGAGCTAAGCAGAACAAAAAGGTGAAGGAAGAGTAAATTTTCTTTCTCTTTTCTTGAACTGGAATATCTATCTTCTCCTGCCCTCAGACATTGGACCTCCTTGTTCTCAGGCCTTCAGAGCATGCCAATTTCTACAATAAATTCACTGATACACACACACACACTCACACACACACACAGCCTATTGATTGTGTTTTTTCTGGAGAGCCCTGACTAATATGAAAATCAAGATTCTTCTTTACAAGTTATTCACCAACAATAGAGGACTGCTCAATAAAAGAATTTCACTTCATTTCAACAATCTCGTTATCACTTATAGGATATTTTGTCACTCACACACACAACAACAATGAAATCTAACCTTGGTATTGCAAAACTCATAAATTTAAAAATACTCTTTAGCAATTTGTGTAGGAGGTTTGTGGCCTTTATTGGGAAGAATAACACCAAGCCTTTGTTTAGCTGTCAATCAAGGGAACAATTAATGTGAACGCTAGCCAGTCTATTGTTCTCCTTCACAGGCCAACAGTCTTTCAGTGAATATCACAAAAGGAATGCACAGGTGATTAAACACCAAGTTTCACACACATATGATCCTGAGCTCTTCTGGTGTGATTATTTCCCCAGAAGCCTCATAAAACAGTTTTGAATTACCTCTTCCACTATCCAGGTGAAATTTCCTCCAGTTGAATATACTAACTCCTATCCCTTCAGCTAATTGGTTGAGTACCCAGATGACTCTACTTGGAGAAGAAAGACAAGATATTATTGTACACACCACTTTCAATGGGGGAAACACCTTGGGAAGTGTTACTGCAGCTTACTTTTAGAGAAATGGGTAGAACTTGGCCAGTTAGCAAAGGGAAAGGCAAATGCAAGCTGCAGAGGTTGAGGGAGATAAATCTAAAGGGTCTGGCAAGAGGAGGTGTTCCAATAGAAATTGGGTCACAGATGATGTGACAATTGTACAAGAATGTAACAAACCATTCATATAGTGGTTGGTTGTACATATTGAAACAATCAGTGGACTCTTGTATGCATTTAGTCTGCTTAGTTCAATAATGTATACAGTTGACCCTTGAACAATGTGGATTTGAACTGTGCTGGTACATTTAGATGTGGATTTTCTTCTGTCTCTGCCACCCCCGAAACAGCACGACCAACACCTCCTCTTCTCCGTCCTTTGCAGCCTACTCACTGTGAAGACAATGAGGGTGAAAACCTTCATGATGATCCACTTCCACTTCATGAACAGGAAATATGTTTTTTCTCTTCCTTATGATTTTTTAAAAACATTTTCTTTTCTCTTGCATGCTTGATTGTAAGAGTGCAGTACATATTATATATATATAATATACAAAATATGTGTTAATCAGCTATGTGTTAGCCAACTATGTTATTAATGTAAGACTTTTTATGATTTTCTATATAACATTTTCTTTTTTCTAGCTTACTTTATTATAGGAATACAGTATACAGTACGTACAACATGCAAAATCAGTGTTAATCAACAGTTTATGTTATTGGCAAGGCTTCAGGTCAATAGTAGGCTATTTGTAGTTAAGTTTTCTAGTTAAAGTTGTATGTGGATTTTCACCCGCTTGGGGGTTCGGCACCCCTAAGCTCTGTTTTGCTCAAGGTCAACTGTATAATTTTTCAGCCTTGGCCCATTGGCAAATGGACAGAAACATTTGTAAACTTTGCAACTACAAAGAAAAGTACAGTTTGGGGGCAATAAAAAGTTAAAATTTCTTTTGGATATTGATAGAAACTTCAAAGAAAGATGATGCAAGACTATGAATACAAATAAGTTTTAAAAATCATGTCAAAGATGATTCCTTTTATTGTTCTTAGAACACTGTAATGTATAGAATAAACTCAGTTTTAAATGTATTTGGAAATGTTTTTGGGTTTTATGTCATGTCAATGTCTACATAGAAAAATGTCCTTTTTGTTGTTTAAGTTAAACTTTAAGTGTAAAGAGCTGAGCTAGTCATCTTAAGAACACTGACATAATCTATCCCTGCAGGTAACAGTGGAGTTTAATTCACCTTTTCCCCCAAATCTTTGGTGTCCAGTCCCATTCTCTAGTTCAAAGATAACCAATATAAAGCGCTCAATATATGCCCTTAAATATTATTAATAGTATGTTCTTATAAGATAACAACTTAGTTTTTATATGTGTGTTTTAATTCACATAAATTATATTATGTTGTAACCTATCTTTTTTCTAACTCAATACTTTTGTTGTGATCTACCCATGTAACTATGAACATCTAGTTTGTGTTCCCTACTGATGCCCACAGTGTGTTAGTGAACAACCATCACTTACTTATTTCCTTAAAGATTAGCTTTGATTGACTTCAGTTCCTTGACACCAAAAATAACACTGAAAAACAGGCTTGTATATGATCCCTTACAAACATTTGCAAGAATTGTTCTGGTTTATACACATGGGAAAATTGCTTACATGCCTCCCAGAATGGTTGTTACACTTTACTTTCCATCAACAGTGCATACAATTTCCTATCTCTTAAAGTCCTGACAACAAATGATAGTCTCAATATTTCTATTTTTTGCCATTCCAATCGGTGTAAAGTAGTATCTCGTTGTTTTAATGTTTATTCCTGTGATTTCCGATGAGCTCAAGCATATCTTTGTATACTCTTCAGACACCTGTGCTGCCATTTCTGCAAATTGCCTGGTCACTCTGCCTATTTTTTCTACTATAGTTTTCTGCTTTATTTTGCTAATTTGGAATTGAGGCATATCTCAGAAATTAATTTCTCTTTAATTTTAAATATTAAAGATATATTTTCCCAACACATCACTCATTTGTTAACACTGCCTAAGGTATTGTCTCAAATAAAGACCCAAAAATGTATATAATTATTTCATTTGATGATTTTGTGCATTGGAATCTTGTTTAACTAGCTTTTCACCACTTTTAAGTCATTAGGATATTCTTGTACAAGGCATTCTATTATACAGGTACCGTTTGAAGTATTTCACACGCCCTAGCATGTTTAGGTCTAGGAACTACCTCCAAGCAAATAAGATCGCTGTTGTTGTTGTCCCCATTTTACAGATGAGAAAACTGAAGCATCAACAAATTAAATAACTTGCCCAAAATTACATAGTTTGGATGTGAAAGAATCTATGTTTGAACTCAGGTTACCTGGGCTCAAGAATTCATGCTCTTATAGTTAGGTTTTTAATACCTCTAGTGTCCACTTTTTCAAGTTAACAATATTAACTTCTTTCTTTCCTTCCTTCAATTTTTCTTTCTTTATCCCTCCCTCCCTCCCTTCCTTCCTTCTACTACCACATAAGCCCCTGCCGTATGCTGAATATAAATTAGTAGTTATAGTTGTTATTTAAGCCATAAGCCTAGATGAGGTCACCAAGAGAGAGTGACACTAGATAGGGCAGGGAACACCAAGGCCTCTGCCCTGGGATATTCAACATTAAGGTGGGGCCAAAAAGGAAATACCGGAAGAGGAGGCTGAGAAGGAGCAACCAATAATGTAGCAAGAAAATCAAAAGTCTTAAATTTCCTGGAAGCTCAGTGAAGAAAATGTTTCCAGAGGGAGGAGTGATCAACTGCGTTAAATGTTGCAGAGGATTCTAAGTGAGTTCTCAGAACTAACTGCTGGGTGCAGCATTAATAACCTGTACAAGAGCAGCCTTGCTGGATGATAGGAGCTTAAGAGAATGGGGAAAAGAAGAGTTGAAATCATAGAGCAGAAACCATGGGTTGTTTGTTTGTTTTTTGAGACGGAGTCTCCTTCTGTCGCCCAGGCTGGAGTGCAGTGGCGCCATCTCGGCTCACTGCAACCTCCGCCTCCAGGTTTCAAGTGATTCTCCTGCCTCAGCCTGCCGAGTAGCTGGGACTACAGGCGTGTGCCACCACTCCCTGCTAATTTTTTTGTATTTTTAGTAGAGACGGGGTTTCACCGTGTTAGCCAGGATGGTCTCTATCTCCTGACCTCATGATCCACCCGCCTCGGCCTCCCAAAATGCTGGGATTACAGGTGTGAGCCATTGAGCCCAGCCCATACCAGGTTTTTTTTTAAAGGATTTCTTCAAAAGAGAATGAAGAAAGAGGGTAGCAGCTGGAAAGGGAAGTAGCATCAAAACAGTTAGGAAACTAGTTCACTGCTATCTATCTAATTATACCACAATTTATTCAACCATTCTCTGTTGATGGCTATTTTGTTGATGGTAATAATGTCATAATGAAGATACTTATACATAAAAACTTATAATATAATATAAATCATGTTTTTCCTACCAGCCAGTCATCTCAATACTTACCCACATATACTTATAGATGACAGTGTTTTGTTATTTCTATGGGCCAGATTTGCAGGTGATATGGTTTGGCTGTGTCCCCACCCAAATCTCATTTAAAATTGTAGCTCCTATAATTCCCATATGTCATGGGAGTAACCCGGTAGGAGGTAATGGAATCATGGGGGCGGGTCTTTCCAGTGCCGTTCTCGTGATAGTGAATAAATCTTACAAGATCTGGTGGTTTTATAAAGCGGAGTTCCCCTGCACACACTTTCTTGCCTGCTGACATTTAAGTCATCCCTTTGCTCTTCCTTTGCCTTCTGCCATGATTGTGAGGCCTCCCCAGCCATGTGGAACTGTGAGTCCATTAAACCGCCTTTCCTTTATAAATTACCCAATCTCAGGTATATGTTTATTAGCAGCATGAGAACAGACTAATAACAGCAGGTATTGGATTTCTGAATAGAATTGCATAAGTATCTTACATTTCTTAGGTATCAATGTATTGAGATATATATATGTATATGTATATATATATAAAATATACAACATAATTTACATATAAGTTACATTTCCACCAGAAATATTCATGTATATCTTTCTCTGGAATACTCACTGTCAAGAAAAACACATCCGTGGATTGTGCTCTTTGGTGCAAAAGTGTCAATCATGATCAAGTAAACTTACAGCAAGTGCTTGATTTGATCTTCAAAATGAATGTGTGATGCTCATTATTCTATGATCCCCAGTTTACAGATCCAGAGAGAGAAAGATGCTTGTACAGAAGCACACAGCTAGGAGTGGTAGAACTATCTTCAAAACCAAGTCATCTGAGTTTAGATTCATTTCTCATCCTTTAATTTTCTACTGTCTTATTTGTTACTGGCTCTATTCATGGACGCTTCTCAGTCCCTCCCACTGGGAATAGAGCAAACCCTTTGAGGTTGGGCTGATATCTGTGACACCCTCCATGTAAAGACCTGGCTGCACAGCCTGCTGTCTGCCCTTCTTCCCCAGGCTCCAGGTCCCCTTGGCCCTGAGTGACTGTCTTCCCACTCTGAGGCCCCAGGAATCTCAGCACATATTACACATTCCTCCAGCAAAATCAGTCCACTGGCAGGTACCCAGGGACACACAGTTACACACAAGCCTCCCCCAGCTGACTGGACTTTCTCCAATTGTGGTCAGAAACAGCCACAAAGACAGACATCAGTGCAGGTTCTGGAGACTGGATGAAAAGCATTTTGGGTTGGGTGGGTGGAACCACAGGCATTCTGTACAGACGGCGACCAGTGACCTCTGCTCCAGCATGCTAAGAAAAACAGAACATAGTAAAAAGCAAAAGGATTCTCTCATCTCCCTGCCCTATGTTCTTCTCCCTCAGAAATGCATTGCTGATAATCTTGAGTCTAAGATTGTTAGTTAATCACTAGATAACACTGATAGTTACAGCTATTGCTTATTTTGGAAATCAACAAATAATAAGTTATGGGCATCTCACATTCATTATCTTCCAGCTTCAGGAAACCTTTCAAATGTAGGCTTGATTATTTCTGATTCAGAAATGTTGAGTAACATACTCAGGATTACACACTTAGCAGGGGCAGAATCAGCATTGAGACTCAGACCTACTTTCCTGGTGTCAACTCTTAATAGGTTTCTACTGTAACGCATTGCATTCATCACAAAGTTAATAATGATAAAAGAAATTTGTGAGTATTTGATATGAGTTGGGCACAGTGTTGAGTAATTCACATAATTTTTTCAGTTATTCTGATAATTCTAATTGTATCAATTCTTTCCTCCACTATGATTTGTTTTAAATACTACTTTCTTGAATAGATGAAGGAAACAAATCTTAGATATCTAAGCAATTTTCCCAAAGTCCTAGGACTAGTGAGGTCTATAGATAAATTTGAAATTAGGTATATATGACTCTGGAGCCCCACATCTTGATTTTCTTGTTTCCCAAATACATATATAGTCTCTACCATCTCTGTGGTTTTCTGGAGTTCCCAACAGCAATTCAAAATAATATCTTTCTCAAAGTTCAGGAAATATTTAAGATTTAATAAGGGATTGAATTATCAAATGTATTTTCAAATGAATAAATGGTTTTTGCCTTCAGGAAGCTGTTACTAAGACTTATTTTTAGAGCTATAAGCTTTCTGTTTAGTTTCTCTTTGGATAACCTCAAAGTGCCTAGTTTAATGTTAGAACGTACAAGTTAATAAATAAATATTCTTATGGAAGTAATTGGTTAATTTAAATCTCAACTCTTAAGAACAACTTTCAGTCATACTATAGAGGAGGATGCCTGCTGTTATTTAACGAATGGCCCCTCCCTCTGTTCCTATTCCCCACCTTCAATAATGACCACAGCTGTCAGTTTAGCTGAGCCAGTCAGAATAAGAGGTTAAAATCATTATCTCCATGATAGAACCTCTAACTCCAGCCAGAATCAATGACTTCCTAGAAATGGAGGAAGAGTTCATAAAAAAAAAAAAACTTCTTGTGTTCCTTAACTAGATTTCTTGGACCCAGGCCAAGCCAATAAAGGATGGATAGGGACACATATGCTATTTATAACACAGTGCATGTGGAATCCTCATTTCCTGGAAATGCATATTAAATCATTAACAATTCTAAGACTTCAGGTGATGCTGTAAAACAAATTAATACAGCATAGGCATACAGACACCCCCAAGTGTGTACATGTGTGTAACACACACACACACACCATATTTCTCATTAGGAAAATGAACTCTTCAAAGTTTTTGTATTAACTTTGTCTTTTGTTTTCTGTATGCTAATGCTTTAACATCTGGGGCCTTGGTTACCTTGGTAACCCTAGAGGGCCTGCCCCTGCCAGAGCTAGCCAATTTCTAGAGCCCAGGAGCATGCCTTTCAAAGGCAAGCAAACCAATTCAGAGCCCACACCCCATCACACTCCTTGCCATTATCCACCTGCCTTGATTACCTAAGGGCCAGGTACCTGTGAACTAGGGATAGTGCCTACAACCCGGAGCCCACTGAAATTATTCAAACAAGCCAATCCTACACCTGCTTACCCTGCCTTGTCTGTTTCTTCCTACAGAAATCTTACTAGAGGCTTTTGTCCATAGTTCCTCCTCTCCCTCTGCCTCTTGACTGACCCTAGTATTTCCCCTGTATGGTTTCACCTGCTACAGCATGCCAGCTCCTCTTGGGATCTGTAACAAACTGTCTTCCCAATGGCAATCCTCTCCTGATCTGTTGACCTTGACATTCCTAAATATTCATAAAATCTATATTAAAACACCTCTGGACACATTCTTCTGGACATTATTTTCCCAACAAGAATGCAAGGGCTGGCATCATTAAAGAAGCATAAATTTTCCAAGGTATTCGAGAGTGTCAGCAAAGGCAAGGGAGATCACTCACTCTTACCTTTGGATGATATGATAATACAAGGACACACATGTCAGCGGTCACTCCTACTGATGAAAGGAAAAGGTGCACTAATCGCAAAAGACCTCTGCTATGGCTGCTCTAAATGTGCAGGCCCTGTAAATTCAAGGTTCTTGGCACTCTCTGTGGCATGTATGACTACATTATTGATTTAGGTTTGCAAGACTGTGGGAAGTATCCACAAGTTTCTTGCTCCATTGCTTCAAGAGCTAACTGGCTAAGCTTTCTTCAGCATGAGTAGCAATATAGTAAGACTTCTAGGTAATTATGCCTTTTCTATTAAAGATAATGCTTTGCCAATTTAGGAAACAATTTAATTTAACTAGCCAAGAATTGCTAAGTACTTATAGCAAAGTTTAAAGAAACACCAATACTTAGATACAAATTAAAAGGCCTCTTGACTGCCCTGCATGTATTGTCAGTAGCTGCTTCATCATAATCAGAATGTTCTCAAGAGTCAAAAAAAAACATCCCCGACCCCATGTTTTGGAATTAAAGGGCCACCAGTACTTAGCTCCCTGAACAAAGGTAGTGTCAAAAGGTGGTAATAATCAAGTGTGGTGATTAAATCGTGAGCTCTAGCATCACCTGGACATGGGCTTGATGACTACCTCCTAACTGTGTGATCTTGGGCAACATAATTAACCTTTCTGAGCCTTAACATATTTATCTAAAACTGGGGATAAAAAGAGCATCCACTTTAAAACATTGTTGTAATAATTAAATAAGTTAGTACATGTGTTTAGCGTATTGCCTGGCTCGGTCATGGGCACTATACAAGTTTGCTATCAATAGATATCCCCAACAACTGGTTAGATACTTCAAATAAATGAAGACTGGATGCATCACAGGTTTTCTTAGTTTCTTTCAAGGTACTTTCTCCTCATTTGGTGTGTTATTTTCAACAGCACAAGCCTTATATTTTTATTCTCTATTCAAGAGAAATTTGACTCCAGCAGAATTAGGTACTACCTCATGTATATTAACAGGAGAATTCATAACTTTCCCACGTGTGTTTAAAGTCCTATAAAAGGCTTTTAAAAAATAGAAGTAGAGAGGAGGAGCCAAGATGGCCGAATAGGAACAGCTCCGGTCTACAGCTCCCAGCGTGAGCGACGCAGAAGACGGGTGATTTCTGCATTTCCATCTGAGGTACCGGGTTCATCTCACTAGGGAGTGCCAGACAGTGGGCGCAGGTCAGTGGGTGTGCGCAATGTGCGCGAGCCGAAGCAGGGCGAGGCATTGCCTCACTCGGGAAGCGCAAGGGGTCAGGGAGTTCCCTTTCCGAGTCAAAGGAAGGGGTGACGGAGGCACCTGGAAAATCGGGTCACTCCCACCCGAATATTGCGCTTTTCAGACCGGCTTAAAAAACAGCGCACCATGAGACTATATCCCACGCCTGGCTTGGAGGGTCCTACGCCCACGGAATCTCGCTGATTGCTACCACAGCAGTCTGAGATCAAACTGCAAGGCGGCAGCGAGGCTGGGGGAGGGGCACCCGCCATTGCCCAGGCTTGCTTAGGTAAACAAAGCAGCCAGGAAGCTCGAACTGGGTGGAGCCCACCACAGCTCAAGGAGGCCTGCCTGCCTCTGTAGGCTCCACCTCTGGGGGGCAGGGCACAGACAAACAAAAAGACAGCAGTAACCTCTGCAGACTTAAATGTCCCTGTCTGACAGCTTTGAAGAGAGCAGTGGTTCTCCCAGCACGCAGCTGGAGATCTGAGAATGGGCAGACTGCCTCCTCAAGTGGGTCCCTGACCCCTGACCCCCGAGCAGCCTAACTGGGAGGCACCCCCCAGCAGGGGCACACTGACACCTCACACTGCAGGGTATTCCAACAGACCTGCAGCTGAGGGTCCTGTCTGTTAGAAGGAAAACTAACAAACAGAAAGGACATCCACACTGAAAACCCATCTGTACATCACCATCATCAAAGACCAAAAGTAGATAAAACCACAAAGATGGGGAAAAAACAGAACAGAAAAACTGGAAACTCTAAAACGCAGAGCGCCTCTCCTCCTCCAAAGGAACACAGTTCCTCACCAGCAACGGAACAAAGCTGGATGGAGAATGATTTTGACGAGCTGAGAGAAGAAGGCTTCAGACGATCAAATTACTCTGAGCTACGGGAGGACATTCAAACCAAAGGCAAAGAAGTTGACAACTTTGAAAAAAATTTAGAAGAATGTATAACTAGAACAACCAATACAGAGAAGTGCTTAAAGGAGCTAATGGAGCTGAAAACCAAGGCTCGAGAACTACGTGAAGAATGCAGAAGACTCAGGAGCCAATGCGATCAACTGGAAGAAAGGGTATCAGCGATGGAAGATGAAATGAATGAAATGAAGTGAGAAGGGAAGTTTAGAGAAAAAAGAATAAAAAGAAATGAGCAAAGCCTCCAAGAAATCAAGAAATATGGGACTATGTGAAAAGACCAAATCTACGTCTGATTGGTGTACCTGAAAGTGATGGGGAGAATGGAACCAAGTTGGAAAACACTCTGCAGGATATTATCCAGGAGAACTTCCCCAATCTAGCAAGGCAGGCCAACATTCAGATTCAGGAAATACAGAGAACGCCACAAAGATACTCCTCGAGAAGAGCAACTCCAAGACACATAATTCTCAGATTCACCAAAGTTGAAATGAAGGAAAAAATGTTAAGGGCAGCCAGAGAGAAAGGTCGGGTTACCCTCAAAGGGAAGCCCATCAGACTAACAGCAGATCTCTCGGCAGAAACCCTACAAGCCAGAAGAGAGTGGGGGCCAATATTCAACATTCTTAAAGAAAAGAATTTTCAACCCAGAACTTCATATCCAGCCTAACTAAGCTTCATAAGTGAAGGAGAAATAAAATCCTTTACAGACAAGCAAATGCTGAGAGATTTTGTCACCACCAGGCCTGCCCTAAAATAGCTCCTGAAGGAAGCGCTAAACATGGAAAGGAAAAACCGGTACCAGCCGCTGCAAAATCATGCCAAAATGTAAAGACCATCAAGACTAGGAAGAAACTGCATCAACTAACGAGCAAAATCACCAGCTAACATCATAATGACAGGATCAAATTCACACATAACAATATTAACTTTAAATGTAAATGGACTAAATTCTCCAATTAAAAGACACAGACTGGCAAGTTGGATAAAGAGTCAAGACCCATCAGTGTGCTGTATTCAGGAAACCCATCTCATGTGCAGAGACACACATAGGCTCAAAATAAAAGGATGGAGGAAGATCTACCAAGCAAATGGAAAACAAAGAAAGGCAGGGGTTGCAATCCTAGTCTCTGATAAAACAGACTTTAAACCAACAAAGATCAAAAGAGACAAAGAAGGCCTTTACATAATGGTAAAGGGATCAATTCAACAAGAGGAGCTAACTATCCTAAATATATATGCACCCAATACAGGAGCACCCAGATTCGTAAAGCAAGTCCTGAGTGACCTACAAAGAGACTTAGACTCCCACACATTAATAATGGGAGACTTTAACACCCCACTGTCAACATTAGACAGATCAACGAGACAGAAAGTCAACAAGGATACCCAGGAATTGAACTCAGCTCTGCACCAAGCGGACCTAATAGACATCTACAGAACTCTCCACCCCAAATCAACAGAATATACATTTTTTTCAGCACCACACCACACCTATTCCAAAATTGACCACATACTTGGAAGTAAAGCTCTCCTCAGCAAATGTAAAAGAACAGAAATTATAACAAACTATCTCTCAGACCACAGTGCAATCAAACTAGAACTCAGGATTAAGAATCTCACTTATGCCACTCAACTACATGGAAACTGAACAACCTGCTCCTGAATGACTACTGGGTACATAACGAAATGAAGGCAGAAATAAAGATGTTCTTTGAAACCAACGAGAACAAAGACACAACATACCAGAATCTCTGGGATGCATTCAAAGCAGTGTGTAGAGGGAAATTTATAGCCTAAATGCCCACAAGAGAAAGCAGGAAAGATCCAAAATTGACACCCTAACATCACAATTAAAAGAACTAGAAAAGCAAGAACAAACACATTCAAAAGCTAGCAGAAGGCAAGAAATAACTAAAATCAGAGCAGAACTGAAGGAAATAGAGACACAAAAAACCCTTCAAAAAATCAATGAATCCAGGAGCTGGTTTTTTGAAAGGATCAACAAAATTGATAGATCGCTAGCAAGACTAATAAAGAAAAAGAGAAGAATCAAATAGACACAATAAAAAATGATAAAGGGGATATCACCACCGATCCCTCAGACATACAAACTACCATTAGAGAATACTACAAACACCTCTATGCAAATAAACTAGAAAATCTAGAAGAAACGGATAAATTCCTGGACACAAACACTCTCCCAAGACTAAACCAGGAAGAAGTTGAATCTCTGAATAGACCAATAGCAGGAGCTGAAATTGTGGCAATAATCAATAGTTTACCAACCAAAAAGAGTCCAGAACCAGATGGATTCACAGCCGAATTCTACCAGAGGTACCAGGAGGAACTGGTACCATTCCTTCTGAAACTACTCCAATCCATAGAAAAAGAGGGAATCCTCCCTAACTCATTTTATGAGGCCAGCATCATTCTGATACCAAAGCCAGGCAGAGACACAACCAAAAAAGAGAATTTTAGACCAATATCCTTGATGAACATTGATGCAAAAATCCTCAATAAAATACTGGCAAACCGAATCCAGCAGCACATCAAGAAGCTTATCCACCATGATCAAGTGGGCTTCATCCCTGGGATGCAAGGCTGGTTCAATATAAGCAAATCAATAAATGTAATCCAGCATATAAACAGAGCCAAAGACAAAAACCACATGATTATCTCAATAGATGCAGAAAAAGCCTTTGACAAAATTCAACAACCCTTCATGCTAAAAACTCTCAATAAATTAGGTATTGATGGGACGTATTTCAAAATAATAAGAGCTATCTATGACAAACCCACAGCCAATATCATACTGAATGGGCAAAAACTGGAAGCATTCCCTTTGAAAACTGGCACAAGACAGGGATGCCCTCTCTCACCGCTCCTATTCAACATAGTGTTGGAAGTTCTGGCCAGGGCAATCAGGCAGGAGAAGAAAATAAAGGGTATTCAATTAGGAAAAGAAGAAGTCAAATTGTCCCTGTTTACAGACGACATGATTGTTTATCTAGAAAACCCCATCGTCTCAGCCCAAAATCTCCTTAAGCTGATAAGCAACTTCAGCAAAGTCTCAGGATACAAAATCAATGTACAAAAATGACAAGCATTCTTATACACCAACAACAGACAAACAGAGAGCCAAATCATGAGTGAATTCCCATTCACAATTGCTTCAAAGGGAATAAAATACCTAGGAATCCAACTTACAAGGTATGTGAAGGACCTCTTCAAGAAGAACTACAAACCACTGCTCAATGAAATAAAAGAGGATACAAACAAATGGAAGAACATTCCATGCTCATGGGTAGGAAGAATCAATATTGTGAAAATGGCCATACTGCCCAAGGTAATTTACAGATTCAATGCCATCCCCATCAAGCTACCAATGACTTTCTTCACAGAACTGGAAAAAACTACTTTAAAGTTCATATGGAACCAAAAAAGAGCCCGCATTGCCAAGTCAATCCTAAGCCAAAAGAACAAAGCTGGAGGCATCACACTACCTGACTTCAAACTATACTACAAGTCTACAGTAACCAAAACAGCATGGTACTGGTACCAAAACAGAGATATAGATCAATGGAACAGAACAGAGACCTCAGAAATAATGCCGCATACCTACAACTATCTGATCTTTGACAAACCTGAGAAAAACAAGCAATGGGGAAAGGATTCCCTATTTAATAAATGGTGCTGGGAAAACTGGCTAGCCATATGTAGAAAGCTGAAACTGGATCCCTTCCTTACACCTTGTACAAAAATCAATTCAAGATGGATTAAAGATTTAAACATTAGACCTAAAACCATAAAAACCCTAGAAGAAAACCTAGGCATTACCATTCAGGACATAGGCGTGGGCAAGGACTTCATGTCCAAAACACCAAAAGCAATGGCAACAAAAGCCAAAATTGACAAATGGGATCTAATTAAACTAAAGAGCTTCTGCACAGCAAAAGAAACTACCATCAGAGTGAACAGGCAACCTACAACATGGGAGAAAATTTTCTCAACCTACTCATCTGACAAAGGGCTAATATCCAGAATCTACAATGAACTCAAACAAATTTACAAGAAAAAAACAAACAACCCCATCAACAAGTGGGCGAAGGACATGAACAGACACTTCTCAAAAGAAGACATTTATGCAGCCAAAAAATACATGAAAAAATGCTCATCATCACTGGCCATCAGAGAAATGCAAATCAAAACCACTATGAGATATCATCTCACACCAGTTAGAATGGCAATCATTAAAAAGTCAGGAAACAACAGGTGCTGGAGAGGATATGGAGAAATAGGAACACTTTTACACTGTTGGTGGGACTGTAAACTAGTTCAACCATTGTGGAAGTCAGTGTGGCGATTCCTCAGGGATCTAGAACTAGAAATACCATTTGACCCAGCCATCCCATTACTGGGTATATACCCAAAGGATTATAAATCATGCTGCTATAAAGACACATGCACATGTATGTTTATTGCGGCATTATTCACAATAGCAAAGACTTGGAACCAACCCACGTGTCCAACAATGATAGACTGGATTAAGAAAATGTGGCACATATACACCATGGAATACTATGCAGCCATAAAAAATGATGAGTTCATGTCCTTTGTAGGGACATGGATGAAATTGGAAACCATCATTCTCAGTAAACTATCGCAAGAACAAAAAACCAAACACCGCATATTCTCACTCATAGGTGGGAATTGAACAATGAGATCACATGGACACAGGAAGGGGAATATCACAGTCTGGGGACTGTGGTGGGGTGGGGGGAGGGGGGTGGGATAGTATTGGGAGATATACCTAATGCTAGATGATGAGTTAGTGGGTGCAGCGCACCAGCATGGCACATGTATACATATGTAACTAACCTGCACAATGTGCACATGTACCCTAAAACTTAAAGTATAATAAAAAAAAAAAAGAAGGAAATTTACCTACTGGCTCAATTTCTTCTTAATGCTTCAAACCTCAATTTTTTACTGTAATTTTATTTCTGCTGATTATTAATTAACTCCCAGCATTAGTCAGGTCATTGGAAGACAGTTTATTAAATAGCTAGGTCTCACCCCCCCACCTTTGGAACACTACATACCATTAAATAGAACAGTTTTTAAGTAGACATGCACTGTGGTTTTCTTACATCTTTCTCCAAAGCCTTCGAAAATTATTATTAGTGTCATTCAAGTTGGGAAACTTAGTCATATTTTCTAAACCTTATGGCTGTGTCCCAGAATGAGAAAGGACAGAGAATAAGTCTTCAACAGCTGGGAGAGGTTTTGTGGATTTCATAGTGGTTGGGAGCTACTAACAAGGAAATATTACACATGGCCTTTGGCAGGAACATATTATAAAATCCAGAGCCTTTTGTTAAGGGCTGAGTAGGGTATTATTCATAATTGTTATTTAATTTGGTCTTCTTCCCATCTTCCTTCTAACAGAAGGCTTTTCTGCCTTGAAAAATTACACCATTTAAAGATGCCCTATGTCTGTGATTATATGCTATATAACCTGGCAAATATTCTTCAAATAAAAGCCCACAAGTCCAGTAAAATTTGCAGTAGCAGATGACATTTTCACCAAAGAACAGAGCCAGTTTTTCACGAAGGTAGAAGAAGGACCCACCCCCACTTGACTATCTTGTTTATTTGACTGACTTCATTAATCCCTGGAGCTTCCTGATAACTCCAGGAAAGCATCCAAACTCATCTCTGTCTGGCTCCTTCTTGTGTCACCAGCCCCATCTCGTACCATTTCTCTGCCCCACAAACACTAAACTCCAGCCATGTGTACCTTTAATGTTTCAGTTTCTACAGCTGACAAGTGTCGTTGAGTAGCTAATGACATGTAGTAATAGGTAAATTTATTGACGCACTAATTTTAATCATGCATACTTCAGGCTGGTGAGCTTAAGGGAGTCATTATGCTGCTGAATGAAACTAGCTGCCTGCCCGGCATTTGCTTTTCAATAGCATTTTGCCATTCTTCTGTTTATTTCTATATATGCTCTTTATAGGATGTGTTAGTTATTTACTGCCACAAAATCCTGTGCTATGAACAACCACACCCCTCAGTGGCATACTGCAATCAATGTTTATTTTGCTCCTGTGTCTGCTCAGAGGACTCCAGTCCTCTGAGGAGAGGAGTATTTGTTGATGCTACCTGGGCTTTCCCATAGTGCGTATTCAGCCATGAGTTGTCTGGTAGTTCTGCTGCTCTTGTCTAGACTTCTGGATTTACAGGCTGTCTGCTGACCTAATATGGCCTCAACCAGGACAATCAAGGACAACTTGTCATTCATCCTTCTTCAGGGTAGTCCAGATATATTCTCACAGCAGTGGCAGAACTACAACAGTAATCAAGAGCAACTGTACAAACACTTTCGAACCTGTGCTTGTGTCACGCACGCTCATACCCCATGGGCCAAAAGAAGTCAGATGGTTACGCCCAGAGTTAGAGTGTGAGGCAATGCAAAGTTATATGGCAAAGGGCGAGGCTATAGGAAGGGTAAAGAATTTGGGTCATTTTTGCAATTAATCTATCCCACAGAGAAAATGAATTTCAGAGTGGGTCTGAGAAGGCCTCCTTTCTATTCTACTTGAATCCTGGACCAGATTATACTGTCTTTCACCTCCATGCCTTTGCACTGGTGGCTCTTTCCCTTGTTCTTCACATTACCTCTCAACCCCATCCAGTGCTGTGCCAACCTCTGGAGGTAAGAAAGAGGACAAAGAAAACATAGCTTTTAACTTTAGGGAGAATATGATTTATTAGGGCAACTGACATGTACATAAAAATTGAGTTGAGTAATTAAAATAAAGACAGTAACATCTATGTATGGTTCATGGTAAGAAGGTATAGGGGATTGTGTTGAGATCGACCTTATCCAACATCTCCATAGCCTCAGCCAACATAACTCTCATTACCCTTAGGAAGGTGCTGCTGAGACCACTACTGTAATAATCTGACCTTCACTGTCGCATGTACTTGGCAGCAAGACTTTCATTGGCTAACTGAAGTCATAGCTTAGCCTCATAACTCATTTACCTCTATTACTTGTGGAAAGGTGGACCACGGGAACCCCCCTTGAACTAGGTCATATGTGCAATGATATAGGGGTCAATCTCCGCTGGGGATGCTCCTCAGAAAGCAATTGGAAAATAAGCATCTAAAACACAAAAAGTAACAACAGCTATCTCATAAATGTTCATTTGATTGCTTCTTTTAAAACATGCCTTTGAACTAGGTTATTGGTTCAGTTTTCTCCCAGTGAGGATAGTGGAAACTTAAAAAAAATAAAAAAAGAAAAGAAAAATAGGCAACGACTTAGAAAGCATGGTGAAGTGCCAACATTTATTCTATAGACAGAAAAGTTGGCCTCTCGCAAGTGTAAAATGTAAAGACAGCTCTTTCAGAAGTGAGATTGCTATGGAGCTACACAGTTGGGATTAGAAGGGCAGTATGCAGGTATCAATCACGACTGTCCAGCCAAGTATAACAAAAAGATACAGAATCTGCTGGTAAGAGAGAGTATGTGGGGGAAAGGCTTCATTTGAGCTTATAAAATATGGGTTGAGGGGTTTCCTTTCACAAGAACACAGGGAGGTGGCAGGTGGAGATAATAGACTTGAGAAACTAGTTCAAGAAACTGCAAGGGGCTCAGTCTAAAAGACCTATGTCTTGGCTTTTTGCAAGAGTTGCATGTCTTTGAACTTCACCCTGATGTAAGTATTGAACAAATACTCACACTCAACTTGGCAGGTTTGCTGGCTGCCCTCCTGTAATGTAATCACTTTGCAACTTCATACATTTCCCTAGAATCTCTGCAAAGGAAGGTAGAAAAAAGAAAACCCACTAGGTTATAGGTCCACTAAAGCTTCTCCACGCACAATGAAGAGAAACAGCATCTTTCTTTGACAGGAACACAGACTCGGGAACTAAATATATTTGGCTTCAAATATTACATCAGTGGAACACTGAGCTAGACTTCTGTCCTAATTCCTACTGTAGTTACAGAGATGATGCTACTTATCTTGCAAAGATTTTGCTAGGATTAGAGAAAAGTCATGTTAAGTACCTAGTGCACGTTTCTATCTACTATGTACACATAGAGTTGTGTGACTACCTTTTTTTTGTTTTATTCTGTTCTTGTTTTTCAGTGACTGCTGTAATGCTTAAAATAATTTGTGATCGCTCCCTAGCAATTTGGAAGGTCATTCTGAATCTTTTTCCTTTAAAAAAATTTTGTTTTCTTCTCTACCTTGGGCCAACTTACAGTAACTTGCTATGTTTTAAGGAAGCTGCTTAAAACATTTCTGCAACAAGACTGTGAATCAATCAATCATCAGTCAATCAACATATTATCATCACTATGAGAGATCCAGAAATTCCCACAGAAATAATCATCAGAATGACTCAGAAAGGATAAGTTGGATAGAACACTATTGGTAGAAGATTTATTTTCATTAAGCAATGAATTAAGCCATTGATTTTAAGATTTTGGAAATCATACTGATATATTAATGTTAATTACCACATGTAAGTATACTCAGATAATGGAGCCAAGAATCCTGGCTTGGGACATATACTCTTTACTTCCTGGAAATCCCAGAGAAGGAATTTTAGGATACCCAGGGAAGATGTTCTTTCCTCCACCAAAAAGCATTCCCACCTCCCTCCTCACTCCTCTGAGCCTATTTTATCCTGAGGTCTAGTCTCCTTTTCTCTAAAGGCTTTGGATCCTTGGCAACTGATCAGAGCCTTTCAGGCCTCCCTAGCAGGTGATTCAGGTTCAAACCACACAGACTAAATGCTTTTTATGTGGAAGGACCCCAAACTCAACTGGGGTCTTAGATTTCCACTCTGCTTCTTTCCAGCATTTCCTGGCCTTACGGGCTTCCTTATTTCTCATAGGTAGATGGGATCAAAGTCACAGGCTTTACTAAGGTAATCTACTGTAGTAATTGAGACCTGGGGTCTGGAACCAAATGGTGTAGCGTCCACATGGGCTATGTCATCTATTAGATTATGACGTGATAGCTGACAACTCATTCAACTGGTCTGTGTCTCAGTTTTACGTTCATAAAATGGGGTTTGTGATCATCCTTATGTTAAAGGAGTGTTGTAAATTGAATAGGTTAAGCCATGTGTAGCATGACACTGAATCCTCTCCATTCTGCGTCCGCAGACTGTGGGCAGTAAATACAATAAAGATTCTATGTTTCTCTTTTGTTATAATTTCAAATTTTATTTTAGATTCAGGGGGTACATATACAGTTTTGTTACATGTATAGCTGTATAAAGCATATTTTGAATGTGGAGTTTTGGGGTATTAATGATCTTATCACCCAAGTAGTGAGCATAGTACCTAATAGGTAATTTTTCAACTTTTGCTCTCTCTCTCTCACCCATCTAGTAGTCCCAAATGTCTATTGTTTTGTTCCCATATTTATGCCAATATGTATCCAATGTTTAGCTCTCACTTATAAGAGAGAACATGTGGTATTTGCTTTTTTGTTCCTGTGCTGTGTTAATTCACTTAGGATACTGGACTCTAGCTGCATCCATGTTGCTTCAGAGGGTATGATTTTGTTCTTTTCTATGGCTGTGTAGTATTCCATGTTTTCTACCTACCACATTTCCGTTATCCAATCCACCATTGATGGTCAGCTAGGTTGATTCCATGTATGTTATTGTAACTAGTGCTGCAATGAACATACTAGTGTGTGTGTAGTTTTGGTAGAATCATTTATTTTCCTTTGGGTATATATCCAGTAATGGGATTGCTGGATTGAAGGTTAGTTCTAAGCTCTTTGAGAAATCTCCAAACTCCTTTCCACATGGTTGAATGAATTTACATTACCACCATTTGCTTTTATTTGCAGCCTCTGCAGCATGTATTATTTTTTGACTTTTTAATGATAGCCATTTAACTGGCATGAGACAGTATCTCATTGTGGTTTTGACTTGCATTTCTCTGATGATTAGTGATATTTAGCATTTTTTTCTATGTTTGTTGGCTGTCTTCTTTTGAGAAGTGTCTGTTCATGTCCTTTGCCCACTTTTTAATGGGGTTGTTTTTTGCTTGTTGAATTGTTTAAGTTCCTTGTAGATTCTGGATATTAGACCTTTGTCAGATGCAAATTTTGTGAATACTTTCTCCCATTCTGCAAGTTTTTTGTTGATGCCCATGACAGTTTATTATGCTGTAAAGAAGCTCTACAGTTTAATTAGTTCCCAGTTGTAAATTTTTGGTTATGTTGTAATTGCTTTTGATGACCTCGTCATACTTTTTTTTTCCCCAAGGCTGATGTCCAGAATGGTATTTCCTAAGTTTTCTTCTAGGATTTTTATAGTTTGAGGTCTTACATATAAATCTTTAATATACATTGAGTTAATTTTTGTATATGGTGAAAAGTAGGGGCCCAGTTTCACTCTTCTGCATATGGCTAGCCAGTTATTCCAGCACCATTTATTGAATAGGGAGTCCATTCCCTATTGATTTTTTAAATCAACTTTGTTGACCATCAGATGGTTGTAGGTGTCTGGGCTTAATTCTGGTTTCTCTATTGTGTTCCATTCATCTATATGTCTATTTTTGTACAAGTACCATGCTGTTTTGGTAACTATAGCTTTATAATATAGTTTGAAGTTGGGTAATGTGATGCTGCCAGCTTTGTTCTTTTTGCTTGGGATTTCTTTGGCTATTCAGGCTCTTTGGGCATTCTATATTGGTTTTAGGAATTCTATATTTCTATATGATGATCAGAGTCACATCTTTGTTAGACAGAGGCAGCAGGGAAAGGGCGAGACACTCCCCTCATTCTGAGCACAATGCTGTGGAAAGAGTATAGAGTTTCTAGTTAGATGGATTATGGTCTGCCCTTGGTTGCTATGGAAGCTGGAAAAGATACTTGACACCAGTGTACTTCATTTTTTAACCTTGTAAGTAATTTGTGGCTCTTAAATGAGATAATGTAAATGGGGTTCCTTGCATAAAAGTTGAGACTTTTTATAATTCTTCATGTTTCCCTTTTTTGCTTCAGCTATTTGGAAGCTGAATACCTGACAAAAGCTCAAGCACTGTCACCATATAATCCTTTTTTTTTTTTTTACAATTTTATTCTCTTCCATCGGTGTTACTTCTGTTGTCTCAGTTTTCATGATTATTGATCCGACTGAATATGTGATTTTATTGTGAGCCGTATGAAAAACTTATAAATTATAAAAACAAAATGTTAAAGGTTTTACCTCTATTATTCCTGGTGTCATAAATTGCCAGCCACCCAATCAGGTGTTATTTTGTATACTATATTTGCATATTATATTTATAACATGTTGTAAATAAATATTAAATTTATTTAAGACTCAAGAATATTCAAATATATTTGGGTGGAAAACAATTGCCCTTGATTGACAAACTTATATCCACAAAAACACTACTTTTCTAGATAATTATCTCATTCACTTTTTAAAAAATAAACAGCAGTATTAAGGAAAGGGATACCTTGTTTACTAGTTGGTAGGTACTTGTAGGCCCTTTGCATATGTTGACTCATTTGAACTCCAAAACGACCCCCAAAAGTAGACATTTTTATAGTGTTAAGAAATGGGCTGAGAGAGGTTAAGTGATGAGTCCATGGTCACATCACTGATAAGTAGAAAGATGGGCTTTAAGCTCAGTTTAGTCTCACCCCAAAGTCCAAGATCCCTCCATGTGACAGGTTTGTAGTCTAATTAGTGTCACATAAAGTGTAGAGAAATGCTCTAGATTTTCCAAAATCCCATAGCAGAGCAGAAAATAAACAAAACAATGCCTAGACTCCAAGGCCTCCACAGCAAGCAGGAAATCACATCTTCCCATTGTCTGGGCTAGCCAAAGAGCATTTTGTAGGGGCCTGCCTGCCAGGGTCCATTTCAGTGGTGTCCCACCCATCCCCCATAAAAGCATGATTTAATAAGGATCTAGCATCCAGTTCCTTCATGCACTATGGTTGGAATTGATAATTAGGCAAGGGATCTCTCAAGGAAGGAGCTGCCAGAAGTTTTTAGCTTCTGGATCTATAATTTTGTCTTTGCAATATTTTTTTGAGGTATTTCAATGGAAAGTAACCCCAGCACAACACATTGGCAGGTATATCCAAGAACCTCCAGTCCAGTGCCAGGAGCAGGAGCTAATGAGGATATATAACATTCACATTTCCAAAGAACCTCAAAGAGTTCCTCAATACTTCTCAGGATTCCCTGTAGCACAAAAGTCATTGCAGGAGAGAGAAAGGGTGTGTGCTTCCCTCCAGCCTATGGCACTTCATATATGTTGCTTTGAAGCCCAGAAAACTAGAAAATGAACAATCTTTATGACTAGGGTCATTGATGCCAGAGCAGGAGTCTTCCCGAAAGAGGCCTGTCTCACTGAGAGGTGCCATCCATGCCCCCATCCAGATCCACATTCCCCTCCAGAAGGAAAAAGTGAGGACATAGGTCCCACCTTCAGATTCCCACCTTCCCAGTAGCTCCTCAAGATTAAGTTCTTTCACAGCTTCTACCTGATCAGTAGGCCAGGAGATGGTGTTTTGGCCAATGATTTTCAGTAACACAGCCAATTCTTGAAACCTTAGTGATCACACAATTCCATCCATGATTAATCTCACGGTGAGAAAGAACTCACTTTTCACCAAGCATCCACCAATACACAGACACTTGATTTAATTCTCACAACCTTTTGAGATAATAATATATAAGCTTCTTTAAGCATAAGAAATTAAAGTGGCCTAGATGTCACTTTGCTAGTTAAAATTGAAGCTAAGAATGGTACTGAGGCATTCTGTTTCACAGTTCAACATTCTTTCTGCTACATCACAAGAACTTGACTCATTCATTTTCATTCAGTCATTCTTTTATGAACTCATTTAAGAAACATTTCTTTGAGTGCCTGGTATGTGCTGCACATGGTGCAGATCACAGAGATACAGCAGTGAGCAAGACAGATCAAGTCCTCGCTGCAGTTACATAATACTCAGGGGAGGAATCTAGTGAACAAAGAATGACATAGAATGCTGAGAAAATGACATATTAAATGCCCGGAAACCTACAGGACACTAACTAGTCTTGGGAAGATGGGTGTCTCAGGAAGATGGGTGGGGTCACAGAACAATTCTCTGAACAAATAAGGCCTGAAGCAGCATGAAGAAAGGGAAGCACTCCCAGGCAGGGAGGGGAAAGAGCATGTGCAAAGGCCCCGAAGCAAAAAAGGGCTTGTGCCATTCAAGGAACTGGAAGAAGTTAAATTTGATCAGAGCATCCTCTGATTGCTCTAAATCACATCAATTTCCTAATAAATGCCAGCCGACAGACCCCATCATCTAATGAGAAAAAAAGAAGACAGGGATTCAGGCCAGAAGTTTATTTCATGAATGAGAATATGCTTTTCCCTGGAGTGGCCTCTGTGTGAATAGCATGCAGGAGCAAGGAAAGAAATGACTTCATACTCAAGAAGCACATGACAATTCCCATCAAGTCCCTGTTAAGGGGATGAAAATAAAGTTAAATTCCTGACACCACATCTTACTCCATCTATCATTATTTTAGCCATCACACTGGCCCAACTACTCTTCTCCTTTTAACTCCAGAATTAATGAGATTTAAAAGTTATTCTTTTATGTAATGTATATACCAGGGGTCCTAACTGATATATTCCACTTAAGCCCAAAGAAAGCTAACTGTTGGCATTCTCTAGCCTTCCAATATGAACTTATCTTTATCTGCCACTCCTGACTTCCAGGAATATGGCAATGAATTTGATTTCACTTCTAGTTATCCAAAGCTTTATTCTAGAAAGGAACTGGTAGAAAGAAAATGAACATTTATTGGACATTTACTGTGTGACAGCCACATTTTATTTAATACTATGTATTGCATAGAGGCATATGAGGCAGATGTAATAATCCCATTTTCTGAAATGAAGTTCTGAAAATTACATTATTTGTTTATAATCACACAGTAAAAACAAGAGTGAGGACTTGAATCCAAGTTTTGATGGGAAGCTCATGTTTAAATTTAGGACAAAGAACTTCTGAAGGCATTTCCTATGTGTTACTCTGCCCATCCTTGGAATCTGGCTACATTTGAGACTCATTTCCCTTCCTTGGAAATTTGTCAGCACAAGGCCTGAAACCCAAGTATGTAAAATGGGTCCAGCAGTTTTTAAATAAATGATCTAGATAAACTAAAACTTAAATCTTAAAATGGAAATTTTCTAGTTGAGAAATTTGGCTTTCAGGATGAGAAAACTCAGAAAACAGAGAAATATTTTATTTTCAATAGTACAATACTCCATATGATAACTTTATTCATCATTAAAGAAGAGAAGCAAAATGAGCATCTCATGACCACATTCCATAGGGAGACAATCTCCTTTGTTCTCATAAATCATCATGGTGAAATAGAAAGAAAGTAGGTCTCAGACATGGTCACACTCGGCTTTTAATTCTGCCTGTGTTGTTTTCCAGATGAGTCATATAGACATATTACTAAATCTTCTCCGAACTTTTGTTTGCTCTTTTATACATTGGCCATCAAAAATCTCAAAATAAGGCAATAGGAGTTTTTAAAAACCCCACTGTCAGCTAGTAGGCATTCAACAAATGTTAATCCTGTCTTTTCAGGTGAACTCACTGGGTACTCAACAGTCAATATTGGTTTCTAGTTTAACTGTTCCCCATAGTTTCAATAATATCTAGTACTTACATGTTATTTTCTAGCACTTACAAAACATTTTCTTTTTTTGTTTGTTTTTTTTTTGAGATGGAGTTTCACTCTTGTTGCCCATGCTGGAGTACAATAGTGCAATCTCGGCTCACCACAACCTCTGCCCCCCAGGTTCAAGCAATTCTCCTGCCTCAGTCTTCCCGAGTAGCTGGGATTATAGGCATGCGCCACCATGCCCGGATAATTTTGTATTTTTAGTAGAGATAAGGTTTCTCCATGTTGGTCGGCTGGTCTCGAACCCCCGACCTCAGGCGATCCGCCCACCTTGGCCTCCCAAAGTGCTGGGATTACAGGCATGAGCCACCGTGCCTGGCCAAAATATTTTCAAGCGAATATCTTATGCAATTATTCCAACAACCATTTGATGTAGATACCTTTGCGTTAGCCAGTTTTACAAATAAAGAGAATAAAGCTCAGGCAACATGACCTGAAAAGTAAGTATGAGACCTCTGGGACCCCAGTGCCTGGGTTTGAATTCTGGCTTTTGCTCCATGATCTTAAGCGAATTACATAATTACTCTGTGATTTAGTTTACTCATCTTAAAAGCTGAGAAGCACAATGAGATCTATCTAACAATGTTGTGAGCATAAACTAAGTTAATACAATTATATACTTAGAATAGTAAGCACTCCATTAATGTTATATATTATTTTACTCTGCAAAAATATAGCTAACTCTTAGGCAATTAGCAAAATGAAAGAAGGCAATAAATGAGTTAATAGAAGTAGAGTATTTAGACTCATTCTTGGCACATAGTAAGGGCTTAGCAAGTGTTACCTACTCTTGTTGGCCAAGATCACACAGATACGTAGGAAATGTGGTTCTTGAATAAGAGTCCTTGGGAATTAAAGCCATTACAGGTGAGGACGGAGGTGGTTGAGGAAGTTAATAGTGGAGATCCTGGTCTCCTAGTCTACCTAAAATATGGGAATTGAACACCACCTCTGACAATTGTGGGCATAGAACATGAAGATAATTAAAGTACTTTGCAAAATTTGAAGTTCTATAAGAGGATGTTATTTATTATTATTTGTGTATATGTTTGTGATAGATGAATTGAGAGATAATGACTTAATCTTAATATGAGACTAACTTCCAGATCTGTAAAAGTGGCCAAATCTCCTGGTACAGTAGAGAATGAAGAGTCTTTGGTTTTGAGTTGTATACCTGGCCTAGGATCTAGCCTCTTCCAACTAGTATGTGGTTTTGAACTTCAGGCTTTAGAAATACAAACATAGGCCGGGCACAGTGGCTCACGCCTGTAATCCCAACACTTTGGGAAGTCGAGGCAGATGATCAACTGAGGCTAGGAGTTTGAGACCAGCTTGGTCAACATGGTGAAACCCTGTCTCTACTAAAAAAAGAAAAAAATTAGCCGGGCATGGTGGTGGGTGCCTGTAATCCCAGATACTCGGGAGGCTGAGGCTGAAGAATCGCTTGAATCCAGAGGCACAGGTTGCAGTGAGCTGAGATAGTGCCACTGTACTCCAGCCTGGGTAACACAGGGAGACTCAGTCTAAAAAAAAAAAGAAAGAAAGAAAAGAAAAGAAATATAAACATATTAATTTAGTAAACTTTGCTATGATCTAGGATTTTCTTTCTCTCTCTCTCTTTTTCTTTTTCTTTTTTTTTTTTTGAGACAGAGTCTTGCTCTGTCGCTCAGGCTGGAGTGCAGTGGTGTGATCTTGGCTCACTGCAACCTCTGCCTCCTGGGTTCAAGCAATTCTCCTGCCTCAGCCTCCTGAGTAGCTGGGACTACAGGCACTTGCTGCCATGCCCGTCTTATTTCTTTTGTATTTTAGTAAAGACAGGGTTTCACTGTGTTGCCCAGGCTGGTCTTGAACTCCTGAGCTCAGTCAATCTGCCCGCCTCAGCCTCCAAAAGTGCTAAGATTACAGGCGTGAGCCACTGCATCCAGCCCATCTAGCATTTTCTTAGTTATCCAGTAGTTGTATATTTTGGTTAGATAGTAAATCTTCAATTAGCTGAAATTTTCTTGTTCCTAAAAGAGGAATGACTACCGTGCACAGAGTTCTATGTGCTAGTGTATTAGTTATAATAAAGTACCACAAACTTAGCAACTTAAAACAATACCCATTTATTATCTCACCGCTCTGGAGGTCAGAAGTCTAGGTGGTATAACTAGGTTCTCAAGGTCTCAATAGGCTGAAATCAATGTGGTGGCTAGCTGCATTATCATCTGGACCTTGGGCTCTTCTTTCAATTCCTGTTATTGGCAGAATTCAGTTCCTCATGGTTGTAAGACTGAGGTCTTCCTTGTTGGTTGTCAGCTGGGGGCCTCTCCCAGCTCCAGTCCTTGCACATGGCCCTTCCATCTTCAACATCAGCAATGGCATGTAAAATTTTTCTTATGGTTGAATCTCTCTTACTTCTACTTCTACCACCAATCAGAGAACATCCTCTGCTTTTCAAGAGCTGATGTAATTAGGTGACAGAGTCGGAACTAAGAAAGTAATGGTCAAGATGGAAAGAAGAAGACTCACCCTGAATTAGGAGGTAGTAACTCATCGCAGTGGGAGATGGGAAGAAGGGGTGTGCTGTGGCACACTTACATTCCCAAGGTTCTCTCGGTTTAATTTCGACCAGTATATTTTTCTTATCAAAGAAATGGCTTAATTTCGACCAGTATATTTTTCTTGTCTAACCAAATAGGTTAAGATAACTTAGGGTTTGAGACTTGAATAGAAATACTTTCCACTTAATTTTGTTATCTTATATTTTATTTAAGTAAACTATTTATTTATTTATTTATTTATTTATTTATTTATTTATTAATTAGATGGAGCCTCGCTCTGTTGCCCAGGCTAGAGTTCAGTGGTGAGATCTTGACTCACTGCAACCTCCACCTCCTGGATTCAAGCGATTCTCCTGCCTCAGCCTCCCAAGCAGCTGGGATTACAGGCATCCACCACCACACTCAGCTAATTTTTTGTGTTTTTAGTAGAGATGGGGTTTCAGCATGTTGGCCAGGCTGGTCTCGAACTCCTGACCTCAAGTGATCTGCCCACCTAGGCCTCCCAAAGTGCTGGGATTATAGGTGTAAGCCGCCATGCCTGGCCAAGTGAATTATTTAAACGTGTAGGATCATATTTTGCAGTGTCAATTTCTCTGTTTTTGATCATAGTTTACAAAAAGTCATGGGATCTACAACAGTGCCAGCCTCCATGTACCCTGTATCCTGTCTCCATGTTAAGCTCTACGTTCTGGCAAGGCTTATAGGTCTAATCTTAGAGAGTAGGATAAGAGGCCCTTAAAAAGTAACACTATAGAATAAGACAATCGTGTAATAATCATAATAATAATAGAAAAATATAAATAGAAGAACTCATAAAGTGACTTTCTCTGAGAATTGTGTACCACTAACTAATTCATGTCACTCCACTGGATTATATTAGCCCTTAAGTGAGAATATACTGTGCTTTCCAATGCCCTAGTTGGTCAACACTGATTCCAAATAAAGAACTCTTTATTTATGTGAGAAGATGAACCCAGTCACTCAAGTATTTTCCTCCTACAACAGAGCAAGGGAAAATATGACCCAAGGGGTTTCTGCCTCTATCAGGATTTGCTGTGGCTTCCTCTTCGTGAGAACAGACTCTCAGGACTATATTTCCTCTTCCCTTCCACAAAGGCATGTGAAAATATAAAGCAGTAAAACCACATAAACAGCCAAAAAAGTACAATCAAACCCTCTCTAGCCTCAGGAGGCAATTCTTGGCCTGGTTTTGTGTGCTAGCAAAAGGATAGTTCAGGAAGAGGGGGTGGAAAGTTCTCATTTCTTTCTCTTCTGATGTTCTCTTCCTTGGTTAATAGCCCAAAGGGTCCTTGCTCTGGATATAACCAAATTCCTCCAGCTATTAATTATCAGCTCTTGGGACTTTGTGGGCCTATGGATAAATTCTTATATTTTTAATATCAAAACTTATATTAAATAAATAGTACTAAGTTTATCTTCTTTTTGAAGTCTTACCCAAATTAATAATTTTGCATATGCTATTCTTTTTTCCATTCCTCTGTCATCTTCTTCTTTTCCTCCTCCTCCCCCTCCTCCTGCCTCTCCTCCACCTTCCTCTCCACCTCCTCTTCTTTCTTCTCCTCCTCCTTCTCCTTCTTCTTCTCCTCCTCCTTGTTCTTTTCTTCTTTAGCCTGTCATTGCTGTAGATGCTAAGGAAAAGTAAAATTGTCTCAGGTTAGGCTATAATAGAGAGAAATCCAGTAGATACAAAAATTGGAGAAATCAGCTCTTAAATGAGTTTTTAATTTCATCAAGGCGAAGGCAATAATCACTCACTGAGTGCTCATTTTCTCCCCGTTGCTGCGCTAGACCAGGAGAAGCAGAGATGAAAGGCACAGGAGGAAGGAGTCACATATACATAGACACTATTCGAGGAGGAAACCAAAGTGCAATTTGATTAGGGTTATAGGATAGGAATGTTCGCTGTGCTTGGGGAACACACATGCGGAAGCAATTTATTCTGGCTGATGGGCTCCAGTAAAGTTCTAGTGCTGAAAGACTGGACTGAACCCAGCTGTATAGAGCAGAGTTGTAGTTTTCAACATTTTTCTGATTGAGTCCTATAATACAAAATCTATTTTATGTAGCTCTCCAGAACACACAAACACGTGCATATTTAGACAACTTTTACAAAACTGCACTAACCAACACTTACTGTGTGTAATATACTCACTTTTTTTCTTCCATTCTGTTTCAATTACTTTAGATGCTAGCTGAAACTTATTTAATCGAGTTTCTTAAATATATTCATGAATTGAGACCCCCAGCTTAGGAAACCCTGGAATACAGCATGGACTTTGGGGTGACACAGAACTGGTTTTGAATCATGATATTGCCAACAAATAGCTCTGGGATAGGGCCAATTCGCTTAACTTCTATGAGTAAAAAAAAAAAAAAAAAAAAATTGGTAAGTGGCTACTCTCTACCTGATTAGGTGGTTATAATTTTTAAAGGAAACAATACCTGTAAACAGCTTAATATAGTGAAAGCTCAATAGATGGGTCAGGCAAAGAGTAGGAAAAAGGAGCATCCAAGGCACCCTGATTTGGTAGGATTGACCTACCATTCAAAACAAGGTAATTCTTGATGACTCAGTGTGTAGCGTGCAAGGTGGAAATGAAAAATAACAGTCTGTGAAGCTTCTGCACCCAGCAGACTCCGGGTGTGTATGTGTTTTCACGTGAATATGTGAGTGAACAGGTATGTGTTTGTGTGTGTTGTGGGGGTGAGTTTTTTGGGGCAGTTGCATGTGTGGGCATCCATGTGTGAGTCGGGGAGACAATAGAGGCAATAGTGTCAGTAGAAGGATTAAATCAATTCCCTTTCATTCAACAACCTATTAACCGATTCCAATGAGTTTTTCTTAAACCAACCGTCCCAAATTTTTTCCTGAGACCTTCCTTTTACCAAGAGACCACAGCCCCTTGTGACCTTGACACAGTCACATCATTTCTGGATTTTATCTCCCTTATATTGGACTACATCAATATGTTTAAAGAGTCCTTTAGAAAAGCAGTAGAGTCCCTTTTCAAGCACAATATTCAGAGGATTCTAATATTTAATTATGGCTTTATATATACAGAGAAATAGCGATATAGACATATAGTAATAGCTAACATTTATTTTGCACTTAATATATTCCCAGCTCTGTGCTAAATGCTTTACGCACATCAGCTCACGACAACGCTATAATGTATAAGACTCGTGAAGACCCTATAATCTAATGGCTATTTCTATCCCTATTACACAGATACCTGGCTCAAGGTCACAAAGCTAGTGAATAACGTGTTTAGGATGCAGAGCTAGATGCTGTATTAGTCCGTTCTCACATTGCTATAAAGAAATACCTGAGACTGGGTAATTTATAAAGAAAAGAGGTTTAATTGGCTCATTGTTTCACAGACCCATTAGAAACTGCTCCCATGATCCAATCACTTCCCACCAGGCCCCACCTCCAGCATTAGGGATGACAGTTCCACATGAGATTTGGCAAGGACACAGATCCAAACCATAGTAGATGCAAATATATCTCACTGCAATGAGATATATATTTGCAATGTGATTTCATGAGGAAATAAATAAGACACTAACCCCTGCAATCCTTTTCCACATCCAAGGAAATAGATACATCCACGCTTTATTTATGCAAAGATATTTTTATATATTTGTGTATATATTTATGTATGTGTATGTTTAGATAGATGTATACATTTACATATTTCTGTATTTATATATGAGTTTATATAGTCATATATTTTATGTTTATACATTTATGTATCTGAATGAATATATATTACAAATCTATATGAAAAAGTATATGTATAATGAAAAAATATATATAATTAACTAAATGCGTGTTGTCATATTACAGAAATCAGATGTGCAGTAGGTAAATGATATAGCCAGGACACTCATCAATGTCATCTCTGTGCCTTAGAACCCAGCACTCCCAACACTTCTCTCTACAACTATCTCCAAGACTGGAAGAGCATCAGACTTGGGAAGTGACCATCACACCTAACTGAGCTTCTGTTTTGCAACCAAAAATGAATTATAAATCCTAGATAACAAATCAACCCTCAAAGCCTATATATTGATCCCAGTCCTTGTCATTAGGCAGTGCATTCTGCTGGGGATGCAGTCACAAGACTTTTTGTTTGTGATTCTAGGGTAGCATTCTGAGACACATTAGAGAGTATTTATTTTCACTGAGACCCATGCTTAGCTCCAGGGGAGCATGATTGTTAAATATAATGCATGTTTACTATTGTGCCTTGAAAGAGGATTAGTGAAGGAGGACGTTACTTTAATTTCTTCCATGTGACTCAGAGCAGTGGTGGTTAATTTCCTCTCCATACTTTAAGATCACATTGTGGTTAAAGAGTTAAAGGCTAATTAAGCTCTCTGTCAAAAGCGACAAAACCCTGGCTTCAATAGATTCCCCCTAGGAAAAACATCTTTTGCTATGAGGCTTCCTCTGCCTGTTTCCAGTCTCTGATTGCAGGTCATGCTGAATGGAGGCTTCTTAAACGGGGCGGGAGGTTTGTCTCCTAAATATGCTGGAGTCAGGGAGTGAAAGCAGGCGTTTACATAGGAAAGCAGCTTGTGATTTTTTGTCATGGTTGCAGGCAGTAGGAACCGAGTTGGCAGTACCAGACTCCTTAGCTGTTACAGGAGAACTCAGTAAGGGAGGCAGGTGGGCGATAGTTCATCAGCCTCTCCTTATGCCTTGTTATTACAGGAAGTTAATGAGACAATCTTTTTCCCATTTAAGGATCAGCAACTACAGGAAAAACGTATTGAAACCTTTATACTTCTTGTCAATGCCTGTATCTTATTCAATCACTGCAACAACCATTTGATGTAGGTACCATTGTGTTAGCCAGTTTTACAAATGCCTCTAAACTCCTTGTTGATGTCTGTAGCTTTTTCTTATAAGGTTATTAGCAGAAAAATACAAGCAAGCTGGCAAAAACTGGCACTGTGCTTGGCACATAACGGTAGTTTCCCAAGGTCAAACAGAACAAACATAAAAAATAAAGCAAGTGTTTCATTCCAAATTTTAATAATTATGTTTTTGTACTATGCAGCTTCCATATCATAATCAATCAAACTTGGAAATATTGTATTGAGAAATGTCTATTTTTACATGATGAAGGAGAAGGAAAACAATAAAAAGCTATAGGACTAAAACCAATGTCCGTTATGAGTCATACTGAATCCCAATAAAACCACTACTCACTACCGTAGCCCTGGTCCCTGTCTTAGTGCTTGTCACATGGGAAGCTTTTATTAACTGCCTGTTGACCAAATTGGTGAATCCACTGAAAGCACTCACCCTCATTTGATCAGAATTTTTAAATTACCCTACGAATGATGACTGGGTTGCTGGACTAAGCAGAGACCTTAGAACTTTGCCTGACGCAAAAGAAAGCCTTCACAAAATACTTATTTACTGAATATCTTTTGGTATTTTGGTCAATTATCTTGAAGCCTAAAATAAATCAATGTAAATAATGACATATGTTATTGCGTCTTAGTAATAACAATACTAAAAATAATACAGTAATAATGACAATAAAGATTCCTAGCTCTCTAGTATAAATGATGCTCTCACAAATGTGAATTGCTGCAATGCTTCTGGAAAATATTTTATTACTAATTTTCAAGAGATAATACATTTTCCTATACTTTGCCTTAGAGAGGTAAAAAATAGTTAGACACTTTTTAAGTTCCAGACTCACATCATCTCTTTGACCTCAGAAACTTTGTTTTAAGAAATCTGCCAAACAATGTGTTTTTTTCTACTTTTCATATTTTATCATAATTAATTTTGTGATAAAAACTTTGTAAATACCTTTACCATTAACACATTGTTTGGCAGTCAATATAAAGATGCAAATAGTTTAAGTGTGAAAATCATAGCTCTTATTAGGTAAAAGTAAGTCAATTGCTCAGAAGAACTACAGTTATTCTATATAGGTGGTTTTAAAGGCAATGCCTCCCACAGGTCCTCATGGAGATGACGTACCTAAGTCAGATTTCTATAATAAAGTCTTCATGTTAAACAGAAGAAAGATTTTTGCATTGTTTCTTTTAACATCCGATCAGGATGAGAAAAAGACAAAATTACAAAAGGGGCATTTCTCCTTGAGTAGCTAAAGTCACAGGGTCTAGTGCCTTAAAAAATCTATGTATATGTCTGGCACCACAGTCCTGCCCTATTTAGCTTAAAACAAAACAAAAAAGGAACAGGGAAAATAAGTGTTCTTTCATTTATTCACTCACTCGTTAGAAAAATGGTTATGAACTTAATTTTCTGTGGTTCAAAATATTACACAAAGAAATTATTTCTACCAATATTAGTCTCAAATTCAATTATCATAAGAATATGTAACTATGAGCAAGTTTGTAAACCATCATTTTGCAATATCTAAAATGTGGTGGTTGGAATAGATGACGCTTAAAACCTCTTCTAATTTAACATTCTATGATGTTGATTGTTAAAAACAAAATGGTTGGCAAAAAACAATGTAAGCAGAACAGAAAAATATATTTTGAGGGTGGAATGTAATGGGATTTCCTTGGACAGTTTCATAGTTTATGCCGTATAGACAGATAAAAATGGCATAGTTCATCTGACTGAGTAACCTATTCTACTGCTTTTAATCAGTCATCTTTGAACATTTTCAGATCATTTTGCCTTAGAAGCTAAAACTGTGTCCAACACGGCAGTCAATGAAAAAGTATAAACCTCTGGTGTCAGAGAGAGTTTGTCTAGCTTTTTCATATAATAATCGTGTGACCTAGTCAATTTATTTAATCTCTCTGTGTGACAATAATATATACCTCAAATGTTGTAAAGATTAAATAACAGTGAAAGCGCCTAGTGATTCCTGCAAGGGACATTCTAAATTCATGTTTGTTTCCTTCCTCTTAGAGAAGTTTTATTCTTATAAATAACGAAGTTGATATACACTTAAGAGCTTCCATGTCTAAATATATCTCTTAAGTTCCTCATAAGATGCTTAAGTAAAATGTAAAATTAGGGTACCTATAAACAAAGGGAAACTCTGTGCTTTTCCAAAGCAAAGGCACTTCATTTTAGCTTCTGGAAGTGTAGTTCACATTAATTCCCTGAACAATTTCCTGAGTTAGAAATATTGCCATAGAGACATTTTGACCCGAGCAATATCATTTTCAGCAGAACAAAGATGTTTATGTGCTGTATAGTATTTTGGCATTTGATGCTGGGGCACAGTTTGAAAGTTCTGAATATACATGAATATCCTAACTTCACTTAGCAGCATCTCCTTTGAAAAGGTAAACTTGATATGCTTTCAAATTTCATGCCGTTGGGTCTAGTTAAGATGGCAGTCCTGAATGAAACACATTTAAAATCTACTCCCTGAAGTGGAAAAGTTGGGCTAGAAGTTTCTCTTCTTCCTCCTTCTTTTCTTTCTCCTTCCTCTTCACAGACAAAAATGTTGGCTAATGAAAAATACTTTAAGGAGATTCTCACTTATAAGGACATAATTTCTTAAAAGAAAAATTAGTAAACAACAAAAAAATAGTTGAAAGAAAAAAACTAATCAGAGGCTTCTAAATTAAAGCAACTTCTTTTACTAACAACGACATTCATAAAATTTTTTAAAATTTTAACAGCCAGTACTGTCCTATTGTGATGAAACCTGTACATTGCTAAAGTCATTGGAAACTGTATGACTCTTTAGGTAATATTTAACAAATATTAAAAGCCAGATAGCTATTCATATCTTTTGCCCCAATGATTATGAATCTTAGAATTATTTTATTTATTTTATTCAAAAAGTCCTAATTGTGTGCCCCAGTTGAGCACTTGATCTGCAAAAACAAACAAGGCAAAAACTGTTTGAAAAAGTTTATAGTCTAGTGAGAGATTTATTTTAATAAAACAATTTAGCAAGACTGAATGGCATACGTAAGAAATTTTCACTACAGTGCTACTTCTAGGAGCAAAAACTATTATGTCTACCTAATATGCAACAATAGGAGGATAATTAAATCCATAAGTTTATTAGGTAGTAAAATATATGTTTTAAATATGATAAATGTGAACACTGCACAATGTAGATATCAGCATAAAAATATTAAGCAGGATTTTATAAATAGTATGATTTTATTCATGTAAAACATATTTGAATGGAATAAAATGGGAATATGAGAAAATGAAAACTGTGTATTTGTCATATAGTGGTAGACTTTTTTTTAAATTCAGTATTATCTTATGAGTCACAATATTACAAGGAAATCACAGTTTTTAATTTTAAAAAGTAGCAAAAAACTCAATATTTTCTGATCAATAATAATTATATGGCAAAATATACAATTGGCATGTTATATGGAAATCTGAAGCTTTCTTTTTGGCCTATAGTTTTGTCCTACCCGTGAAATAGTGTAAGTTCTTTGAGAAATTTTAGTTTTTTTAAAATTTAGTTTTATTTTTGATTTCTAAATATTGCCCTTAAAATCCATTTCTAAAATATAGGGTAAAGGCAGTTCAGGAGAATGCAGATAGAATAGAGATCAGCAACCCTGGGCAAGTCACTTCATTTCTTTATGTTTCCTCATCTGGAAAACGGGGATAATTGTGTTCACTTGATTTTAAAAGAAAGGAAGGAAGGAAGAAAAGGAGGGAGGGAAAGTGGGAAGAACAGAGGGTGGGAGGAAAATGAGTACAAAGAAAGAAGGAAAGAGGGGAAGGAGCAAGAATGAGAAGAATGGAGAAAGCCAGCCTGAAAAGGAGGCAGAAGTGGTGTGCTTCTGAATTTGAGGTACACCAAAAAAGAAGAGCTGCATCGGTCGTGGTGCAAGAGAAGGAAACTGGACACAGACGGAGCAGATGCTGCAGGCTGGGTGGCCAGTATTACACTGTAGGGAACACTTCAAAGATGCATGATCTAAATCTCTATGGTTCCTGAATTACAGGGCAGGGAAGTTCATAACGTTGTTTTTCAAAGTGGATATGCTAGTGAGAGAATTTATCATTGGAATAACATTTTACAGCGTAGAATGAATTCCTTTTCTTACAACCAGGAAACCAGTCTGAACTCCCCTCATCCGAACCCAGTGGAATGATTCCATCCTTCCTTTGAAAATCCCTTTCAATTTACTTTCTAACGTAAATTCTCCATTCAACTCAAACCCTTTAGTGTATGGTTCAAAACTTACTTTGTCTGTCATCGCACGGTGTCCTTCTCTCACTCCTACATAGCAAGAAATTCTCATCCTATCCCCGTAGCCTTCAACCACCTCCTGAACTTTTCACCATCTCAAAAAAGCCATCTTATCTGTAATCATCCCCGGAACACTGTCTGAAATGCCAACCCCTGACTCGCTTCCCTTTTGGATATTCAGTGAACTCCTTCTCCTTCATCAATACCAAATTCAACCTGCATTTCCTTTGAAAAACCTTCCTTAATTCCCCAGCAATACATCCCCCTTTCTCTTCTGAGTATCCCTAAAGCTTTGTTTAATAGTTGTGCTTTTGAATAAATAAATGGAAAGACGAATGGATCAAGAAATAAAGCAAGGGAGGAAACCTATATTTGTGAGATCAGAATCTTGGCCATTTTGTTTTTGCATAGGAAACAACTTTATTAAAAGTTGTAATAAGACTATAAACATAGCAAATCCAAGCTTTTACTTCATATACTTCTTATTTGAAAGGTATGTGAACTAAAATGAGAAACAAGCATTAAATGTAACTAACTGCTCAGCAGTACATGAACCTGGAACACATCCATCTTGAAAATTCAAATCCCAAATCCATCTCTAATAGTTCTAGCTTACCATTACTTTTGGTTCTTCTTCCACTTGCATCACCAAAACACAATACCTTTAAAATTTTTGACCACCTATACTGTTGTTCAGGAAGAGTTGGGCATCTTCTTTGCTCTATGGTTATGCAACTCTCTTACTTTCAGATTTATAAACAGCAATTCAATGTGAACTTTGGATTTGAGGGCCCTAAATTTGAGTCATGGCTTCATGCCATGTTATTTGGGTGGCCTTGGGCGGAATATTTTACCTATCTACAACCTCAATTTCCTCTTTTATAAAATAGGGAAAATAACAGTACCTGCTTAATAGGGCCCCTTTCTCTTTTCCTTTTTTTTTTCTTTTAAATTTTAGAGAGCTATGTGTTCAGTGCTTTCCACATAGCAACTCATTTATCTTGGCCAACAGCCCAAGAGTTGAAAGTGGGAAAATGCTTGAGCTGTGCTTCATGCAGTGAGGAGCACATCAAGAGCTCTCCTTTGTAGATGGTCCATGCTAATTTCCATTGATTCTTCTTAATCTTAGCAAGAAATCAGTGATGGTGGAACCTTAGAGGTTTTCTAGTCTACCTCTTCATTTCAAGCATGAAAACATGGCAGAGGGATAAATGATGTTCTAGATCATAAATGATGTTCTCAGATCACAGTGTGGCTTTTCTGGTGTTGGTCCATCTCTATTTCCAATACACATTTACTTTGGTCTAAAGGCATAAAGACATAGGATGCTCTGGAAGAGTCTCCTTGGTTAAGCATGTATGTGGCCCATTAGCAAATACTTGGAACCAACCCAAATGCCCATCAATGATAGACTGGATAAAGAAAATGTGGCACATATACATCATAGAATACTATGCAGCCATAAAAAAGGATGAGTTCATGTCCTTTGCAGGGACAGGGATGAAGCTGGAAACCATCATTCTTAGCAAACACAAGAACAGAAAACCAAACACTGCGTGTTCTCACTCATAACTAGGAGTTGAATAATGAGAACACACGGACACAGGGAGAGGAACATCACAAACTGGAACCTGTTGGGGGTGAGGGGTTAGGGGAGGGATAGCATTAGGAAAAATACCTAATGTAGATGACTGGCTGATGGGTGCAGCAAACCACTGTGGCACGTGTATACCTATGTAACAAACCTGCAAGTTATGCACATGTACCCCAGAACTTAAAGTATATATATATATATATATATATATATATATATATATATATATATATATAAAGAATCACACAACAGAATGAGGAGATATTTGATTATGGCTATTAGGGAGTATGAACATGGCCAAACCATACTTTTGTTAAATGCTGTCTCTTCTTTAGCCTACATACATGTACCTATTAAAACATATATTCAGAATTACACCAGGCTATTAAGGCAGTGTATGTAAATGCCAAAACTAAACTGGACTCTTTGGGATAATGGGATTGACTATCTCATTATAAAAAGCCTGTAATGCTTCTTTAGGAAATTCCTGGCTTGATATTTGCAAGTTCAAATATTCTCATGTTATTTAACTTTTGCTTCTTATTTCAGTTTCACAGAACCTGGGGGTGGAGGGAGTACGGAAATCAATAGCTTCCAATCTCATGATTTTGCATTTACTGACTGCCTCTCTTGCCCACCCACATGCTATGTTTTTTCATTAAGATGGATTTTATATCACAAATATATATGGTAACAATCTCTTGCTAAAACCAACAGCCTGCTTCAGCAGTGATAAGTTTATCACAGATCATAATAGAACAATGTGAATACCTCAAGCCAGTGGGTAAATCTTGCCCCTTGTTATGCTCTGGGACAATGACTTTTACCAAGTAGAAATGTCACACCTGCCTCTATAACTTTGTGCAGTCCCCGTAATCTATGAATTATGTTACTGGTGAATTACTTTTAGGGAAAATAACTTTGGAAAGAGCATACGTTTTGAAAGTTGTTAAAAGGGAAACTGTTGATATAAATATGTACAGGAGAAGATGAACATATGGAAATTTTCATGGTGAGTTTTCCTCCAGAGTAAATGAAAAGGAATGTCAAACCACAAAGAATCTTTTCCCTGAGCTTCAGAGAATGATAGCAGAAGTCTTAAAAAGGCACTTAATGGAATCATATCTGGAAATGGTTGAATCATAAAAAGGTGTAGCATCCAATTCTCTTTTCAAAATGCCTTGGAAACTTTAGCTCTCTTTCCAAGAAAATGAATAACACTGTGGCCTCCTTTGAGGTGAGGCAAGGTTATTTTGTGAGTCATTTCTCATGTAATGGTGGGTTAAAGATGAACATTGCCTTCTTTCACCTTCCCACCCACCCAGATCATGCTCACCCTTTAGGACTTAGGCACTAGCATCGCCTCCCTGAAGGATTCTGTGCTGATCTCAGCTCCATTTGAATTCACTGTTTCCTAAAATCTAAAGTACTAGATGTTTGTAGCATACAATTCTACATTTACTTCCAAAAATACCTTGCATTGTACTTGAACCATATTCCACTAGACTACTAGCTTCCTAAATGCAGAGATTAAATTCTGCTTCCTTAGTGCCCAGTTCACTCTTGGGTTTTTTGTGGTGGCTCAATAAATATTGGCAATAATTGGCTTAACTATTGGAATAATGTATCTGTAACCTCTTCAGTCAAGGGCAGAGACTTGGTGTGCCAAACAGAAAGAACTGTCATTTATTGAGCTCCTCCTCTCTATCAGCAATTATGTCTTTTTAAAAAAAAAAAATTGGTTATGTATTTCTAATAATGACATCATCATTGTGTCCTCATTTGGCAGCTAAAGAAACCGAGGCTCAAACATGGTGAGCTGCTTGCTCAAGAGAAAATTGCTATTAAAAGCAAGGTTTATCCAGCACTAGGATTACCAACATATATGCGCAATAAATGAAATTAACCACTAAAAATATTTCCATTGTATCAGAGATAGTCTCCCCAAAAATCAATGGAAATGGCCCATAGGAAGTCTTTCCTGGTCCTTCTTTCAGGTAAAGCACGAATCTTGTCCCTTTCTGGGTGGTCAGAATCTCCCTGTTTGGCTCTTGGATTCCCCAGAAAGTTCAGGTTGCCTGGGTGGAGAGGAGTAGGGCAGCAGCAGATTCCATCTTACTCAGCCCAGTGACTTCTTTGTCTACACTAAGTCTCCCTTTCAGCTCCCAGGTAAAAAAAAAAATTATGAAAATAAAAAATGGTTCCTTTTCAATGGCAGATTAAAGATTGGTTCAAAAAGCAGATTTCAAAAATGTTTAAGTGTATGATGTTTTATTTCAGCCTGCAGGGTAGAAAACATCTGGCTGTTTACAGAATTTTGCCGATGCCTTCCTATACTAATTCTTACTCTCTTTCTCCTTCCTTTTAAGGGCCCAGGGCCTTTGTGCTGCCTGTGATAGGCCATGCTTGCACGCTATAAAGAAATACCTGAGACTGGGTAATTTATAAAGAGATTTAATTGGCTCGCAGTTCTGCAGGCTTTTCAGGAAGCATGGTGCTGGCACCTGCTTGGATTCTAGGGAGGCCTCAGGGAGTTTTCAGTCATGGCAGAAGGTGAATGAAGAAGAGGGACATCATATGGTAAAAATGGGAGTGAGAGAGAGGAGAGAGAGAGACGAGAAACATCTGGACCGGATCTTGTGGGAAGCTCAGACCCACAGCTCACTTATCACCAAGGGGATGGCCTAAACCCTTCATGAGGCATCTGCCCCCATGATCCAAACACCTTCCACCAGGCCCCACCTTCAATATCGAGGATTACATTTCAACATGCGATTTGGGTTGGGACAAATATCCAAACGATATCACAGCCCTTTAGTTAGCCATACCACTCCATTTTCCCCCCAACCTCCGTTATCACTACTCCAAACACTGGAGTTAATTTTCCCCAGCCCCAAACCATATGCCCAATCTTTCATTGTCCTCATCTGAGCTAGTTAAATGAAGCAATCTATATTAACATGAATGGCTGTGTAGGGGCAGAAAGAGGATTATCCCTTTCCTTCCCATCATTAAAGTTGCAGCTGACACTCTTATAACAAAAGACAGTTTAACAAGAGAAATGGATAACAAATTTATTTGATTAGACTTTTATTCAACAATGGCTTTCAGATTGAAGACCCAAAGATACAGGAGAAGCTGTATGATTTTATGCTTAGGTTCAATGAAGCCAGGACAGTCATGTAGAAATGCGATTGGACAAAAAGGTTATGAGCTAATGGTAGTTGAGTGAGGAAACCCACCAAGGCCTGTCTGTCCAGATTCTTCTTGGCCTCTCTGTTGTAGCTTTTTATTTTTTTTCCTCCCAGGTATGGGATAGGACTTCTCTGGAATAAAGGTCTCAATTTCTTAATGGCCTGCTGTTACACAGAAAGATGAGGGAAGGTTAGAGTAATATTTTCAGGCTTTCTAACTGGCTTTGGGGGAAAGGGGTTCTGGTTTCTCTGACCCATCCTGGGGAAGAGGTATTCTAATTACTATTCCTCAGGAGAGAATAAGAGGCGAGAGACAGGAGGGCAGAAGTTCCAAGAGAAATTTTGCTTATGAGACTTTCATTTTGGAGTATTGGCTTTTCTGAGCCTCAACAGCAGATTGTCTGAGTCTGTAGCTTTTAGTACTCTACTCGTTTGTAAAAGAAAACACATTCACTATGCAGTATAGGCTTTGGGTGGCCGTGCAATGCAAAAAGTAAAACTTTGCCAGTCCCTGATGACTTTCATTCTCTAAGAGCTTTACATCAATTAACCTATTGATTCCTTTCAGCAACTCTAAGAGTCAAATTATTATCCTTATTTTTTACCGAGAAGGAAACTGAGGCACAGAGAGGTTAAATAGCTTGCTTATAATGAAAAAGCTGGTATTAGGCAGACTTCAGTTTCAAATCCAGGCAGCCTGGCGCTAGAAGCTGGGCCCATTCTTAACCACCGTGCACACTGCCTCTCATCATGTGGTTGTTAACGACATGGGTTGTGGAATCAGAAAACATTTTCCTTCTGGGCATGGCTTTGGACAACTTACTCAATCTCATTAACTTCAGTTTCTTCATCTGTTACATCATAATAATATCAGTACCTGATTTACTTTGTTCTAATGTGGAGTAAAGGGAGTGAAACCTGAAAAGACTAAGCATGATGCCTAACATGTGGAAACAGCACCCCTAATCAACGTTTGCTTTCATTCTTATAGTTTTATTTTTGCCAAGGGTGTCATTTTAGACAGCATAGAGGGCCAATATGGCATCATACTTGAAAAACAGCCTTTCTTGGTGTCCTTAAATTACTCTGCATAGAAAACCTATCTTACTCATTCATGAAACTCACTCTGAAAATATATACATGGACATAATGTGCACATATGTTCTTTCCTGATGAGGAAGGTAGGGAGGGCTCCTCCAGTTCTGCTTTGTAATGCATCTGAGCTCCTGAGTATAATATAATCACTTTCTTTTGTGGCTTTGGATTTATATACACATTACAGCCACAGGCATGCAGGCATATATTTTTAGATCACTCTCTGAAAATGGAGCATCCACATTTTTAAAAATAAACTTGTGCTGGGCTAAAGCTGGAATCAATGAGCGGGGAAAAAAACCCCACAATCTACTCTGCCTGCTCCTTGTCTTTGCAGCTAACAGCCAAGTCTTATTCTTCCACCCTGATTCCAACTGATTCTTTTCTTTTCTATGCCAGAACAAGGGGTGCAGATCTCAGCAAATGACCAGAGTGGAGTCGGCTGTTAAATATACATTTCTGACTCCTAGAAATTTGGCTCCTGACAAATGTTCTTGAAAACTTTTAGGATGTGGCGGCATATTTCAAAGGCTCTCTTAGGAAATCTCAAGTGAAATCAGGCTTCTCACAGATCCTCTTCAGGCTGTGACCTCACCTAGTGCCCATTGCAGGGGACTGGATCCAGTGAATACAATCAACTCATATCCATGGACTCCGTGAAAGACAGGAAGGACACACCTCTGCTCCCAGTCCACTCAGTGTATCCAAACAGCCAGGAAAAATGGTTTCATGGCTGATTACTGTTGCTGAGGCAACTCTATTGATCCTTCCTATGGTAATATTGGCAGTTTCCCCTGGGGATTGGAGAGTGGGGTTGGCTGACAGTTCTCTGGGTAAGAGACCAAGGCATTATTAAAAAATTATCCCCATACCACACTCTGTTCCCAGTCCCCAAAAGTCAAATTGCAAAGCCTGATTTTAAACTCTGAAGAAATGCCCAATCTCATGATTGTAGACAAACAGAGCAGAGGAGGTCCCTGGGATTGATGGGAAAGACTTCACTGGAAGAAGCTCAACTTCCCAAGACAGGGATAAGGGGAGGAGTCAGGAAGAAAAGAGAGGAAACAATTGTCATTCAGCTTCTAAAGGGTCAGAGGCAGCACCAGGGGCAAATCCTTTAATTTGCCACTTAGGAAGATTTAGAAAGGTTTTGGGGGGATAGGGGAGGTCAGTGAGAAAATGGGAGATTACAACAATTATAAAGGAAAAGAATTCTGTTCACCCGGTACCTTGGGGAAAGTTTTAAGGCAGACAAGATAGAGAAAAGATATTAGTAAAACTCTCTAGGAATTAATAGTATTGCCAGTGACACAGATTTGTAATCTTCCGGGTTAAACTCAGACAAGATCAAATCCTTTTGGAAATGCAGTCTGCGCTTTCGGAACGACAGCAGTCACTGTGACTTCTTCACTTTATGTGCTATTTTGCTTCTAAAGGGCTTCAAAGTGTCTGCTTCTCTTACTCCAGCCTGCCTTCAGAATGAAATGAAAAAAAAAAAAAATTGAGGGAACAGATTGACTCTGAAGCATTCCAGAGAGAAGAGGTTCGGCACATAATCCCATTCCAAAACAATATTATCAGAAACAACTCTTTGCCTTTCACCTTTTCATTGTTTTCTGAACACACCCAGGTGGAAGGAGCTCTAGGTTTGCTTTCAGATTTGCCAGGGATGGAAACTCAGACCCCAGTATCAGCAGCATAACTGCACAATTTATATAACCTCTCTGAGGCTGAGTTTCTGTCACCTCTAAAGTGGGAAGCACACCATTTGAGGAGGCTACCCCAGCATGCTACAAGCTCTTGGTAAACATAACCTATTATTTCTGTTATATCTAGTGACTCCCAAATGTAAAGCTAACCTATTATGTTAAGAAGACTTAACAAAAGGTTTATAACTATTTGAGGAAATTGATTCCATGCAGGCTTGGGAATTGTTTTTAAAGTCAGAAGAGAAAATGCTATTTTATCAGTATTGCTTAAACAGAGCTTAAATAGTGTCGCTGTTTCTTTTAAGAGGCGAATTGGACTGGGCTCACATTGCACGTATATTTCATCTACAGTTGCCACATATGTGTGTTTTTCTCAGCAAGCAGCACATATGGAACAACTCTTTATGGAAAATAAGAGTGATGTCATCTGCCTAGCAATACCAGGATATGAACTCAGACTCCCACAGTGCCGTTGGATCCACACAGCTACCAGCGCGCTCTGAGGAAGGGAGACTATTTTGAATGTTTCCGGAGTTGTATGCTTTGATTTTCTTCTGAGAAATCACTGGGAGGGTGTAATCTGATTTCCACAAAGAGAAATGGGTGTGTGGGGACAGAAATAGTTTATTCTTAGGGATTCCTAAGGAACTCTTTGAAAGTGTTTCTCATATTTCAGAACAGAAAAGTAAAAAACGGAGCAAATGTGTTCTATTCCCTTTTATGTTGAGGAAAACAGTTCCCCTGTCCTTTCAAGAGGTCCTGTCCCAGGGAATCTGCTCAGACTTGCTATTCAGTCTGCATTCTTCTGTGGCATTGCTGAACAGATTAGCTGTAAGGAGAAGTTTAGTGCTTCTCCGATGATTTAAGTTATTTTAAACAAGGATTTCAGGATGAAATGAAAGGAAGCCAGCTATTGGGGCATGTTCTCTCCTTGAGGAAAACCTGTTTGTTTGTTTCCTTGTCTTACAACAGATAATTTAAAAAAATTAAAGTTTATTCATGCAACTGTACTGTGATGGCTTAAATTCCATTCTTTGTAGCTCTATACAATGCCCTTCATTAGCGTTGATCTCCCTATAGAAAGATCCTTGGTAGTTACTTGGAATTCAGGCTCCAATTCAGGCTCCAGTCTGTTAAGAACTAATCCCTATAAGCTTGTAGGAATTGCCACCCTGGGCTGCACTGAGAGAACTGCCCGGTGTAGCTGGAGAGGTCAACTGGTGGTCCCAGGACTGATTTCTTGCAGAAAGTAGGTTTGGTTTGGCGGAGTTTTTGAAAAGGATTTAAGTTGACATGCTTTTAGCCAGGGGTATGCACTCTTTTCACCTCTGATCCTAGCTGTCCCTAGTACAATTACCATTGGCCTTAGAATCATGTGAAATTACCTGTTCAGTTCCCAGAGGCATTTGAATTTGGGACCCTGGAACTGGAAGGGGCACCCACAAGATCTAATAAGGTGTAAATTCTTATAAAAAAGTTCACCAAATCCTGACAGTGATCAAAGTGAAGTCACTTACCTCAAAGCTCAAAGTCTCTGTTTTTTCACTATGGGTTGATGGCAGCTGTGCTCCATGTCTTCATTTAAACGTCCAGGCTCTATCTGGATGTAGCCATGTTTATTGCAGAGGAAAAATGGAAAAGAACCAGTGTCTTTTAAAACCTCTGGCCAGAAGTTGCACATGATACTTCCAATTCCATTGGCCAAAGCAAGTCACGTGCACAAGCCTCACTTCCTAGAAGGGAACAAATATTAGCCTTCTGCAAGAAAGAGCAGTGGATATTTTAGACAAAATACTACTAACCTCATCAATAAAAAATATTTATGAGCTTAGCAGAAGCTAAGTGACGTGATAAGAGGGGAATCCAGCCTTCTCTCAATTAGAAAGTGAAAGACACACGAGAAAATGTTCAAGAGTATAAAAATTCTGTTGTCAATGCCTGCCCAACATTTATTCCATATTTTATCTGGTAACAGAATCTGATTTCTCCTTTGAAACCCATTTCTCTTTCTCATTTGTAGTTCTGGAGTAACTGACTCCAGATGTCCTTCCTCTGCCAGAAGTTATTAATTATATAGGGTGGGAAAAATGCTAGTTTTGTTAACTGAATAAATAAATACTATGGTCGCTGTTGTGAGTTGAATTGTATCTCTTCCCAAATTCCTGTGTTGAAATCCTAATACCCAGTACCTCAAAAACATGACATTATTTGGAAATAAGTTTGTTGTAGATGTAATTCGTTATGATGAGGTCACGCTATAGTAAGGGTGGGGCCCAAATCCCATATGACTAGTGTCCTTTTAAAGAGAAAGTTTGTGTGCAGGTGCACACAGGGAAGCACACTGCGTGAAGATGATGCAAAGACTGGGGTGATACAGCAGAAGCCAAGCAGCACCAAAGGTTGCCAGCAAACCAACAGAAGCCAGAGGGCCATGGACCAGATTCTCCTTCACAGTCCTCGGAAAAAACAAATCCTGCCAACATCTTGATTTTGGACTTCTTGCCTCCAGAACTGTGAGACAGTAAATTTCTGTGGTTTAAGCCATCCAGTTTGTAGTACTGAGTTACAACAGCCCTTGGAAACTAATACTTTGGCCTTGGTTGAATATGCAAGGGAGAGAAAGAGGTGTTTGATGAAACACAATCTTGGCACAAGTGAAGGATCAACAATCAAATAATAAACAAATAAAAGTTCCTTTGATCTTCTGATAAGGAAAGAACATAAATAAGGAGAGTGAAAATCACCTGGTCAGACTATTCGGAGGCAAAACTCCTTATCTTAGGTATTTAATAGAAGGGAACAAAGACCACCTGGTCGCATCTGGTTCCAGGCCTCTTTCAGCTTTTATAAGTAACTAAAGTCTCGATGTATCCCTGAAACTCATTTTACAACCCTAAGCTCCCGCCTTAAGCTCCATAAATACCCCGATGATATATCCACCAGGGGGCGCTCAGTCCTCTCGCCGAGGCATCCCGCTACACTCTTGTAGCTTTCCTCCTTTCTAATAAACTTTCCTTTTTCAAACCTACACTGTTGTTGGTAAATTCTTTTTACCAACACGCGAGTTGACCACTTCCTGTTTTGGGGCTATCACACCTCGCCCAGTAGATTGGTATGATTGAGGAACCTTTTAGGGAATAGAACATAAATAAACGATTGTAGGTCAATGTTTTAAACTCTGACATACATCATAAGAAGTTTTTAACTCTGACAAAATTCATAAAAAGTTGGGGGTATCCTGTAAGCCTTCCTGTTTCTATAACTGTCATAATGATTTTATAAACTGATATAAATACTTTTAAAATAATATGCCCTGTGATGATATTCCTTTCAAATGGCGGGGTGGTGGCGGGGGTGGGTTGTAGTTTTGTGTTAATGATTTAAAGTAAGAGCTGTAGACCCAGAATATCTGAGTTGAATCTGGCAGTATAATTTCCTGAGTTACGTAAACCTTTTGTCTTAGTTCATTTTCTGTTGCTGTAACAAAATACCACAGACTGGGTAATTTTTTTTTTTAAATAAATATATTAGCAACCAGTTCTGGAGGCTGGGAAGTCCAAAAGCATGGTATGGATATCTGATGAGGGCCTTTTTGTTGATCATAACATGGTGAAGGGCATCTCATGGTGAGAGGGCAAGATCATGTGGGTCAGTTCAGGTTTCTTTTCCTGTCCTATAAAGCCTCTAGTTCCATCATGGGGACCCTACCCTCATGACCTTATCTAATTCTAATTACCTCCTGAAAGTCCCATCTCCAAACATTATTGTTAGGGACAAACTGCCCCAAGAAAGCTTCTTGGTGCGGCCCCCCTCCCCCTAATGCTCTGCAACTCTTCACCATGCCGCCCACCATTTCCCCAAGCCTCTTTACATTTCTAAGCCGTTATCTAGGCACCATGGTGAAGCCCCCAGACCACTTATCAGACCGTGCTTCAATAAGCAAACCCCAATTACAAACCATCTAGGCCGCACAGGGTGAAGTGGTGGGAAGCATAAACAAACTTTTACCTACACCTCCTGTAATAAACATCACAAGGTGCTATGTGGCAAAATTAACCAGCAAACAACCCCGGGATGCGGCCATACCAAAGAACTCCCTCAAACTCCTCTCCCCAGCATAAACCCCTCATTCTGTAAACTTGGGGCTGTTTCCCTTGACTGTTAAGGGGGCAGCTGGCAGGTTAATAAATTGCTTGCCTGGGCCGGGTGCGGTGGCTCACGCCTGTAATCCCAGCACTTTGGGAGGCCAAGGCATGCGGATCACGAGGTCAGGAGATCAAGACCATCCTGGCTAACACGGTGAAACCCCATCTCTACTAAAAAATACAAATAAAATCTATAATTAGAAAAAGAAAAAAGAAAAGGAAGCCAAAAGACCAAAGTAGGAGAGGAAAAGTTTTGGTTCAAATTATTTCATTGTTATAGTCTTATAAGCATGTAAAAGTTAAGTAATTTTCTAATCGTTAATTATTAATATACAGAAATATGATCAATACTTGTACACAGATCTTTCATTCAGCAACCTTCCTAAATTCTCTTAACAATTTTTATCTGTTGTAGATTCTTTTGAGCATTTTAAATATACTATAAAATAAACGTATATGTGCATTATATGTGAGTGAAGATATTTTTACTTTTATTTTTTCCCAATCTGTACGTGTTTCCCCCTTTTTCTTGCCTTACTGAAATGGCTAGAATCTCCTCTATAATGTTAGAGATAGCAATAATAGAAATCTTTAGTATGTTCCCAATCTTAGGGTGAAAGCGTTCAGATTTTCCCTACAAAGTGTCATGCTAGGTTTTTATTTTGTTTTGTTTGGTAGTTACCCTGCGTCAGATTAAGGAGGCTTTCTTCTATCCCCAGTTTCCTGAGAATTTCATCTTGAAAACGTGCCAAATTTTATTAAATGCCTTTCTATGTATACTTATATCATGTTGTTTTTCTCATCTATTTTGATGATTATCAAAGTTGCTTATCTTGTGGTTAGTTATCTTGATTAATTTTTTAAAAGATAAAACTGTATAATAATCACAGGATAAGTCCCATTTGGTCACGATGTAATATTTTTTACTATATCTCTAAATTTCATTTGATAATAGTTTATTTAGGATTTTGCTTATATGTTTATGAGAAATATGGGTCTACATTTTTTGCGGAGGATGAGAGGTCATATTCTTTTCTGCTTTTGGTATTAGAATTGTATCATCTTCATAAAATGAATTGGGGCATATTCCTGTTCTCCATTTTTCTGAAAGCTTTGTGTAACCTTTGCAGTGGGTTCAGTACTAGACCCCTAAAAGATAAGTTTATCCAGAACCTCTGAATGTGACTTCTGTTGGAAAAGGGTCTTTGTAGATGTAATTAAGTGAAGGGTCTTGAGAAGAAATCATTCTGGATGGCAACTGTCTTTATAAGAGATTTCAAAGGGAGAAAATGGAAGAGACAGCCATGTACAGGTAGAGGCTGAGATTGGAGTTATACTTCCAGAAGCCACACAGTACCTGGAGCCAGCAGGAAACTAAAAAAAGATAACAAGTGATCCTGGCCTAGTGCCTTCAGGGGTAGTGTGTCCTATCAACACCTTGTTTAGGGTCTTCTGGCCTCCATAGCTGTGAAAAATAAGTTTCCTTTGTTTTAAGCCATTCTGTTTGTAATAATTTGTGATTGCAACCCTAGGAAATGAATATGATCTCCTAACTGACACCAGACACAAAACTTTAAGATGAGTCATAGACTTAAATGTGAAAAGTAAAACTCTAAAGTTCCTAGAATAAAACATAGATATAGGAGAATTATCTTCATAATCTCATTGTTGGCAAAGATTGCTTGAAAAGCACAAAAGGATCAGGATAGACAGCTAATGCATGTGGGGCTTAATACCTAGGTGATGGGTTGATAGGTGCAGCAAACCACCATGGCACATGATTACCTATGTAACACACCTACACATCCTGCACGTGTATCCTGGAATTTAAAATAAAATAAAAGAAAAAGAAAAGCACAAAAGGAACCCACTATAAATTTTAAAAATCGATAAACTGGACATTATAAAAATTATAAAGTAAAAAGTTAGGTTCATTAACCTGAATATACTTTTAAAAACTCCTAAAAATTGACAAGAACAGCAAATAACTGAATTTTAACTAAATAGACAAAAACTTTAGGCATTTCTAAAAAGAGAATATCTAAACAGCCAGTAAGTATGAAATGGTGCTCAACACCGTCATTTTGAATCTTAAAATTGGGATAATTTCTTTTTCTTCAGCTAATATTACATATGTCACAAGCTTGTTTTAGGACATAAATGAAAGAATGTCTACAAGACACTGGGCCCAGTGTGGGACTCATAGTAAGTGAGCAGTAACTATGATTCCATGGGCAGTGTTCAACTAACCTATTACACAACAGTGTATAAAATACATTGCAGAAAATTTGAAACAGATTTTTAAAAAAATAAGATCTAACAGCAAAGATCTTCTGTTGTAATTTCTTGAGTTGTTACAGTATTTGAATACTAAATGCACACAACTCTCACTTTCCAACTGGGACTAGACAACAACTTTTTGGTTTAATTAAGAGCTGCTGAATAAAATCACCTTGCGAAATAACCCAAAGTACCAGCAGACCCCTGTGACTATTGAGAAGTCTTTATTTCTTTTCTTGCCTCATTCTTCTTGTTTGCTTCTGGAGGCGAAAATGCCAAACAGTAGAGGTTTTGATAGTTTGTTAGTAAATTTATGCTGATGACAATACAGAAGGTGTTTCACGATGTGGCTGTTACTCTCCCTCCAACTTTGTCTTTACTGTTGTCTTTCTTCCACCTAATATTTTAGCAACATTGAACTAAAAGTTGAAAGTAGATCTCTGATCTTGTCATACTATCTCATGTCTTACTTGTATTTATATCTGCTATTTTCCCCCCGAAACACACTTCCCCCTCAACTACTTTTCCCCAAGCTAGTCTAGCTCTTACAAATCTTTAAATCTCTGTCCACAAGTCATCTTCTTCTAGCAGCCCTGAGCAGCCCTTCCAAGTTTCTACAGATCTCTGTCAGAGCGCTTAAGACAACACATTAGTGATGTCTCAATGCCATCCCTCCCTCTCTAAACCCGTGTTTCTCTAGCATTTTGGATTTCACTCAATTACAAGGGGCAAAATGCTTCACAGCATGCTTCTCCCACTGTTATTTGGTAACGGATTAAGGACTCTGCAATAACAAAGAATTGTATCCATTCCTTTCTTATCCAAAAGATCCTGGAGACCCACCAGTGGGCCACAGATAATACCCTGGAAATCACCAGGCACACAAATATTCTCAAAGTCAGGAACTGGTGTAATGGTTAAGTATGTGAGATCAGGCCAAGTTCTCAAGTTTGAATTGAGGCTCACTCACTTACCAGTGGTGTCTTGTGCAAATCACCTAACCTCTCTCTCAGTTCTCTTGTCTGTACAATGACAATCATAATGGTATGTTTCTCATCAGAATAAAATCAGTTAATGCAAAATATTTACAAGAATGCTTAGTGCATAATAAATACACTCTAGGCAATAGCTATTATAATTAGTGGAGTTATTTCTATAACATCAGCTCTTACCACATTTCCTACAACATAGTAGATGTTGAATAACTGTTTACTGAATGAATTAGTGGATCAGCTCATATGGGCTGCTAACTGCCTAGCATACTGATAAGTGCAGAGAGGAATGTGACTCAGCTGCACCTCAACCCATTTTTGTCATTGCTTATAACTGCATTAAGCAGTTTGAGGACATCTGAAGAAAAGAACCAAGAACCGTCCCTTACTGGGGTGAACTTCAGTCTGGAGAGTTGTGAGAAGACAAAGAGGTGCTTGCCTTCTTCTGTGTGCACAGAAGCAAGATGATCCTAAGGAGGAAAGAAAGGGCTGAAGAGAGAAAGAGAGAGAAAGAGAGAGAGAGTAGGGGAAAGAGAGAGGGAAACAGAAAGCGAGCGAGTGAGAGAGTGTGTGTGTGCAGGGGAGAGGCAGAGAGAGAGACAGATTGTGTGTGTGTTTATGTGGCGCGTGTGAGTGTGTGTGTGTGTGTGTGTGTGGAGAGAGAGAGAGAGAGAGATTGGATTAGAAGCCAGGAAATTGGGGTTAATTCTCTCTGTGTGGCATTGGGCAAAGTCATTTAATACTATCATTTTCTCCACCATATTGGAATTATTTATGCTCTAGTTGTTCCCAGTAGACAAACTCCTTGGGGAAGAATCCATGTCTCATCCATCTTTAGTGTCCTGTGTTTCACACAGTAATGGCGCATGGCTGCCTTTGGGTAAGAGTCTTTCAAAGGGAACTAAATGCAAAGCCTCTATTCTTTATTTATGAAGATGCCTGCCCAGCCCATCTTTGAGATCTTGATTAATTAATTAGTGAGAGTGCTTCCTTTGAAGACCTTTAAATATTCCAAAGGCTACAGAAATTTATGCTATTACTATTAGTGTTTTCTGAAAAATAGCAAGTAACCAATACACACAAAAGGCACGATTTACAAAGCATTTTCATATCCAATGACCAATTTAATTCTGGCTGACACCTTGATTTATAGAAAGGCATTACTATGCCAGTTTCTCCAAAGTTCCTGTTTTAATGAACATTTTGGGAATAAAAAAGTATGTTTTACATTCATTGAGAGATGCTTGTTTTCAAAATATTTTTAGAGTAATTCTTGCCTAATAAAAATAATCTGTTTTTTTTTTTTTTTTTCTCACAAAAGTTTGGATGTTTCACACGTTGCATTTACCTGGGTCTGAATATGAACATTTTTTTTCCCTCAGTATCAGAGAACTCTTCAGATAGAACATTTCCTGTACATATCATGGTTTAGAAATTTTGAGGCTGGGAGCAGTGAGTTGTGCCTGTAATCCCAGCCCTTTGGGAGGCCGAGGCAGGCGGACCATCTGAGATCGGTAGTTTGAGACTAGCCTGACTAACATGGAGAAACCCCATCTCTACTAAAAATACAAAATTAGCCAGGCGTGGTGGTGCATGCCTGTAATCCCAGCTACTTGGGAGGGTGAGTCAGGAGAATTGCTTGAACCTGGGAGGCAGAGATTGTGGTGAGTCGAGATCGCGCCACTGCACTCCAGCCTGGGCAACAAGAGCAAAACTCTGTTGCAAAAAAAAAAAAAAAAAAGAAATTTTGAAAATTGATATATTTATTTGTTTTAAAAGAGTATAAAATAAAATAAATGTTGAGAGTGAGTGCAGATTAGGAGTTGGATATATACTTGTGTCTCATTTCTCTCATGGCCATGTGCATATAAGAATCCTTATCTGAGCCGGGCGCGGTGGCTCACGCCTGTAATCCCAGCACTTTGGGAGGCCGAGGCGGGCGGATCACGAGGTCAGGAGATAGAGACCATCCTGGCTAACACGGTGAAACCCCGTCTCTACTAAAAATACAAAAAAATTAGCCGGGCGCGGTGGCGGGCGCCTGTCGTCCCAGCTACTCAGGAGGCTGAGGCAGGAGAATGGCGTGAACCCGGGAGGCGGAGCTTGCAGTGAGCCGAGATTGCGCCACTGCACTCCAGCCTGGGTGACAGAGAGAGACTCTGTCTTAAAAAAAAAAAAAAAAAAAAAAAAGAATCCTTATCTGTAAAACAGAGAAAAAGCCTGTAATAGCTCCTAAAGTGATTTTGAGGACTACATGAAATAATGCTGGTGAAGAATTTAACACTGGGCTCAGCAAATAGCAAATGCCTAACAAATAACACGTTTCACTGTTTCTAATAACTATGTTGTATAAATGAATCATAGTTATTAATAAAATACTTTTACACTAATAATAGTAAATGTAGGGGTGGTTTTGTTGTTAGGAAAACCAGTGACCATGCTTTGGTATGACTTCCAGGCCAGTGAATAATTCACAAGTAAGATCAGTTTAGGGGCTGGTAAATGACAGCATTTTGTTCCATTCTGTGGTTGCAGTTGGTATCTGTTTTTCATGGCTGCTGTCAAAAGCCACCGCATATACAGTTCTGGAGTTAGAAGTGTAAAATGGGGGCCAGGCACAGTGGCTCACGCCTGTAATCCCAACACTTTGGGGGGGCCGAGGTGGGTGGATCACCTTAGGTCAGGAGTTCGAGACCAGCCTGGCCAACATGGTGAAACCCTACTAAAAATACAAAAAATTAGCCGTACATGGTGGTGAGTGCTTGTAATCCCAGTTACTTGGGAGACTGAGGCAGGAGAATCGCTTGAACCTAGAAGGCAGAGGCTTCAGTGCTGACCTCCAGCCTAGGCAGCAGAGTGAAACTCCGTCTCAAAAAAAAAAAAAATAGTGTACAATGAGTCTTGCTGGGCTAAAATCAAGGAATGAATGCAGCAGTGTGGCAGTGTGTTCCTTTCTGGAGGGTCCTGGTCAGAATCCTTTTTCCTTTCTAGACACCACCTACATTGCTTGGCTCATGGCCCTCTGACATCTTCAGTCAGCAATGCCACATCTTTCTGTGCATTTCTTCCATAGTCATCTTCCCCTCTGATTTTTTTTCCTACCTCCCTCTTCTACTTTTAAGCACCTTTGCAATGATATTAGACATACTCATACAATCCAGGCTAATCCTACTTTGAGGTCAGCTGACTGGCAACATGAATTCCATCTGCATTTGATTTCTCTTTTCCATGTAGCCTGACGTAGTCACAAATTTCAGAGGTTAGGACATGGACATCCTTGGGGTGGAAGTGGGAGGCATTACTCAGCCTCCCACATAGCTCCAAATAATACTAGGTTAGAAGACAATTATCTGCTCTGAATCTGAAATTAGGAAAGATGTAGGTTTTGATTCTGATTTCAGATTTTGAACTGATACTTCCTATGGCCCCAGGCCCTGTTTTCATATGGCCCTGTTTTCCTACCAGAATGCATTCTTAGATATAGCTATTCTACAAGATAGTCTTTGTTTCTGGGAGGGTCGTGAACTATCACGAAATCCAGCCCAGTCTGATACAACAGCAGAAATTGACAATGGCTTAAATTTTATGTCTTTTTAATATTGTTCTGACTTCCTGTATTTTCCTGCTTCTTTGAAAGCCACCTAAAAAGGCCCAGTGTTTACAGCATCCTTCAAAACCCACATCTAATTTCCTGCAAAGTCAGGAAAGCTTAGGGGTGAAATAAAAATGTCAGAGGATTTAGTGGCTGTGAAGCTCGCCCTGACAGTGGAAGGAGCTGCATCCCATGCAAGTCATGACCAGCTTTGAATTGTCCCATCCGGATGGGAAAATATGAACAACTGTGGATCATATGGCTTTCCTGTGCCAAGCGCTTTATATGCAACATCTCTAAGTATCATCACCATCATTGTGAAACAAATAAAAATAAATTTTAAAGGGACTAAATAACTCATAGGACATTCAGCTTGTAAGTAGCATCAGAGGCAGGAGTCAAATCACAGTGATTATCATTCTAACAGCAAATAGTTTTCCAGCTTCTCCAAGCCTCCCCTGCACACACTTACGCTGGTTGTACATCACAGTGCTTGGTTTACAATCTATCCTAGAATGAGAGCTGTTGGAAATCTGAACCACGATTCTTTCATTTGTCTCCTGCTTCTAGTCTTGTGCCTGGTGTGTAGTCAAGCTTCAGCAACATTTGCTTATTTTAGGAAAGTGTGGCTCAACTAGGACACTGGTATGAGTGTCTTAACTGCACCAACCTACAGAAAAACCCATTTTTGGAAAGACAACATCAACTTTGGTACTGGTGGAAAATTGGCTCAGGATAATTTTTTCTTCATAAGCCATTCCCGTGATATTTGATTTGGCTTTCTGAGACATATTAATCAATCCTCAAAATTCCACTGAGGAAGCAACTCTACTCATTGGTAATCAGCTGGTATTTATCTACTGAGACACTTGGGAGGCAAAATGGAAAATGAAGCCCTTTTGCTGGAGTGCTTTAATTTAACCCCTCTCTCCCAATTTCATTTGAAACTCATTTATCTTGCAGAGGTGCACCACTCTGCCTAAAAGTAATACTCTTAAGGCAATTAGCACATATTTTCTGAATGACTCACACTTACTAAGTAACAAACATTGTTTTTGTCCCTGGGTGGTGTATATTTGGATATCATAGGACTAGCAAATGTTCAATCCACATAATACAACATTTATCTAAAATTCAAATATATCATGTATGTAGTACTCCACAAGTACAGGCTAAAGTCTCTTTTAAAAATTTTTTTAGTCTTCTCGGGATCTTTTTCTTTTTGGATGGCTTTTTAATACTATGGAATATTTTTAGTCATTTAGGACCAAAGTGCCCTTTGACAAATTTGCCTGAAAATATCCTGCACATAAGCAAACCAGGAAAATATATGAATCCATTTAATGCTTGAAACAGTATCTATCATAACACATATGAAATGTGACAATTATGCTAAATATTCAATATTTGAAACACTTTTTAAACCTCTTCCAGAATGGCTAGAATTATAACGATAATGTTAAGGACATGGAGCAACTGGAATGTTTATGCACTGAGAATGAGATTATAAATTTGTACATTCAGTTTGAAGATGTAATGACAGGATTTGCTAAAGCTAAACAGGCATACATCTTAGGATTCAGCAATTCAGCTCCTTCGTGGTATATGTTTGTGTCCACGTGTGAATACTCCTTGGTTTTACACATATAAATATGCTGGGTTTTTCACCAAAAGATGCATTCATTTCTGTCCAAATAATTTTTGTATATGGCTTTATTGATAATAGTCCCAAAGTAGAAATAACTCCTATTTCCATGAAAAGTAGAATGAATTAATGTGATCACACACACACACACACACACACACACACACACACACGGAAAACTGCATAAGAATGAAGAACAAGCTATTACAGTAGACACCAACATAGTCGAGAGTCACAGACATAAAATTATTATGTAAAAGTCTGAAACAAAATGAAGTTAAAAACTAATCTATGATAAATGATTGAGGTCTCTGACGATTGAGGTCATGTTCCTTGGGAGGATCTGTGAAGGAGGTTTTCAGCATGCTGCAAATGTTCTATATCTATTCTGGCTGGTAGTTATGTGAGGATATACACATGTAAAAATCCATTGAGGTATATATTCATAGCACATTATGATATGTAAATTATACCTCAATAAAAAGTGAAATAAAGTACATGCATGAATCATATATTTTAGGTAAATATGTGGAAAATTGACTACTAGGCCTATGGCCTTATAAAGAAAGGCATAGAGCCTTTAAATGCAATTTTCTCTATAGATCCTTTATTAACACTGCTATTGGAAGGGTGCTCCTCTTTTTTTGAGACCCCATAGCACTATGTGAGTGTTCTTCACATGGGACCTATTTATTCTTCTTTCTCACCTATAGGTGTGTTATGTTATGCCCCCACTCTATTCCACAAGATAGGGGATCTTGGAATGCAGAGATGCAGAGGTCACATCAGACTCATTCTTGTCCCCCTCCTCCCTCCATGTAACATTGCCACAGTGTCCAGGTCCCCCTGTAGGGACAGCCTACATGGGTGTATTAAATTTGATACCTAATCCATGCCACTTAACCTGGGGGAGCTACTGTATTAATCTGCTTAGACTGCCATAAAAGAATATCACAGACTATGTGGCTTACACAATAGAAATATTATTTTCTCAGTGTTCTGGAGACTGGAATTTTAATATCATGACGTCTCCAGGATGGGTTTCTGGTGAAGGTCCTCTTGCTGACTTGCAGATGACCACCTTTTGTCCTCCATGGCCTTTCTTCTGTGTGTGCTGCAGAGAGGAGGGGTCTCTAGTATCTCTTCGTCTTTTTACAATGCCAGTAGTCCTGTGGGATCATGGCCCTACTTTTATAATCTCATTTAGCACTAATTAGCCCCTTAAAAGCCCTGTCTCCAAATATAGTCTCATTAAGGGCTACAGCTTCAACAAATAAATTTGGGGTGTGGAGGACAAAATTATATTTATAACAGCAACATTGGCTGAGCCTCTTTTTCAAGTTCCCTTGGCTCCTGAAATTCTCTGCTCACCTCATCTTCACCATAGGTTCTGCATGGACTTCTAGTCCCATTATTCCTCCTGCTCCCATGGTCTGATCTCACATTCTCTCACCCCTTGGTTCGTTCCTCAGCTTGCCATTCCTAGTCATTAATTGGAAAAGTCCTTAGATAGAATCCTAACCAGGTAGAACCCCACAGAGGACACCAGCCCTGGGATCCTCTGATGTCTCTCTTACAGTATTCGTAACATTTCTTCCATGACACTATGTATTTCCCCAAAAAACTCATGTTCTACGAAAATGCTTACGAAAAATCACAAACCTTATGAGAAAAATCAGATTAGAGGAAGATGACTCAAAATTTATAAGAGACTCTAGCTAGAACCCTAATAAAAACAATAACTATTCTAACTGGAAACATAATACACAGTTAGATTGCTACTGGCTTCTTCCTACATTACAGTCAATATTTGTCCCCTTAAATATGGGGCTTAATCCTCTTTCTTAGCAATGTAGGTCTTTGAAGGTCATTTGCTTCTATTAGAGCGCACAATGATCAATCTTAAAAGTCTGATCCAAGATGTAGCTTTCTCCATTCATTCATTGTTTCAATTCAGAAGGAGATGTCGTCGTAGTTCTTTGTCTGCACAAATGTCCCTCCCTGTTAGGTTAACATAGTGGAAAGCCTGCAGCTCTGGAAGCCAATAAATTAGCTACCACTTGCACTAAAGAAAGTCCCTTCCATAGATTTTCAATTTTTACTTCTGATCTTTCTTTTTACTTGTTGTCCTTGATTGCTTCAAAAATACCCACATATTGAAAAAACTGTGCAGGGATCAGCACAACTTCTATACTTTATTGACATCATTTCTCCATTTACCAATGGCCTTCCAGATAATCCCTGCCAAAGAAATACTCATTATAACTAAACAGAATGTGGCAAACCTTCAAGCCCTGCTCTTTCAAGATACTCCTTGCCACTTTCTCTATGTTTCAATCACCAGAGCTGGCAGGGACACAAAATTAACCTTTTGTGTTACTGACAGGCAATTAAGAAATACATCAATTCCTAAATCTACAATCTGGGAAAAGGAATTTTAAGGCAGAAGAGGAGACAGTGTCCAAGACCCTAGCAAGGATTAATTAGCTCTTTTATTCACATAGTCGTGCATTCAATTAACATGTTTTGAGCATAAACACTTTATTAGATAGTAAGCAAAAGAAAGAGACTCAGGTTCTGCTCGATGCTGCCACTTATGTTACTTTACACAATGCCCACAGCCATCTGGTGAGGCAGATATTCTTTCTCATTCTCTTTTGCATATGAGGAAGCTGAAGCTCCCCAGTAGATGACAACACAAGTATGATGCACCCAGAGTAGAGGACTCATTTGTGCTGTCACTCAAAAAATCGCTGATACAAAACTGATAGATTCAGAGCATTATTTCAGGCTCTCTCCTGACTTTCCTCTTGATTGAGCCAAGATTTCCTTCCCTCTGACCCATCTACATTCTTCGAAAGTAGATTAGCTTTTCTAATCTTCCTGAGTTGTGATTTAGCTTTTCCCTAACATGCTGCTTCTATGATGGCCCTCTCAGTTTGAAATCATATATCCCACATGCAAATGACACTCATTCCTGGTCATGCTTGGGGTCAGAGAAATTGTACTTGGCCTAAACATAGTGGCTTGAGGCCCTAGATTTCTAGAAGGTGACATTGGGCATAGACACGTAGTCATACATTAGGGTATCTACAAGTATTCTCTTTTTCACTTGCTCAAAATTATGCAACAATAGGACAGAACATTATTTGAGAATTGCTCTGTGTGCATCTAGATTCCATGCTCATTTAGCAATGCCATTATTTCCTTCTTGTATAATTAAAAAGACATGCAAGATACAGCTTCTATTCTTAAAGCATCACAACTGATTGGTGGGAAGGGAGAGTCACGTCCATTAGATGCATGATCTAATGCCATCAGTGTGAAATGTTCAATTAGAGACACAGGTTCTTAGAGTGACTGGAGTCAGAAGAGCCACATGACATTGGATATTGAGTGGATTAAAAAAAAACTCCATAGAGGGCCTCAGATGTTTAACTGGGCCCTGAAGAAATGGGACTCTAGGTTACCAACGGGAAATTGGATAATTTAGTCAATCGTTCTTCTCCTCTTAAAAAATGTTTACATATTGACAAAACTGTTCAGGGATAAACCTCCACCTCTACCACCACAGTTGCACATGATTTTTAAGTTGTCTCATACGTGTTTCAAGTTTGTCCTGTGTAGGACATAATCTCACTAACTCCATCTAGCTATATTGTCTCCAGCCACCATTTATTTATAAATTATATGGAAACATTAATTCTTCCTGGACCGTAGAGTGGAATTACAACCAAGTGAAACTTGGCTGTTCTTGGCCTTTCCCCCACCTCCTGAATACATCATACATGACCCTGCTCTTAAAACTTTCAATGTATTCACTCATCCTTAGCCTTAAATTGCTGTAAAAACGTCTGTCTTCAAGTCAGCCCAGCGCTCTTGGAATCAGTGTTCCCACAACTTAATCCCTGTGGGCACTTTCTGACATCCCTTTTGGGTTGTACAAGTAATGAATCATCTCTGAAACTTCTGGAATCTGACTTCTCCTCCTCCAAGGCTCCTTTTAGACTTTCCTTTCCATTTGCCAAAGCCTCTGATAACTTAGAAAATTCAGTAATGCACCCATTGATTCCAAGGAAAAGTTTTTCCTATGTATTTCCCTTATGGAACTGTGCTTTTCTTCTTTCTCCCTTTTCATGGCATAGATTTCTGCAGTTCCAGGAAACTCCTACACATAGGCATTATTTGAAGCCATGAAATTTCTCTGGTGAGTCACAACATGTCTTCAGTTCTCCCTTTCCTCTATAAAGTTATAGAGAGTTGGATGAGAGAGGTGGTAGAGCACAGTCGTTAAAAGCCCCCACTAGAGTCACTCAGTCTTGATTTAAATTTCTGTCTGACATTAGCTAACCTTCACTAAGTTATTTGACTTCTTTAAGTTTCCACTTTTGATCTGTAAAATGGAAGAATAATCACAGAAAGAATTAAATAAGAAACCACATGTAAAATGCTTAGGGCAGTGCCTTACCCACTGAACACATACACTCCCTAAGTGTTGACTATTTTTATTTTGATTCATGAGTTCATCAATTATTTATTAAGATCTCTCTCCACACCCCTTACACCAGGTACTAGGCCAGACACTAAATATAAAGTGATGTACAAGACTGATGTAGCCCCTGCTCACTAGGTCATTAGAGTTCCTTTAGTTGGTTAGTGACATGGACAAACCACAATCTTCCTGTGTCTTGTCACTTCCACCTCCTTGTGTCTCATTCTCATGGCTACTGCCCATTCATGAGGGGAAGATAAAACAGAGGACATAGGTACATACATTAAATCCTTATTATTGGCCAGTGTCCATGGTATATCTTTTTCAAAAGAATAAATGCAGCATAAAGTGATTAAGGGTGAGAAAGCAACGAAACAGGGGTGCGCTCACCTGCTCATCATCAGCAAGGAACTTCTTCAGGGTGCAAACAGCAGGCCAGCATTTCCACCGTAAACTTATCTGGTAGTTGAGCCACATTGTGCACGTACAGAAAAGGTGATATACATAAGTGACAGTAGCATTCTAGTTCCCTGAAAAGAAGAAAAGTAGAGGGGGATATTGTGACGTTGCTACATAACTCCAGTCTTGGCTCAGCAAGAGAGCTGTAGGAATAAGAATAAGAGGAATAATACTACTAATACTACTACAGTAATGATGAAGTAGCTTTGTATTTGTGTAATGTAATTCACATTACCGACAACAAGAAGTGACAGCCAAATTATGCATTATTTCCATTTATTGATGAAGAAATGGTCCCGAGAAACTAGAAGAATTTTCCAGAGACACACTCTCTTTAGAATGTAATGGAGTTAAAACCTTTTCCCCACTAGATTGAGCCACGGTTGAGGTCAGGGGCTGTGATCATTCTGAGCAATACTCAGAAGAGGTTAGCATGAGAGGTTCTGGGGGTCAGCATATCCTTGTTTTAAGTTTCAAATCCAGCCCTGCACTCACTCACTGTGTGTCTTTGGACAAATCACATAAACTCCCAGAGTCAAGTTTGTCATTCACTGAACAGGGCTTAATGTGATTACTTCTCAGTTCTCCTGTGAGGATTCAGTGGGATCATACACATAAAGGGTTTAGCCCGGTGCATGTAGAAAGTGCTCATTAAATGACAGTCATAGTTTCTTTTTTTCATTTTCCTCCCCCTTATCTGCTTCTCCTCCTCATTTTCTCATTATTATTACTACTTTTATTGTTGTTATTATATTGCTACTATTACTGCTATATAGTGATATAGTGAAATACATAATGGGTTTGGAATTCTAGTTCCAGCTATACCACTTTCTAGCCTTCTTGATTTTGCTGAACTGAGAGTCAGAAGAGATATGTTTCTAGGTTATTTCCAATCATTATGCCATCTCGGAAGTGGCAGGGGTGCTATACTAGACTGAGACAAATACCCCATTTTCTCATTCATTAATTACTCTTGAATGCAACCAGCCTGCCTCTAATTCATATATCTCTAAATCTGTATTAGACAAACAAGTCTTCTATTTAGTCATGATTAACGTGAAGGGCTTGCTCTCTGGTTGGTTGATTTAGTGGCGAATCTGGCCTGTAAGTCACATCTTTTACAAACAAGAAATATCAGTCATTGGTTTATCCAGACCAGTCTTTCATTTCCAGTGTTATAGGCCAAAGCAAACAGACTTCCCAACATCAAATAGTCTCACGAGCTGAAATGGCATTCCTTGCTTGTAGGCATGTGGTAGTAACACTCCTAGGTGAAAGAATTGGATCAAGGGTGACAATGGCGGCCAGGAAATGTCTATTATGCATGGGGTGTTTCCTTCTTCTTGCTGCCGTATCATAGTGGAAAGGGTGAGAATTCAAGACACGTTGGATCTGTATTTGAGTTCTAGCCATGTGATGGGTAAAGAGTTAGATCTCCCAAAGTTGTGGTTTCCTCATCTTTCAAATTGGATTGGCAACACTTGAGTTGTTATGAGAATTAGAAGTGCCTTATAAGCTGGGCACAGTGGCTCACGTCTGTAATCCCAGCACTTTGGGAGGCTGAGGCAGATGGATCACCTGAGGTCAGGAGTTTGAGACCAGCCTGGCCAACATGGTGAAACCCCATCACTATCAAAAATACAAAAGTTAGCCAGGCATGGTTGTGCATGCCTGTAGTGCCAGCTACTCGGGAGGTTGAGGCAGGAGAATTGCTTGAACCTGGGAGGTAGAGGTTGCAATGAGCTGAGATCACGCCACTGCACTCCAGCCTGGGCAACAGAGCGAGACTCCATCTCAAAAAATAACAAAAAACAAAACAAAACAAAACAAAACAAAAAACCCCAAACGACTTAAAAATGCTTTACATGGAGTGTCTGACGTGGTATTTGCCACATAGCACAATAAACTCAATATTGTTTAATGCTCAATAAACTATAGCTGTATAGCTGTGATTACTATGGTTAGTATTTAGCTAAAATGATTTAATTTTGTTTTCCACAAAGGTAAAAAGGTGGTATTTATCTTCTAACCAGATGTAGGTTATTCTGGTATCAGAATGTGAAGCATGTGCTCCTGCTATTTGCTGGGCTCTGGGGCTCAGCATTGCCTTTACTTCTCAGATACTGATGTAGTGTCTCTGCCATCCTCTGTCCTGAGGAGCTCACTTAGCTGGTGACAGCATCAACTGCAGAAATTTCCACCTAAGCAGAGGTAGATTTCTATTTCTCACTTTGGCCTCTCTGCTTCTCATTTCCCAATCAGCCTCCCTGCAGAGTGGGAAGGGACAAGTTCCCACCCTCTGTTATCCCCATGGTGGGTGCATTACCCAAGTATTAGTGTATCTAGTGGCATACCCTGTGTATCAGGCAGGGCTCTCCAGAGAAGCAGAACCAATAGGAGATTATATATATATACACACACATATTTTATTGAGAGGAATTAGCTTATATGATTATGGATGGTGAGAAATCCAATGATTTGCTGTCTGCTAGCTAGAGATCTAGGAAAGCTACGGGTGTATTTCAGTCTGAGACTGAAGGTTGAGGGCCAGGAGAGCTGATGGTATATAAATTCCAGTCAGATGTCAGCAGAATGTGAGATGAGATGACTGAGCTGAAGCAGTTCTTTTGTTCTATTCACTTCCTCAAGGGATTGGATGATGCCCATCTGCATTGAAGAGGGCAATTTACATTACTGAATCCACCAACTTAAATGCTAATATCATTCAAAACACCCTTGCAGACACTCCCAGAAATAATGTTTAATCTGGGCATCCCACGGCCCAGCCAAGTTGACATATAAAATTAACTATCACACCTTGTTCTTTTTTTTTAAAAATTTTATTATTATTATACTTTAAGTTTTAGGGTGCATGTGCACAACGTGCAGGTTTGTTACATATGTATATGTGTTCCATGTTGGTGTGCTGCACCCATTAACTCGTCATTTAGCATTAGGTATATCTCCTAATGCTCTCCCTCCCCCCTCCCCCCACCCCACCACAGTCCCCGGTGTGTGATGTTCCCCTTCCTGTGTCCATGTATTCTCATTTTTCAATTCCCACCTATGAGTGAGAACATGCAGTGTTTGGTTTTTTGTCCTTGCGATAGTTTGCTGAGAATGATGGTTTCCAGTTTCATCCATGTTGTTCTTTAACTACTTACAAACACCACTAGGAGAGCTGATCAACCCATATTCAGGTGCTAGCTGTTATACTATTCCCTATATCACACCTCCCCTTTGCTCCCAACCAGTCTTCAGGCCCTGTTGGTGAATTGATAAAGTTCTAGCAGGCTCAGTTTCTTTTATGATAGATCTTCTGGCCTTTTAGTCCCAATTGTGAGGTTGGCAGATTTAAAAAAGTTTGAACTCCCAAAACTGAATATAGTTCAAGTCATTATCCCACATCCCTGGCCTCATGAGGCTCTTCATCTTAAGTGCCCATCAGTGGATGCACTGCCCATGGATACATTGAGGGAGGCAGAATGTGGGCTCTGTCACCATCAGACTCACTTTTTGGTCATATCAAGTAATTGGTATGAATTAATTCCAAGGAAATGTGTGGTGTGAAGAGAGAATAGAAAGGGAACTAGATCTGACAGAAATCTCTGTGCCAGTATGATGATGATCTTCAATGTGTATGTGGCCATTGGTCTGGTGCTTGCTCAGTTCCATTGGTTTCTTCCAGCATGCAGTAACAGAATACTGCATAGTATAGCAATAGCATAACTCTATGTAGACGCTAGTGTCTGGTGAGCAAAAGCATAAGAACTTAGTTCCATTTAATGAGCACCTAAAATGTGGGCATTCAGTCATAATCCTCACAACCATTGCAAGGTGACTGGTATTTATTCTATTTTACCAAAATAGGAACTAAGATTCAGGTAAGTTACACAAGATTCTTAAGGTCACACAGTGGGTTAGGGACAAGGGAAGAAAGAAATCTCAGGTTCATAATAAATCCAAAACTCATGCTCCCTTTTCTTCTACTCAGTGGTGATGAGTCAGCATCACACTAGGGATGGTTCTGATTACTCTAGGCTAAATCTGAATACATATTTGCTTTATTTAATCAGCCTACACAGAGGTTTCTTTTCAGCACAAAGAAGTACCATTTGAAAACATCCAAAAATAGTTCCTTTTTCCTCTTCAGAATTAAGTTATTGGATCACCCTAATAAAAGCAAAGCAACAAAACAGAAAGATGTTCAGATTTTTCTCTTTTAAAACTAGGATCAAACAACATAAATAATCCATGGAAGATGCAGGATCCAACTAACCTAATATCTTCCAAGCTGACTTTCTCTCTTTCTAAACTGGTTCACTTTCTCACATTAATTCTATTTGGCATATATAACAAAGGCCAAGGACAAAACTTGTAGTACATATGGCTAGGAAAAGACTTTATATCTCCTATGCAAGAAGGCTCCCCAACAGGGCAAAGAAACCCATGGAACATTGCTTAGATTGCCTTGTTGTCACTTTTGATTTTATTTTTGTTATTAACTTCTGTGCAAGTTCAGCAAACTGATGCAAAACATAACGTGAGAACATATTTATTTAATCTTTGTGAGCAAGACTTACATCACAGTTGGGGAAGTTTGCTAAATTAACTATCTCAGACTCCCTAAATATTCAGTCAGTAATTTATTTTACTCTTTAAGTTTTGTTTTAGTTACTCCTTTATTGCACCTCAACTCTGAGTTCTGGAAAACTTAGTGGGTATCAAATCTTGCAAACCTGAGCAAGGTTTTTCTCTTGTTTCCTACTGATTAAATTAGTAAGAACGGCTGGGCGAGGTGGCTCACGCCTGTAATCCCAGCAGTTTGGGAGGCCGAGGCGGGCGGATCACCTGAGGTCGGGATTTCGAGACCAGCCTGACCAACATGGAGAAACCCCGTCTCTACTAAAAATACAAAATTAGCCTGGAGTGGTGGTGCATGCCTGTAATCCCAGCTACTCGGGAGGCTGAGGCAGGAGAATCGCTTGAACTAGGAGGCGGAAGTTGAGGTGAGCCGAGATCGTGCCATTGCACTCCAGCCTGGGCATCAAGAGTGAAACTCCGTCTCAAAAAAAAAAAAAAAAGAAAAAAGTTAGTAAGAACATATCATAGCTGTTATCCACTCCAGAATTGACTACTTAATACACAAAGGCAACATGAAATATGTACTTTTGACCATTTCGGAGGTGAGTCGCAACAAAATCTCATCAACTGGGCAAGTATTTGCGCTTGACCTCCTGGTATTTAGGAGGCAATAATAAGAATAAAAGCAGAAAAAGAAAAGCCACTTTTCTTCAGGAATTTACAGATACAATTAGCTTTATATGAGATGGTAATCTTTTATTAAAAGAGCTTACCGTGTGTCAAACACTACAGGAAATTCTTTATATCCAGATTCAATAGAATACAGAGATTTCTTTGGATTTGGCAAGAGGGCAAACCAAAATTTTTCTTCATTTTTGGATAAGTGATTTTAGGCAATTATTTTAACCTTTCTTGACATCTTAAAATCATTAAAAATAGGATTTTAATTACATATACCTCATAGAACTTACCTCATAAGATAAATCTTCTGAGTACTGAACACAGCATCTGGCACACAGTAAGGACTTTGTAACTCAGTATTTGTGGCTGTTGCAATTCAGCTTCTAATTAAGACTGTGATGTGTCATTGGTTAAGGGAACAGAAGACATCAGTCCTGTAAGATCCCTTTAGCACTCAAACTCTATGACTTTAAGATTTCATACAACAGGGATCCTGGCTGGGTCAGAATCCAAAGTTTGATATCACCAACAAGTGAGTCTGGTGGTGACTGAGCCCACATTCTGCCTCCCTCAGTGTATCTGGGCACCCCATGGCCCAGCCAAGTTGACATGTAAAATTAATGATCATACCTTGTTCTTTAACTATTTACAAATCCCACTAGGAGAGCTGATCAACCTATATTCAAGTGCTAGCTGTTAATACTATTCCCTGTATCACACCTCCCCTTTGCTTCCATCCAGTCTTCAGGCCCTGTTGGTGAATTGATAAAAGTTCTAGCAGGCTCACTTTCTTTTATGATAGATCTTCTGGCCTTTTAATCCCAATTGTGAGGTTGGCAGATTTTAAAAAGTTTGAACTCCCAAAGTTGAATATAGTTCAAATCATTATCCCACATCCCTGACCTCATGAGGCTCTTCATTTTAAGTGCCATCAGTGGATGCACTGCCAATGGATGCATTGAGGGAGGCAGTGCCAAATATAATTAATGTGAGAAAGTAACCAGTTTAGAAAGAGAGAAGATCAACTTGGAAGACATTAGGTTAGTTGGATCCTGCATCTTCCATGGATTATTTATGTTGTTTGATCCTAGTTTTAAAAGAGAAAAATCTGAACATCTTTCTGTTTTGTTGCTTTGCTTTTATTAGGGTGATCCAATAACTTAATTCTCAAAAGAAAAAAGGAATTATTTTTGGATGGCTTCAAATGGCCCTTCTTTGTGCTGAAAAGAAACCTCTGTGTAGGCTGATTAAATAAAGCAAATATGTATTCAGATTTAGCCTAGAGTAATCAGAACCATCCCTAGTGTGATGCTGACTCATCACCACTGAGTAGAAGAAAAGGGAGCATGAGTTTTGGATTTACCATGAACCTGAGATTTCTTTCTTGCCCTGTCCCTAACCCACTGTGTGACCTCAAGAATCTTGTGTAACTTACCCGAACCTTAGTTCCTATTTTGGTAAAATAGGATAAATACCAGCCACCTTGCAGTGGTTGTGAGGATTATGACTGAATGTCCACATTTTAGGTGCTCATTAAATGGAACTAAGTTCTTATGCTTTTGCTCACCAGACATTAGTGTCTACATAGAGTTATGCTGTATTCTGTTACTGCATGCTGAAAGAAACCGATGGAATCGAGCAAGCACCAGACCAATGGCCACACACACATTAAAGATCATCATCATGTTGGCACAGAGATTTCTGTCAGATTTAGTTCCCTTTCTATTCTCTTCTCTCTTCACACCACACATCTCCTTGGAATTAATTCATACCAACAAGCTTATGGATCATAGGATTTTCCAAGTTTTCCTCATCCTCCTTGCCTTTCATCATGCCTAGAACACCCCTCCCTCCTCAACCATAACAACTCTCCTTTGTGTTTCAAGACCCTTCTTAAGCATCAGCTGTTCATGGAAATAGCTGACCTTCATTTCTACCTCTAGACTGAATGATGGAGGGGGACCCTCGTCCATGTTCCATCTCTGCCCTCCCTTATCTATAGGACTTATAGTACCTATAGTATAGGACCTATAGTACCCTCATCAACTGCTATTATTATGATTAATTTACTCTTCCATGGCAAAAGCAAACTGTGAGCTCCCAAATATGGGAAGCAAGTCTATTAATTTCAGTATTTTTAGCAGCCCAATATTAAGCCTGACACTATAAGTTACCAAAGAAATGTTGAATGACGGAGTGGCTGAATAAATAAATCTTCTTGAAATAACTCTTATTAATATCCCTCATACATAAATGTTATCTTTAAAGATAAATACATAGAATAAACATTACTTCAAAATATGTGGCTTTATAAATATTTTGTGACTGGGTCTATCATTGATCTTTCTACTTACTTACCTGCAGTGATTTAATCTTTTTAATTTAAAAAATAAAAGCAATAAATTTGCTGTGAGACACAATTTTCTATTGCTTGAAAGAAAATGTGTCTAAGCATACATATTAATTGATTTAATTACTCTTTCACTCAGTCTGCTCTGTCCCCCAGACTGGAGTGCAGTGGCATAATCTCTTCTCACTGCAACCTTGGCATCCTGGGTTCAAGCAATTCTCCTGCCTCAGCCTCCCGAGTAGCTGGTGTTACAGGCATGCGCCACCATGCCTGGATAATTTTTGTCTTTTTAGTAGAGATGGGGTTTCACCATGTTGGCTAGGCTGGTCTCAAACTCCTCGCCTCAACTGATCCACCCGCCTTAACCTTCCAAAGTGCTGAGATTACAGGCGTGAACCACTGTGCCTGGCCCTATATGAAACTGCTTCTACTCCTGGAACTGTGCTAGGTGCTGGGGAGATAGTGCTGTACTAGAGATATGCAGTCTTTTTCCTCCCATGGACTGTAATCTTGGGGAAACAAAAAGGAACATTAATTACTAAATATAGCTACTACATAAAAATCAAAAACTGAAGCAAGTCCATTGAAGGAAAATGGGAGGGTCTGAAAGGAAGTTCTGCCCTACTCAAAGAGGACCAGGGAGGCTTTCTTGGAGTAGTAACAGTTAAGAGAAGTTTTGAATATTGAAAGAGATCTAGGCAGATAAATGGGTTGGGGAGAGAGCAAGTGGAATAAGAGATGGGGACACATTAATACTTTACAGCAGGAAGCAGCCTTACAGAGATCAAGGTGGCTTTCCAAATATTTCCTCTGCTGAAATCGAAACCCAAAGGAAACAAAACCAATTCATTTATTTTAAAATGGCTTCCTGATTTCCATTAGTTTCCCTACCTGCTTTTCATTAGATAAACTACCTATATTCCACTGGATATAATCAGGTTTATTTGGAGCCTGGGACATTTGTAGAAAATCTGCATTGAGTATAGTCTGATGAAATAGAGAGAGTGCCTTTATATGCTAAACAGGAGAAGAATTTCTGTAATATAATCAAGAAATCTGGTGTGTTGACTTCTGCTTGGTTAATCTGTGAAGCCAGTCACACGTATATGTTTGGTTGTATTCAGAAAAAGCGATAACCAGGTAGTTGGCTGTACATTCAAGGCAGAGGATGTTGCTGAAAGAGTGAAGTAATAGAGCACTGAATTTCAAGTTAGCCAAAATTCTAGCCTCTGTTTCTACAGTGGTCAGGAAGCAACTTCTCCTCGATTTTCTATTTTCTCAGAAAACATGGAGTTGGATGACATGATTTCTCTGGGTCTCTTCTTCTAAATATGTGTAGATTATCCCTCAACATTAGCAGGAGGGCAGCTGAGACGTCACAGAACCAATTCAATCATCCCAGGTGCTTGAAGACCAACTGTAGCCCCCGAAAAAATGCAGCAAATCAGACTTCCTCCAGGTTGAATTTATGCTCATGGTAGCTTCTTCTTCTGTGTTGCTCTTCCTAACAGAGAACTCTCATTCAATTCTAGGTACTTGGCTGGAAATCACACTTTAAGGAGATAAAGTGCTATGACACCAGAAGGGTGTTATTGTTCAAATCATTTAAGGGACGTAACTGTAGCTAATTAACAGGACTCCTGCAAGGGTGGTAGACTCTTTCTTCCTTAATTGTGGACATTTGTTTTCTTTAGTTGAAAGCCTAGTTTAAATTAGTTTTGTGGTAGCGATATTACACCATGAGTGCATATGGATCTTGGATTTCTCTAAGACCCAAAACTGGAAGATCTCATTTTAGGACATTACTGAGAGCCCTACTTCATGCTTCCTTTTAATAGTTGGCTCTTTTTTTTTTTTTTTTTGGATGTAGAAGTCATTGGGTTTCTGATTATTTCATTCAATATATTAATGGCATCTTGTAGCATTTTGCCATATGCACATTGAGCATGTCCAGTTGTGTTCTTGATTCCAAACCACCGTTTTATAGCATTAACCTGTGACATGTATGTGAGTTAACCTCTGATATGCAGTCCCCTAGGGCTATAAATTTCCTTAAGTTAGAAACAGGCTATTTCTGTCTGCTGGCTGCCACCTGGAGAACTCAGTCTTAAAAATCTACTGCATTGATTCCCTCTAGCCCCTCCCAATTTGACATCTGACTTCCCTGTCCCTGTAATTCAGCAGCACATGGCTTGTCCTTTAATACAGAATTGAATTGAGTTGGCTTTTGACCAGTGTGGCCTGCCTTCCAGTTAGTACACAATAACTGTAAAAAATGGGTAATTCTCTTTGATTATTAAAACATTTTTGGGCTTGGTGGAGATCTCTTTCATAGTCTCTGGACAAAAAGATGATTGCAAGGGGAAAATTCTACAATAGAAAAACTCTTGGTTTTGACCAATTCTGCCAACTCTACTCTGTGTGCTTATTAGCAAGTCACTCATATTCACTAAACCTCAATTTCTTCAGTTAAAGAAAGTAATAATATTGATGTCAGTCATTGACCAAGGATTAGAGTAAATGGTTCTCTTTTCAATGGCTTTTTCCTCTTTATTCTTTTCTACTTTTCCAGCTATTTTCTTTTATTTCTCTTTTTGTCTTCTTGGTTTTCTCTTTATACTTCATCTTTTCCTTTTGTTTTTATGTTTTGCTTTTATTTTCTTGCCTCATCTGTACTAAGTACCATATCTTCCACTCCTCTAATGACCATGATGTCTTCTCTGTTTCTACCTAGCATCCTTTACCCCTTTTCTTATTCAGTGCATTGTGTGTCACTTGAGGGATTCCCCCTATACCAAGGGTTTCCAATTTTGGATACCCTGGGCCACATTGGAAGAACAATTGTCTTGAGACACACAAAAAATACACTAACACTAACAGTAGCAGATGAGCTGAAAAAAATATGAAAAAAAAAGAGAAAAATCTCATAATGTTTTAAGAAAGCTTACAAATTTGTGTTGGGCCACATTCAAAGCCATCCTGGGCTGCACGCAGCCCACAGACCATGGGTTGGATAAGCTTGCCCTACACCATAGTACCATGGAAAGACAATCAAGTTGGCCTGACCTCTTCCAGAAAACGGGTGGGCTGGGTGTCCAAGCTACATCAATAAAATGCTTTCTCCTTAAATGGAGTGGTACAAATGCTGAAATCCCATCATAGATTTATCTCATCCATGGTGTCCTGAAATAACTGTTCATTGGATCCTTCCAACTAGATCCCTAGACCAATTCTGGAGCTCTTTTTTCTCTACAGCTAATTATTTAACTTTTATTTTGTTTCAGCAAGCCAGAGAACTATTATATATATATATATATATATATATATATATATATATATATATATATATATATATATAGTGTATATGCTTATGTAGCTTACCTCTATTATATATATATGTATACACATTTGCTTATGTAGCTTACCTCTGAAATTCCCTAAATAATTCATTCTTATTTTTTTTCACCAGAAGTGTCTCCCCTATCCCAACAGCAGATACTAAACCCTAGCGTATACTAGAAATATACACACAGGAGCATGCTATACAGAGCAAAAACAGATGTCAAATGGTATTTGCAAGTCCCCAGCTAGTGTGGGACCCAGCACAGCTTTACCCTGGATGCCGCTCTTCTCATGCCATAAAAGCTGGCTCCAGTTACTGGAGTAATGGAGAGAGCATGTATAGGGGGAATCTAGTCACTGCTAAGTGTTCTCAGAGACCAGGCACCAGAGATGGGGTTCTTCTGGCTCATGGAGCATTGAAACCTGACTGCTCCTTCATTCAGATTCACTTTTTCACAAAGGCAGATGGGATTGTTTTTAGTGTCCCTTGAGCTTCCTTTTCTCAGAGTTGTCAGTTAGCACCTCCATATTCTGCTGAAGCTTTATTCTGTGAATTCTGTTCTTCCACTTTACACACACACACACACACACACACACCTTTAAAGTTTATTTTTCTCCTAACCCAATAAAAATATCAAGAATTCTGGGATAGTGGAAGCTCTCACTGAAATTTAAACTCATGCAGATCTAGCTCTCAATATTCACATTTTCCTTTGGTGATACGCATGGACGCCATTTAACTCTAGCTTCTCTATGCAAGACTGGCTATCTCAGTATCAGGCAGCATGGGTTTTAGTCACTTAATTTCACTGAGCTGTATTATATACCTATATACTTGTAAGGATATATACTTGTAATGGAGAATTTAAATGGATTGTAAACCTAAAGAACAGAACAGGGTGATTTGGGAAACTCTCCTTTACCAACTCAAGAGCTCTTCATCTCTATTGTTTACTTTTCCCCAATTTAAAGAGAATAACAATTTCTAGTACAAAAGAATGAAACAGCATCTTCTTGTTGGTGACAAGCATGTAAAAAACGTATGCTAGCCTATTGCACATAAGCAATAATATGACTGCTCTATAAACTCGTTGCCTGAAATGGTCTAGGAAAATTGAACAATAAATATATCACAGTGATGGTATTACCATCACATCAGGATCTTATTTATCTAGGGAAACTGTTAACAGCTCTGTGCTTAGGACAGAAGTTCAAAAGAATTTGCCTAGAAAAGACCAAGGCTTTAAATATTCGCTCTGAAATGTAGGCTGCTGAAGCAGATTGTAACAGTCATTTGTCTGCTGATTAGTTTAGAGCATTTGTTGTACTGTAATTGCAGGGAGAAAAGGAGTGTGATCATGTGGCTCATTCTACCAGTCACTGGTGGGCATACTTTTCTCCAGGGAACAAATCATTGTTGTTGTTTCTTTCTCTCTTGGAAAAGCTTACAGTGCAATGGGCTATAACCTCTAATAGATACAATACATCTTCTCTGAATAACTTACAAAAGAAATCAATGGTTTGTTTTATACTCATTGTCTCCCCGAATTCCCTTATACGTTTGCCTTGCCTTGGTTGGATAACTTAAGAACAACCATACTTCATAATAAAGAGTTGTCTTGTAAACATGGACTTGGGCTGAAAACATTAGTGGGGCTTGTTTATTTATAGCATTAATTGTAATCCTAGCTCAAAGTAGTCTGGAAGAACATCCAAAAAAGGAAAGAAAAAGAGTAAAACTGATAAAGCACACATCCACACACAGTGTTACTCTGTACAAGGTACACTAGAATCATTGAATTTGTTCCGAAGGAGTGGAGTGTAGAAAAATGAGGTTTAGGTACAGTAATAATAAAGAACTTTATAACAGTTCAAACTGCCCAGTGATGGCTCAGGATGCTTTACAACACTCTAAGTAAGTTCTTCCTCAAAAGAAAAAGATGGAAGACAAATATTTTTGAACTTGAAGGAAGAAGGGACAAATGAGACCGTGGGGTCAACATTTAGTAGCAATGTGGACCTGAACGAATTACTTAACCTCTTTGAGCCTGTATTGTTTTCTACAAAACGATGATGATGATAAGCAACAGGATTTTGAAGATTGAATGAACTTGTGTGTACAAAGTGGCTAACATAATACTTCAAATATATCTGATATTCAATAAAAGTTAGTTGCATTTTTCTAGCAATACTGAAAGCTTAGGTATTTCTCAGGATATGAACAGTTGGCACTTTGGATTCATTCTCACCATCTTCTAAGGGTATCAGCCTATGCTGCTGAACATAGAAGGCTGGAATCTACCTTTCCAACATTCTCGTCAAACTCAGGTTCGCATGGAAGTTAATTCTCACTTATTCAATGCACTTATGCAAGTTTTGAAGGCAAAATTGTAGTAGAGGGCATATTCCTAGAGCCTTTGGAATATTTCTTGCTGGGAAGCAAGGCTGTGGAGGAATCGGTGTCCATTCTCCAGCTTCATGATCTTGAAAATCAGCTGTGGTGGCAGAGGAGGAAGGACTCTGAGTTCCGGTGTCCATGCAGAGGTGCTGGCATTGGCATTGATTTCTTGATTGCAGCTTCCTGATCTTGATCAGAGCCACGGCAGTTTGTTCTTGAACTCAGTAGCAGTGGGCTATCCTTTCCCTTCCTGTGTCACTTTAGAATGCTTACCTTAGCAGGTCATTCCACTGTTGAGACTATTCCTCAGGTCTTTCCAGGAAGTGTACAAGCAGCTATTTCTGTTTTAAATATCTTTCTTCTTAAAAACACATGTGGTGGTTTCTGCTTGCTACCCTGAGCCCTGAGAAAAGTATAAAAAGGGTTCCCTAAGAATGTGCGGTTTAAAAAGAATAAAATCTACAATTAAAAAGAATAAGGAGAATTTAAGAATAGGATGTAGCCTCTTAAAGATTTAAAGATTTCATTGATTAGCATGAAGAAGATATTTTGAAGTAATTGCAAACTTGTAATTAGTTTGTTTCATAGACAAACATATAAAGTATGTTATAAAGTAATTATTAATTCATAAAAATAATTTTTAAACAAATTATTTATATAATAAATGATATTTGAGGAGTAAAGGAAATAGAAAAGTTTATTGTTGAATAGAAAACTAAGAAAAATCCTTGCATAAAATATAGAGAAGTTGTGTTCCTTCTTAATAGATAACTACACCCACCAGGTGAGGGCTACAAACAGACTGATTTGGTTCAATGTGAGCAATAAGTTTCTAATGCCCTATAGTGAACAGGCTGCCTTTGATGGGGATGAACATATTATTTAAATAGTGAACAAACAGCCATTTTCCCAGTATACATTACAAAACATTCTCAAGTAAGTAGATGAATTAGGGAAACCTCATGGTCTCTTCCAATTTTAATATCCTATGATTTTACTATCATGTTTATTGTAACCTCACCCTTTTCATTTAAAACTGATGTGTGAAAGCAATTTAAGCTAAACTTTTTAGAAACATAACAATCATAATAATGGAAGCATAAGGTAGCTCATTGATATTAGTACAATTAACACACTTTTTTTGTATTCTACTTTTAAGTGTATGCTTATATGTAATGCACAAATATATGTACATATAATATACATGTATAGGAATATGTATATGTTCACAATGAACACAAATGATATGCACGAGTTTATTAGTCATTGATCCAACCATTAAGCTATTCATTTATTCCTCTTTTTATCATTTGACAAATAAGTTAGGTCTGTGTTATCTGGAAGACCTAACGAGTATACCTACATACTTACAACTGGTCATTAGCTACTAAAATAAAGGAACAGAGCAAATTGGATGAACAAGTCAGAAGAGAAATGTGTTCTATGTAGATGTGCGTTAGAAAGTCTATCAGGGCCGGGTGCGGTGGCTCACGCCTGTAATCCCAGCACTTTGGGAAGCTGAGGCAGGGGGATCACCTGGGGTCAGGAGTTCGAGACCAGCCTGGCCAACATAGAGAAACCTCATCTCTACTATAAATACAAAATTAACAGGGCATGGTGGTGCGTGCCTGTAGTCCCAGCTTCTCGGGAGGGTGAGGCAGGAGAATCACTTGAACCTGCGAGGTGGAGATTGCAGTGAGCCAAGGTGCACCATCGCACTCCAGCCTGGGCAACAAGAGCAAAACTCTGTCTCAGAAAAAAAAAAGAAAGTCTATCAGAAGATGACTCAAAACTGAGCTGATGTTTCTGAAACCCAAGGTTTTCTTCTTAATCCTCTGATGGCCTATATTGAAGCTTATATATTTATCTGGTGCATTGAAAAGAAAATTTAAAAATTATAATGTATTTTGACTATAAGATGGTATTTTATGGACTCTAACCCTATTTCAAATACTCTTTTTCTTAGCCAGGAAACTCCGAAATTAATACTATCATAGAAGTTCATTTTATACCAAAAGGAAGTTTTTAAAAATATAATTTTCAATTAGATAACCTCTAACTTTCGGACTCGAAAGTCAAGAAACTTTTATGGAGTGCCTTCTATGTGCATGGCACACTACTAGGCAGAAGGCAATGAAATAACAGATACGGTTAATATATATCTTGGTTTCTTCCTGACTAAATCACTAGTAGGATCAATGAGATTATGGATTGATAAGGTGGTTTAAGAATTCTAACTTGCTATGCAGATGTAAGTCACCATTTATATCATGGTTATGAACTTGGATTTCAGTGATGTGCATACAGATTCTGATTCTGACGTTACTTAACTGTGATTTAGGGTAATCTTTCTGTGCTTCAGTTTTTTTTTTTTTGTGAACCACGAACAGGTGTTATAAAAGCAGCCTCACGAGACAGTTGTAAAGGTTAAGTAACATGTGAATGTGTTTGAAAATCAGAGTTTATTACACGTTTGTTGAATCTGTTTGAATTATAGGAATATAGTGGAGTATGAGAAAGAGGAGCAAATAAAAATCCAGTATGTTTATATTTGACCGGATTGAGTCTAGAACAAAGATTTTTTCCCCTTTGTAAACAGAAGACTTAGCTTTAATTTTACTGTTCTTTAGTTCTTTCTGTCCATCTCCAGCTCCACCCAACTCTGAGTACTCCATAATCTGCCTATAGACCAACTCCTATCCAGAGCATGAGCTAATTCACACCAAGCCTTGCTGCATAAGAGCCTTATACCTAGAAGCCATGTAGGAATTGAGGAATTGTTTCTTCAGTGTTGTGCCCTGTATTCAAGATACCACCACATCTAATAAATTGAAGCCTACCCTGTGTTTATAGAGACTACTTTTCAAATCAGACAGATTTTCATGGAATTGTGAGTCTATCTACCTGAATATGTCACTGCTGGAGATCCCTAACTATCAGCACCAGCCCAGTCCTAGCCCTTCAAATTATATGACCTTTGAATGCCATGAGTTGGATGACTGGACGTTTCCTTCAAGTACCTGAATCACATTAATTCTCTAGCATTTCCCTCACTATTTTAGGGGTCTTGGCATCTTAGTCATGCGTGTGGCCATCATTTTATAGGTTATAGAAATAAAACCTTTCTAGAGCTACCAAGTATAATATAAAATCCTATGAGTAGGAAGCAGGAAGTGGCTTTAAAAGTCCTATATCATTGTGCAAATTGACAGTTATTTTATCTGAATGTGTGTGCTTTCTCTATCTAGTACAGGAAGCAGATTGTGGGGAAAATGGATGGTAAGTATGGGTTCACTTTGTGGTGGCATAAATCATGTTTAGAATATTCTTAGAGTTCTGGGAGGCTCTGGGAGACTCCAGATCATTTACTCCCTGTAATTACATTTCATCATATTTGCTTTTGGGTTTGTCTGTTAATAGAGTCTCTTGATCTGCTTAACTGCCTCCTCTGTAATTAAACAGTCGAGGAAAGCATATGGATAATACCATGCTAATGATATAGTTTTAAAATTTAGGATGATTTAAAAGGAAATTTTAATCTTCTACTAAGTTCAGCCTCAAACTGCTCTGGTTATAATGGTGATTTTTTCAAGCTTATCATTCCTAAGAAAGCTTCACATTTCATAATGCTTGCTTTGCAGCCAAGAAGCCTTAATTAACATTTGTTAAGAACTAGAAGATGCATCCCACTCTTTACTTTTTATTCCTAATTCTCATCCATAACTGAAAAGGTTAACATTTCAAATGGGATTACAGAATAGTGATGTCACTTTCCTATATTCATATACCAAGTCAATGTTTAAAAATAGCTTATGTTCAGGAGAATGGCGTGAACCCGGGAGGTGGAGCTTGCAGTGAGCTGAGATCGCACCACTGCACTCCAGCCTGGGCGACAGAGCGAGACTCCATCTCAAAAAAAAAAAAAAAAAAAAAAGCAGTTGGACCCTTAACTTACATACAAAAATGAAATCAAAATGGATCAAAGACCTAAAGGTAACAGCTAAAACTAAACAACTCTTAGAAGAAAATAGTAGGCTTGAACCCGGGAGGCAGAGGTTGCAGTGAGCCGAGATCGCACCATTGCACTCCAGCTTGGGCAACAAGAGCGAAACTCTCCCTCTCAAAAACAAAAACAGAGTCTTTGCCGCCGTGCCGGCGAGCGCCGCCCGGGAGGCAGCGGCTGGAGGAGCGGACGGGCCCCGCGGGGCCCGAGGGCAAGGAGCAGCCGCCTGCCTTGGCCTCCCAAAGTGCCGAGATTGCAGCCTCTGCCCGGCTGCCACCCCGTCTGGGAAGTGAGGAGTGTCTCTGCCTGGCCGCCCATTGTCTGGGATGTGAGGAGCCCCTCTGCCTGGCTGCCCAGTCTGGAAAGTGAGGAGCGTCTCCGCCCGGCCGCCATCCCATCTAGGAAGTGAGGAGCGCCTCTTCCCAGCCGCCATCACTTCTAGGAAGTGAGGAGTGTCTCTGCCCGGCCGCCCATCGTCTGAGATGTGGGGAGCGCCTCTGCCCCGCCGCCCCATCTGGGATGTGAGGAGCGCCTCTGCCCGGCCGAGACCCCGTCTGGGAGGTGAGGAGCGTCTCTGTCCAGCCGCCCCGTCTGAGAAGTGAGGAGCCCCTCCGCCCGGCAGCTGCCCCGTCTGAGAAGTGAGGAGCCTCTCCGCCCGGCAGCCACCCCATCTGGGAAGTGAGGAGCGTCTCCGCCCGGCAGCCACCCCGTCCGGGAGGGAGGTTGGGGGGGGTCAGCCCCCCGCCCGGCCAGCCGCCCCATCCGGGAGGGAGGTGGGGGGTCAGCCCCCCCGCCCGGCCAGCCGTGCCATCCGGGAGGGAGGTGGGGGGGTCAGCCCCCCGCCTGGCCAGCCGTGCCATCTGGGAGGGAGGTGGGGGGGTCAGCCCCCCGCCCGGCCAGCCACCCCGTCCGGAGTGAGGGGCGCCTCTGCCGGCCGCCCCTACTGGAAGTGAGGAGCCCCTCAGCCCGGCCAGCCACCCCGTCCGGAGGAGATGGGGGGGTCAGCCCCCCCACCCGGCCAGCCGCCCCGTCCGGGAGGGAGGTAGGGGGGTCAGCCCCCCGCCTGGCCAGCCGCCCCGTCCGGGAGGGAGGTGGGGGGGTCAGCCCTCCGCCCGGCCAGCCGCCCCGTCTGGGAGGTGAGGGGCGCCTCTGCCCAGCCGCCCCTACTGGGAAGTGAGGAGCCCCTCTGCCCGGCCAGCCGCCCCGTCCGGAGGAGGTGGGGGGGTCGGCCCCGCCCGGCCAGCCGCCCCGTCCGGTAGGAGGTGGGGGGGTCGGCCCTGTCCCGGCCAGCCGCCCCGTCCGGGAGGTGAGGGGCGCCTCTGCCCGGCCGCCCCTACTGGGAAGTGAGGAGCCCCTCTGCCCGGCCAGCCGCCCCGTCCGGGAGGGAGGTGGGGGGGGTCGGCCCCCCCGCCCGGCCAGCCGCCCCGTCCAGGAGGGAGGTGGGGGGGTCAGCCCCCCGCCCGGCCAGCCGCCCCGTCCGGGAGGGAGGTGGGGGGGTCGGCCCCCCTGCCCGGCCAGCCGCCCCGTCCGGGAGGTGAGGGGCGCCTCTGCCCGGCCGCCCCTACTGGGAAGTGAGGAGCCCCTCTGCCCGGCCAGCCGCCCCGTCCGGGAGGGAGGTGGGGGGGTCAGCCCCCCGCCCGGCCAGCCGCCCCGTCCGGGAGGGAGGTTGGGGGGTCAGCCCCCCGCCCGGCCAGCCGCCCCGTCCGGGAGGGAGGTGGGGGGGGTCAGCCCCCCTGCCCGGCCAGCCGCCCCGTCCGGGAGGTGAGGGGCGCCTCTGCCCGGCTGCCCCTACTGGGAAGTGAGGAGCCCCTCTGCCCGGCCACCACCCCGTCTGGGAGGTGTGCCCAACAGCTCATTGAGAACGGGCCAGGATGACAATGGCGGCTTTGTGGAATAGAAAGGCGGGAAAGGTGGGGAAAAGATTGAGAAATCGGATGGTTGCCGTGTCTGTGTAGAAAGAAGTAGACATGGGAGACTTTTCATTTTGTTCTGCACTAAGAAAAATTCCTCTGCCTTGGGATCCTGTTGATCTGTGACCTTACCCCCAACCCTGTGCTCTCTGAAACATGTGCTGTGTCCACTCAGGGTTAAATGGATTAAGGGCGGTGCAAGATGTGCTTTGGTAAACAGATGCTTGAAGGCAGCATGCTCGTTAAGAGTCATCACCAATCCCTAATCTCAAGTAATCAGGGACACAAACACTGCGGAAGGCCGCAGGGTCCTCTGCCTAGGAAAACCAGAGACCTTTGTTCACTTGTTTATCTGCTGACCTTCCCTCCACTATTGTCCCATGACCCTGCCAAATCCCCCTCTGTGAGAAACACCCAAGAATTATCAATAAAAAAATAAATTTAAAAAAATAAAAAAAAAAAATAGCTTATGTTCACATTTATCATATAGTTTGAAGATCTGCTTGAGAAGTAGGCTGTGTAAGTCAGTTTTTCTGCTTAACAACAATCCTGAAATTTTAATGGCTTATAGCCACAAACTTGCCATTTTGTTTGTTTCTTTTGTTTTTGTTTTGTTTTGTTTTGTTTTTTTGAGATAGGAGTCTTGCTATGTTGCCCAGGCTGGCCTTGAATGCTTAGTCTCAAGCTATTCTCCCATCTCTGCCACCCTAAGTAAGTGGGATTATAGGCATGAGCCAACATCCCTGGCAACAAACTTTTTCTTCTCTGTTTTTGGATCAGATTACGTGTCAGTAACTGCTCCAATTCTGCTTGCTCATGCTCCACATGTCTTAGCACTTTGGAGTCCTACGTGAAGGAACAGCCCACATCTGGTACATGCCACACTCATGGCAAAAGGCATAAAGATAAAAAAAGCTGCATAGTCACATTTAAAACCAAAACCTGGCGTGTAAAAAGTTGATTAACATTCTAATGGCTAGAACAAGTCAAACAGCCAGGCTCAATATCAGTGGAGTGGGAAATACCTTCATTCTACAAGGAGAGGGGAGTGAATATTTGAAAATGAGAAAATAATTTATCACATAGGGCCAAATGATAATTCTACTTACATGCATGTCTAAATGGCCCATGTAATCCTACAAATCTTCTGAGACCTACAATTTGGCTCCACTACTTGTATTTGACCAAAATATCTTCTCAAAGCCAAGTATGTATCTTCTCAGTTATCGCTCTTCCTTGAGACAGTATAGAACAATAGAGAAAAGATAGAACTTCGAACTTCTGATCAGAGGACATGAGTTAGAGCTTCAGCTCTATGAGAAGCTAGTGTTTGATTGTGTTTAAGTCAGTTCACTTCCTTAGGCCTTGGATTCCTTGTCTATAAAATTGTGCTAAAAATAATAACACCTTCTACAAAAGTTGTTATATGGCTCCTCTGAGTTGTATCACAGGAGAATAAGTACATGTGTCACCTGCAAAGTACATGTATAAGTATTGATAAGTGTATTTTGATAAGAGCTAGGAAAAATGAAATAAGAAAGTCATGATTAGATCTTGGTGATATAAATGGAGTGGGAGAGGAGTAGGGACAAGGAAGAGAACACTTTGAAGAAGAGAAGAAAGTTACAAATATGGCAAGGTGTTGATAATGAATCTCATCACTTCTCCAACTGTATCCACACTGAAAATGAAAAATTGACACCCTCATATTTCTGTTATTAAAAGATGTCAAGAGCTTCCTTGGCTTTCTCTTTTTCCTCTTGGACATACAAATAACATGGAAGACAGGACATAATTATCTGTATGCTCTTTGGTCCATCACATAATTCTTGCAAACCTTAGTTTCCTTATCTGCTAAACAGGGTGATCAATCCACCTAGTGGGTTTTTCTGAAAATGATTGTCATGAAAGTGCCTTGAAAACCATGAAGCATTCTGTACAAGAAGTTATGAAGTCATCTGTAAGATAAGAGACCTGGAAAATCATTAAGAGCCTTTCTATCTCATAAGTTTTGTGAATTTGATATTATTTGTTTAGACTTGAAAAGGGTTTTAGAAACCAAAATGTTTAGGCCTTAACTTCACAGATGAAAATATTCTCAGTTCTATTATTTCAGTGCTTATAATGTAGGTGATATTTAGAATATTGCATTTCAGAAATCTGGAATTTTAGTTATCTTAGTGCAAATAAGAAATCTTTTTGTTGTAATGTGTAGATGGCTTGCTTTATTCTAAATTTCCACTATAATTTACTATAGTTCCCGTTAGTCTTCAATCCAATTCAAATAAATGAATATGCATGAATTCAGTGAATATACATATAGACCAATGCTTCTTAATCCAGCTGCAATTGAAATCACTCTGGGTACTTGAAAGTATTGATTTCTCGGCCCTACCTCTACAAATTCTGGTTTACCTGGTCTCAGGTGGGTTTCAGGCATAGTTTTTTGTTGTTGTGTTTTATTTTTTATTTTTATTTTTTTATGTTTGTCTGTTGATTGGTTGTTTTAAGATCTTTGGGTGATTCTACTGTGAAGCCAGTTTGGGAACAATTGCTCTAGAGATAGCAATTTGAAAAAGGCAAAGCTCCTGTTCTCAAGAAACTCAAAGTTTTTTGGTAAGATAGATGTGAAAAAAGTGACTTACAGATGACCTATAATAGACATATGTTCCAGGTGAGTCTAATCCAAGATCTCAGAGAAGGCTTCATAAAAGAAGCAAAGCTTGAACTTTTTCTCCAAGCAACAGAAAGAATTTTCTAACAGCCTGACCAAAGGAAAGGCTCTTCCAGGACAGGGAGAATATGACCAGACAAAATAGTTTGAAATCTTTACATGCATTTGAAGACTATAAATAACAGGGTATGTTCAAACATAGAGTCTGAGGTAGAGAATGTGGCAAGAGATCAAGAAGCAGGTAAGAATCAGATTCTTTCTTTCTTTTTTTTCTTTTTTTGAGATGGAGTCTCACACTGTCACCCTGGCTGGAGTGCAACGGCACGATCTCTGCTCACTGCAACCTCCGCCTCCTGGGTTCAAGCAATTCTCCTGCCTCAGCCTCCCTAGTAGCTGGATTTACAGGCACCTGCCACCACACCCAGCTAATTTTTTTTTGTATTTTTAGTAGACAGGGTTTCACTATGTTGGCCAGGCTGGTCTTGAACTCCTGACCTCGTGATCTACCCGCCTCGGCCTCCCAAAGTGCTGGAATTACAGGCGTGAGCCACCACGCCCAAAGAATCAGATTCTAAAGATGCTTGCTCCAGTTTGAACTTTGTCCATTGGAAATACACCAAAAGGATTTCTAAAGCAACCAAGTCACTCCTTCTAACAAGTCTGTGCCAATTAAACTTATCCAGCTCTTTTTAAGTCTTCATCCTACCTTTCATTGATCTACTTTAGATCACACTAAACTAAGCTTACATATATACATGCATATATACATGCATATATAATGCTCATCACACACAAATCCTAGAGTATCCCTGAAAGAACAACTCACTTGAACAATCTGCTACCTCAAAAATATTATTCTACGCTTATGCAAACATACTGATCTTGAATTCTGTTGATCTTATCCTTATTTCTATGATTCTATGATGCCAATGATCATAAGAAACTACTTTGATTTAATAAATGCTTTTTTCTGGATAAAAGTAAGTAAAATGATCACTGTTACCATATTAAATGTATTCCTTATTTGTAAGAGGCAGCCTAATTATCAGACAAATTAAAATTTGAAAAAAAAATGCATGTTAGAACCATGTAATAAAGGTAAATGGTAAGTTCCTCAAAAGTTCATATTTTGCTTGAATAATAAGGGCAAAGAAAATTCTGAGTTTCTACTGTAGCAACTTATGATTTTGACTCTTATTTTTCTTTTCATTTTTCTGAGTTTTTATTTATATTCCTTCTAAAAAATGACAAAAGACCTGGAAGTCCCAAATAGTGTCAAAAGGAAAGGGATAAAAAGAATGCTTTCCTTTGGATAACATTTTTAAATCTAGATCAGTGATCAACTGAAAGTCTAATGCTTATTGACTGCCTTCTATGTGCAAGTCAGCATGCAAAATATTAAAAGGTGATTCAAATAATTGACTCACTCATTCATACCACTTATTGTGAGCACTTATGCACCTGGCACCATAGAGTTTTGACATACAAAAACAAATGAAACATTGTCCCTGTCTTTGGAGTGTCAATAGCAGTACCATTCAATATAAGTACCTGGAGAGCCATATATATAATTTTTGAAATTTCTAGTAGTCACATTAAAAAACATAATATAAACAATTAAAAACAATTTTCATAATATATTTTATTTAGCTCAATATCTCCAAAATATTAACATTTGAACATGTCATCAATACAACAAATTAAGATATTTTGCATTATTTTTCTTACTAAGTCTATGAAATCCCTATGTATTTTATACTTACAGTACATTTCAATTCAAATGCTAAATTTGCAACAGTTAAAATGAAACATTTTCTTAGAAAAATAATAAAGTTGTGGCTAATGAAAATACCCTGCTTCAGTTTTTAAATTTAACTTAACATGGAATGTAGGGAGGTAAGCAAAATTCATGATGATAGTCTTTTATATCTGTTCAACCTAATATTCTCACCTCCTGTCTTTAAACTGGGACTGAGATAAGCTTTATGCAATAAATAGAAATTTTCAGTTGGAAGAGCTTTACTACTTGTAGTTTTGCCAAAGTGGACAAAAAAAAGTAAGCAACTTTTCCTTATTCATGCTACTAGTTACTGGCAAAGCTAAAACCTTGGTCTTCTGATTTTTCAGTCACATGATATTATAGTCTATATCTAGTGGTGTACTGGTTAATATTCACATCTAGCTCTCTGAAAAAGAAACACATACACACACAAATTGTACTGATATAAAGAATGTGTAGATGGAATTTACAAACAGTAATAAAATATATAATACTTTTCATTGTAAATGTTATATAGTAGATTGATTCATACAGTATGTTTTGTTGATTTTTTTCTAAATTCTTATATCTGTAGGCAAGTCACAGTTGCAATTTATATGCGACTTACGATTTAACAAAAAAACTTAAGAAATTTTAATAAAATTAAAATCCAGTTGTGTAGTCATACCAGCCATGTTACAATTACTTGAGAGTCATGGCTAGCTACTGTCTATCCTTGAACAACATGGGCTAAAGACTAATTGGAAAAGAAAGAGAGCTGAATAAATGATTATAGTGATGTAATAGGGGAGGTAGAAGGCATGTAGGGAACACAGAGAAAGATGAAATTAATGTTTCTTGGTGAGTTGCAAGGATCTCAGAGAGCTCATCACCTTACTAAATGCTGCAGGAAAGCCAAGCATACAAGAAAAAGGGAGAGAGGGATTCATGGGGAAGGCTCAGTGCTAAGAAAGAAAAGTGGTAGAGACAGCACAGCATCCACTCTCAAGATTGACTGCCAAACTGGGTAGACTGGCAAAAATAAATAAATAAATAAATAAGTTAGATATTAAAATGCAATATAAGATTTAAGTGTGAGCTAGAGAGAACATCAAAGGTATTTAGGTTTGTGCAAAAGTAATTGTGGTTTTTGCCATTAAAAGTAATGACAAAAACAGCAATTACTTTTGCACCAACCTAATATTATACAACACCTGCATTTATAACCCATTTCTGCAGCTTACTACCTGTGTAATATTGAGCAATCATCTGGGCATTTACTCTTCTGTAAAACTGGAAATAATACCGACCTTAAAGGGCTATTGTGAGCAATAGATGAGATAATATGCATTAAAGAGCCCAATGCATGTTTGCGAAATCAGAACCCCAATGGGAAAGGTCACGAATGACTAACTTCAATACCCAGTAAAGGGAAGTCAATCACTCAGCTGAGACTTAGAGGAGAGGTAAGACTTCAGGCTTAGTGGAAAAGAGGAATTCCCTGTCGGAGGCAGGGGCAACAGGGCTTCTGTTACAGGTCAGATCCACAAACACTGGGGAAGTGGAGGAATGCCTTCCAGATATTGTCCTCATTGTAACTGATGAATAACTTACAGTTATTCATTTTGTAGAATAGAGGGGGAAAGAAATTAGTGCAAACCTCTGCCAAGAAAGGAGATATAAAGAAAGGCAGTGAGAGAGAGAAAGAAAATAAAAGGTAAATAAAAGTCAAATACAAAAGTTTCACTTTGAGCAAAACTAAATAATATAAAGAGAAAGAAATGAGATAGAATGCTTCAGTACAAGTTTTCCCAGAGTTGGCCAAGCCTTGTGTACATTGCACTGCTCTATCCCCTCTGTTTCTTACTGGTGCCAGCTCCTCATCCCTCACCACATTCCAATCCACTCACATTTCTGGCTCTTCTTGAGTGACACGTGTATTTATTTCTGCCTCAAAGACCCGTACTTGCCCTTCTCTCCCTAGAGTGCTTTTACCTCTGCTTTGGTTTCCTCTCATCTTTGAGGTCTCAGCTTAAAAGTCTCCACATCTGATCCACCCATCTAGAACACCCCCAACCTAAATCCAGTCAGTCTGTGTCATCTTAACCTCTATTGCCTTCAGAGACCTGATCTCCATATAAATACTTTATTTCATTGTCCCCCATTGGTTGCCATCCCCTTCCCAGAATATCAGCTCTATTGAGACAGGGATATAATACCTCTGCTCACCATCATATCCTTAGGACCTAATAGGTGCTGGCTGAATATGTGTTGAATGAATGAATAAATAGCACATCATCCATAACATTTGAATTATCACCAGTGCTGACCCACTCAAAACTCAAGCATCTAGAGGCCAATAAAATGAATATCAGAAACTCTGTGTCTGTTAGAGTAATTACTAGGGCCTCTATTTACTTCTGTCCCTAATATTCCTCGCCTCTCATTGTCAGTTTTTTTTTTAAATTTTATTTTATTCTCTTCCTCTGAACCTTTGGGATTAATGCCTAAACTTAACTCTTAGTGTCTGTCGTACTCATCCTGTGGCTCCAGACTATTTTAGCTACAGTGCCTTGAAGTCTATTTCTGGATTCTGGAGGACTAACTTGTGACTTCTGACTCAGTGAGAAAGAAAGAAAGAGAAAGAAAGACTGAGAGAAAGAGAGGGAAGTGAGAATTTGAGGGGGGAAACAGCAATCTAGAATGTGAAAGAAAAGAAAATGTAATATAAAACTGTAATGTCTGCTAGGAAATAAAACTTTATGATAACATAGGTTCAGGTGTTTATTAAATAAATCCTGAATAAAGCAAAAAAAAAAAAAAAAGCAGGTATTGCTTCAAAGCCTTGGAAGATGGGCTACTTAGGGTAGGGAAACTTCTTTCAAGAAATGTGTAAACACCTCTTGAAGATGTGAACTAGATGTTTCAGAGACATGCAACTTCTTTAGCTCTGCTCTCATTCTGACAGCTTCTCCTTATTGACCAATTATGCTATTCCCTAGGTTTTCATTTCAATACAAATAAAGAGGACACATATCTGATTTAACAAAATGGGCCCCCATGGCCAAGCGTTTCCTCAGTCCTTACACTTGGCAAAGTCCGTGTAATGGTGTCAGCTGTATCAGGAACAGGGCTGCACCTCGGCTTAAGGAGAGTCAGAGGGAAGCTGAGAAATGCTGGAGTCCAGAGGGTCTATTTCATAGATGCGGAGTCTGAGGACCAGAGATAGGGACACATGTACAGTCCTAAAATCCCTAATTATCTTAATGTCTCAGATGCTTCTTTCAAATTCACAGTGGTTCCTCATAGCCTGCTATGACTACCTGAAATTTGAACAGTCATTCCTTAGGGTCATTGACTTTGACGTTACATACCTACCTATTAGAATGAGGAAATGTTTCCAGGGCACAGGGACGCATCTGTGTTTATTATTCTAGTGCAGAGTAGGAGAATAGAACAATGGACTGGCCAGTGTTGAGACAAGAAAACATCTAGCATAAATGGCACTTAACCAATGATAATTATAGCTCACATTATTCTGCACTTATGATGTGTCATGGGTGGTTCAAAGTGCTCAACATAAAGCTAGTTTAATCTTCACAAAAACCTAATCTGATAGATATTATTATCTGCATTTACAGATGAGGAATCTGAAGTACAGAAAAACAAAACAACTAGTTCAAGGTACACATCTAGAGAGAAAGGAGCTGGGATTTGAACCAAAGCAGTCCTTGAGCCAAGAGAATCTATCCATTATATTCTCCTTTGTCTTCAGAGGAATGCATTCACATCGAAAGTTATATCAGAAGGATACCTAGAGATGTGGAAATATGGAATTGTGGACTATGACTTTAAGACTCACAAAATCAAATGTTCTTAGAATCACAAGGTCTGATGATTGAAGGACACCCTGGCTGCCCTGAAAGTCCACATTCACTGCCCACATTTGCTCCACAGTATTTGTACTAAATGGTGTCCAATCTTACTATGTCTTCAAGACAGTTGATGATAAGGAACTCACTATCTTCTGAAGGTACCCTCTTTACCTTTGTGCACTTTGCCAAATAGAACATATATATTTCACAAAATAAACTATAGCCTGACTTCTTAAATGTTCTATCCACTGGTCCCAATTTTGCTCCTTAGGAACACAGAGACTAAGGCTAAAGTGTCTTGCATTTGGTAACCGTTCATTTGAAAATAATAGCTCTTCTACCGTATTTCTATTTTGTCTTATCCAATATTAGTATTGCTATTTCCTCAAATATTCCTTTTATAAAATTTGTTGAATTTACCTTCCAGGTACTGAAGGCTTTGATGGGAGAAAGCATCTCATTTCCCATTTCTGAGGTAAAAACAAGACAAAACCAAGAGAACAAAACCAAAAAATAGATGTTGGTTGTCAAAATATACAAAAGATAAAAACATCTGATCACTAGCTTTGACTAAAAGATAGAAGCTATGATTTATTTAAATTTACATTGGGCAGTGTATTGATTAGAGTAACATTTTTTTTCTTGTTTATATAACAGTCCAAAGTGAGTATTCCTGGTTGATATGTGTTTTTCCATCACGAAGTGATTCAAGGGCCCAGGTTCCTTTCATATTGTCATCTACTATCCCCTAGTACTCTTTTGCATTGGTATTCAACATATAGACTCAGAAAAAATTCCTGGAGGAGGCATATATCTTCCTTAAAGCCTCGAGGTTAGTGGAACAGCCCATTTCTACTTATAATCCACCCATAAGAAAGCACATATCACTATATGTAGTTGCAAAAAAAAAAAAAATGCTGGGAAATGTAGTTTTGTTATGTGCTTAGGAAGATATAAAAATGGATTTTGGTGAACAAGGAGTGATCTGCCACAAGGACTACATACAATGCTAAGAAATCAGATCTGGAATAGAATCCTGGTCCCTCTTTTTTATGAGATATATAAACATGGGTAGCACTTAGTGGCTGTAATCTTCAGTCTCCCCAGATGTTAATAGGATGTCTCTTCCAGGGTTGTTGTAAGGATCAAATGAGGAAGCACATTCAATGTTCTTGGTCTTGTCCAGCAAGTTGAAAGTGCTAACTCATTATTATCTTTATCTATTCTTATACTATTACTGCCAGATCCCGGCTCAGATCCCAGCAGATAATGGAGCTCAATCCATGTTTGCTGAACTGAACTAAACTAAACCTCACAGTCATTACCAAGGTCAGCCATACCCTTATAAGGAAGTACAAGGGGAGTAAGTCTGGTCCATGTTCCCTCTGATGCTAACACGGTCACAGTCTGCTTTCTTTGTGTTCCCATGCCTCTGTGCTGCATTCATCTGTGGGGCTGATTTATACCTTCTCCAGGGACACACTTTCACTAATTAAGGACTGAAATAAAAAATGAAGAGCTGAATTGAAGACGTCAGACAGTCTAATAAGTGCTGCTGGTCTCATTTCTCCAGCTCCCAGTGACTGGTGCTAGCTGTAATATTGGGATACACACAATCCTGGCCGTTCACCCACTGAGCAGTGTGGCTCACATAAAGGGCTTTCCAGTGGCTCTTCTGTTTCATACACAGAAGCCCTATGCAAAATCTGCCAGTCATCTGACTCAGAGACCTCATAAGCTATTTTGCTTCAAAAGGCAATGCTGAGCCCAATCAGCCCCACTCAAAATGCTCTGTGGAAAATTTGCTTTCTCTTAAGTAAGATCATTGAATAAAAAATCATTATTTCCAGGATTAGCAAGAGCCAGTGTGCACAGTTCTCCCTAGGGCTGCGATGACAAAGGCTGGATTATTCATTACAATCTGTTCCTTCAACTAATATCTTTTCCATGGGTTCCATCACAGTTGCTATTCCTGCTAATTGTTCAAACAGTGAATTAGTGGCCAAGTTGCCAGGTGAAATGAGGATGTGTTAGATAAAGTATGTCTTTCTTCACTTTCAGTGTCTCTGAGGCACTTTGACCTGATGAAGCTGGGTGGCAGAGGGGTCCTATCCAAAGGCCAGCCTGTCTCTGAGTGGCAGACTGAATGTGAAGTTGAAGCTCCTTGAGTTTCAGTTCTTTCAATAACCCTCTATTCAACTTCTGCTCGGATTTTCTCTGTGAACCCATCCCTCGTTTTCTTCAGTGCTGAAAAAAATATTCCCTTGGAAAACTCATTAGAACTAATTATTTAGTACTGGGGAAAATAGCTCAAGCATGAATAATTATCTCATCAGCTAAACTCTTTTTCCCCAAAGGTTACCAGGGCAAGGATATCAGAATTTCCCTTGGTATCTTTAATGGTCCTGAATGCCGAGCAGTTTCTCTTCAATTTGGTCCCTTTCCTACTTCTAGCAGTTTCCTTTCATCCTCTCCCTGGTGAGGATAGAATAGATCTGGAGAGCCAAAGCCTGTAACTATCTCCTTGCGTGACTTACCATTCAGTCTATTGCATACGAGTTTTCTCGTCTTTTCTCTTGCAAGAAACAGAAAAATAAGACCTGAATAAAGCCCATGACAATCAATTTGAAACTACTCTCAAAACCAAGAGGCCAACTGGAGGTATAGTGGCTATAATTGCTCCTTCAAAATATCTTTCTTAGCTTCAAATTTTCTGTAGCTTGAAACTTATACTTTTGTCAGGGAGAGGAAGAGAGAGAGACAAAGGGCTGTGTTGAAAACTCACCTGCTTTCTGGGGCCAGACCAGTCATTTAGATGAGTTTGTGATGCCTGCCGTAGGTGGATTGTAAGGTAGCTATAATCAGAGGGCCATGGTGTGTTAGAAAGAGCAATACTCTCAAGTTCAAGTCCCGCCTGTCCATTTGTGAACCATTGATCTTGGACAAAATTATCAGCTTTCTGGGGCTCCATGTTTTCATCTACCCAATGCAGCTCATAATAACTACTTCACAGGCTGCTTGTGCATATGGAATGTGCTAGGATGTGGAAAGGGCCTTGTGAACTATAAAAGAAGGCTATAAATAACAGCTGTATGTTCAAGGCAAGCAGTAGGGAAAACAGCCTCAGATCAGTGAGACTGAGTGTGAAGGGAGGACAGAGGGCGGGGGAGTGAACAGCCCCAGCACAGAAAAGCCACTCCCTATCCACCCTCCCCACAGGCTACAGGCTACAGATCTTTCACCTGGGGTCTTCAGCTCAAACCATCTCTACTGGCTAGTATGGAAGTGAGTCGGGGTAGAAGAAGTTCATTAATAAGAGAAATGAAAAGTAGGATGAAAGACGGGGGTAAATTTTTTCACCATCGTCACCATCTTTTAAAAATATTTATGTTACTTGTAGAGCCCTGAGTCAAAAGCTGCCCTAGGTGGGTCTCTGCTGCAGTGTATCAAATGGAGGGAATCATTATGACATTTGTAAGCAGCATAGTGCTCCCCCAAACACAGGCACAGTAGGGCCATGATAAATGTTTTTGTTAATAAAGAAGAGACATACAGGTCTGTGCAAAGGTGTGGGAAAAAACAAATTTCCTGTCTTTATTGATGTGAGGAATACAGACTATGATTAATAACTAATTTTTTTCTATTCAAGTGCTTTTACTTTATATTTTTATGTTTTAATTATGAATTCTTCAATTTTATCTTCTAGTGTTTTAGAATGCTGCTAGGTCACTTAACCTGCTTAACATTTAGTTTCCTGAATTTTATAAAATGGGCATCATTTAAATTTCATAGGATTAATTGAAAGATTAAGTGTAAATTAGCAGGCTCATTCCAGAGGAAGTTCCTGATAAATGATGGTTCTCTGTTCCATCTCCCAATTCTTCAAATGGTCCTGGATGGAAAGTATTTTGTAAGCCAGAACCTACAGAATCATAGAACTCTGACTTCATGTATATGTGAAGGAGCACCATGTTCTTCATACACTTTGTGGGGACCAATGAAGTCTGTAAAGTAAACAGTACTTGCAAAATCAGCGATGAAAGGTGTCTGCATATTTCATGATTTAAAGATGCCATACCTTGTTGGTAAATGTTAGATTCCCAAATATTCACATGTTAAGGGTTACTGAAGCATTTTAACTTCAGGGAAAGAAAATTAAAATAAATTTCATGTCATGAGAACTTTACCTGAAGCAAGTAAGTTACTATTTTAAAAATAACTTGGCAGACTCCAATTCAGGAGTGCTCCTCAATCTGGATAAATTAACAAGAGATACGAGCCCTTTAAAATAGCTAGAATGGTTTTGATGGAGAGTTAAAGGAGAATCAGCACTAATTCAGTGCTTACTGTGTACCAGGGACTCTGCTACATGCTTTCTACATGCCACCTCATTTAATCCCCACCATACCTCCAAGAGGTAGGCAAGGATATGCCCATTTTGCTGATGAGGAAACCAAGACTCTGCAAAGTTAAGCAAATTTTTTAAAAATCACAGTTAGCAAAAGACAAGACTAACAGATAAACTTACATCTACTGCTAACTTGCTTAATGAATGTGTATTAAGATGGTTCCAGTGATGAATCTTTTAGGTATTGAGGACTTAGCAATAAATAAAACCAACATACGCCTGTGTTCTTAGACTTTAGACACAACAACAAAAAAAAGATGTAAAAAAATATATATACCTATTAGAAGCTACCTAATTGTATACTTTATACCAAATTTTATACTTTATACCAAGTAGTAGTTATTTATCTCGAAGGGATTCTAAAGCAAGATATCTGGGAGAGGGTTATTAATAACTTTTAAAAATATTCATTTAATTAACAAATACGGCCAGGCAAGGTGGCTCAAGCCTGTAATCCCAGCACTTTCAGAGGCCTAGGTTAGTGAATCATTTGAGGTCAGGAGTTTGAGACCAGCCTGGCCAACATGGCGAAACCCCATCTCTACTAAAAATACAAGAATTAGGTGGGTGTGGTGGCACACACCTGTAATCCCAGCTACTCAGGAGGCTGAGGCAGGAGAATCGCTTGAACCTCAGAGGCGGAGGTTGCAGTGAGCTGATATTACACCACTGCACTCCAGTCTGGGTGACAGAGTGAGACCCTGTCTCAAAGAAAAAAAAAAGTCTAACTTTCAATTTTAAAATAATTTTAGACTTATAAAAATTTTGTGTATTTCCCATCTATTCTTCATTCAGATTCCTTCAATGTTAATCTTCTGTATACATATTTAAAAAATGGTCAAAACCAGGAAGTTAATACAGATACAGTAGTTTCTTCTAACCTACAGACCTTATGTAAATTTCACCAATTGTCCCTTTTCTAGTCCAGGATCCAGTCTAGATTTTGCATTGTACTTGGATTTCATGTCTTCTCAGACTCCTTCAATGTGTGACTTCCTCGCTCTCTCTTTGTTACTCATGACTTGATATTTTTAGAGTATGGGCCTGTTATTTTGTAAAATATCCTTTCAATTTAGATTTATATAGTATTCCCCATTATTAAATTCAGGTGTGCATTTTTGGTTAAAAAAAAAGTCATCACCAAAGCAATATTGTGACCTTCTCGGTGTATCTTATCAGGAGGTACAAAATGCTGATGTTCTATTACTAACAATTTTATGAGAACATTTGTGTAAGAATGTGTCTGACAGGTTCCTCTCCTGTAAAGTTACAATTTACCCTTTGTATTTAATAATTACTTTGTGGGTAGATATTTTGAGATTGTGAAAATAATCCGATTCTCATCATACTTTTATCCATTAATTTTATTATCTGTTAATGGTTCTTCCTTGCAACAATTATTACTGTGGTGTCCCCAAATGTTGATTTTCTATTTATATTATCCCTTCTACATTTATTAATTAGAATTCTACTGTAAGGAAGAGTTTTTCCTTCTCCCCTATTTATTTCTTTATTCATATTATTAAATTTATGTCAGTATGAATTCTCAGATGTTTATTTTCATCTATTAGAGTTATAAAGCATTAAACTGGTTTAAACCAGTTATAAACTTTTGTATTTATAGTATAGATTGGCCTTGATTAGGCTTTTAGGAATTTCTTCACATTGATTTGTGGATTCCTTTGATGTAACACTATAATTTTTAAAGCACATTTATACTCTGCCACCACGTGACAGTGACATGCTGGTAGAGTACTGGTTTCCCCCCAGAAAATTTAGAAACCAAGATCTGAGTGCTAAGTGTGCTAATTGCTATTGGAATGTCATTGCATATAGATTCTTTCAGAGATCATAGTTAGAAAAAAAATATATATGCATCTCATTTGCTCAAATGTTTATATCTCTTTCTGTTTCTATCTATCATCTGTCTATCTATCAATCATCTATCTGTATTAAAAACTATGAAGTCACACTAATACCTTAGATTTGAGTTTCATACCACAGAGTTTATTCTTGCCTTCCTCCTTTCTACATTGTCAATTCTTTCTGACAGTGAGAAACCTGGCTTTAATTATTTATAATGTGTTTACTTATTCACTTTGTCTTAGAGTATATGTAAAGTTTCAGTATTGGTAACTCATGCTATCTTTGTCTGTTCCTGCTGCTATATTAAAATACCTGAGCCTGGGTAATGTACAAAGAACAGACATTTATTTCTAATGGTTCTGGAAGCTGGAAGTCCAAGATGAAGGTGACAGCAGGTTTGGTGTCTGGTGAAGGCCTTGTCTTTGTTTCCAAAGATGTTTGGAAACCTTGTTGCTGTGCCCTCTGGAGGGAACAACCACTATGTCCTTACATGGAGGAAGGGACAGAAGGTCATAAAAAGGAACTGGGTGCTTCCTTCAACCTCCTTTATAAAGTTACTAATCCTATTCCTGAGGGATTAGTCATGACCTCATGACTTAACCATCCCCTAAAGGTGCTATCTCTGAATACTATCATATTGGTGATTAAATAACAACATATAATTTTGGGAGGCACATTCAGACCTTAGCATTTCACCCCTGAACCTCAAAATGTATGTCCTTTTCACATGCAAAATATATTCATCACATTCCAATAGCCCCAAAAGTCTTAACTCATTTCAGCACCAACTCGAAAGTCTAAAGTCCGGAGTCTCATCTGAATCAGACGTATGAGACTCAAGGTATGATTCAACCTGAGGGAAATTTCCCTGCACCTCTGAACCTGTGAAATCAGAAAGGTTATCTACTTCCACAATACAATGGTGAGACAGGCGTAGGATAGACATTCCCATTCCAAAAGAAAGAAATAGGAAAGCCGTTATTATAATTCTTATTTTCCTCTTGCCATTGTTTTGCCATGATTATTATGATTATTATTATTATTTGTATTGAAGCAGAGTCTATTTAACTTGACTTTACTATATTTATTGTCTTTATAACCCAAGGCATAGGGGCAGGGGGAAACTCCCAAAAGACATTCTTTTTTTGTGCCTTTACTCAAGGCAAGTCATTCCAAACATTTCTTAATGCATTTGGAAAGAGAATCAATAAGAACAGTGCCTCAAGTTAACTTTCATTGCCCTCCAGGACAGTTTCCAATCCCCTGGGCAGAAGTAATATCTTCTCTGAAGTCTGAGGCAGCACTTTGTCAGGGGAAGCACAAATGCTACTTGTGGAGGACAGAGTTATTTTGTTCTTTACTCTGAGTTTGCACTCTATGAAAACTCTGTGTTAACATCATTGGCAGAGAAATTCAATTTCCTCCCTCTGAGTGGGAAGGAACTTCTCTTGGAAGGAGTTTTCTTGCTTTATTTCCTACAATTAGAGCCTCTTTTCTACTTGACTTAAGGGTTTTTTGTTTTGTTTTGTTTTTCTAAACATTCAATTTCCTGGAAGTTCTAGGGATACAGTGGTGAACAAGAAGAATAAGACCTCTGCCCTCATTGAGCTTATACACTAGTAATTTTAAGGGTGCTTTCTCTCTTTCTCTGGGGTGCATTTCACTTAAATTTAAGCAAAAACTATGGGAGAAGTTTTATAAACAGTTCCTAGATTGAAATTTTAAATTAAAAAGCCAATGTTTGTTTGAAAGGTGCACTAGGAAAAGAAAGTTCCAAATATATTCCATAGGTAATTTTTGAATATGGCAAATATTACATTTTAAAATTAGTCAGGGTGAGAAATGTAACTGCTTTATATAGAATATATAAAGGTATCTGTTTACCTTTTAGCTGTATTTTCTTGTTAGATAAGCCAGGGAGCAAAGTACATAGAGGATCATGAATGGTTTGCAGTGATTCAATACAGCTTGTTCAACAGAGACATTCACATGACCAATTTTATCAATACATAAATATAATACCTGAGCAAGCTTAAAATATGCTGCTAAGGAAAAGTAGTGACATTGTCAGGGCTAGAGGATGCAAGAAAAATACAAGCACAAAATAATAAAAAACTGTTAAAGTTGGATACCAACTCAGAGTTCTAATCTACCTGTCCTATTGCAGAAGTTACTTCAACAGCTTCTACTTCACTGACAAAGAATATTCTAGATCCTGCTTGGCACAGCTATTGAGAGAATAAAATGTTGTGGCTGGGGGAGGGGTCTTATGTGTGCTGCTGCCCAAGGTCCTGAAAGTTGCTTTTGCTATAATATGTTTTGTTCTAGTAGTCCTGGGATAAAGGTGGCTCCTGTTCAATCTTGTTTCAGTAATCTTGAACCAAGTGGGAAAAGGGGAGTGTTAGGAGAGACAACGGGAAAGGGAGAAGAAAAGAGAGAATAAAGGGAAGGAGGACGGGACATAGCCTTTAAAGAATGTCAGAAAAAAATAGTCCTTGATTTCTCAATCATGTTCAAATAATAGCAGTAACCGACAAAGAAAATGTCTTTTATTTTTGATATAGTGGATGTGTTGGTTTGTTCAGGCTGTATAACAAAATACCATAGACTTGGTGGCTTATTTACAGCAGAGCTTTTTTTTCTCACATTTCTGGAACCTGTGTCTGGAACCTGGGAAGTCCAACTTCAAAGCACTGACACATTTGGTGTCTGATGATGTCCGGCTTTCTCATAGACGGCTACCTTCTTCTCACTGTTACCTCATATGGTGGAAGGTAAGAGATTACTCCGTGGTCTCTTTCATAAGGTTGGTAATCTCATTCTCTTATAACCTAATCACCTGCCAAAGGTCCCACCTCCTCTTACCATCACCTTAGGGATTAGGATTTTAAAATGAGAGTTTTTGGGGAAAATGAACATTCAATCCAGTGCATTTGATGATGCCGCAAATTGGATTTCCTGGGAAGTAGGTTGTCAGAGTTAGAGTAGGCATACAGAGTATTTTAAGTCATGTCCTTGGAATCAATACTTGTTGATGAGAAAGAAAAAAATATAGAATGGCAGAGGAAAAAGTCAAGCTGCAATAGAGTCTCAAAAGCCTAAGCTGACCAGATAAAATATGAAGGCACTAGAATAGACATCCAGAGTTCTTTAAGGTTGAGTGAGGCCTTTATAGTCCCACATTGTTCAGTCATTAAATCTAGGCTATCCTAAGAAGGAGTACGACCTTGAGTGAGGTGAATATAATCATGAACTGAGGCAGTTCATAAAAGGGCTTATTGCTGGGGCTACAGGTACTTCCCTAAAGGCAGATGTGGGTGGCCAATCCAATGTGCAGCACAGGGGTCACATGTCACATTATTTCTCAAGCTGTGTTTATGTGGAAGCATCCTACTTCCCAAGTCAACTTATGACAGCATTGCGCATCTGTTTTTTTATTTTTATTTATTTATTATTATTATTATTTATTTTTATTTTTATTATTATACGTTAAGTTTTTGGGTACATGTGCACAACGTACATGTTTGTTACATATGTATACATGTGCCATGTTGGTGTGCTGCACCCATTAACTCGTCATTTACATTAGGTATATCTCCTAATGCTGTCCCTCCCCCCTCCTCCCACCCCACAACAGTCCCCCGTGTGTGATGTTCCCATTCCTGTGTCCATGTGTTCTCATTGTTCAAATCCCACCTATGAGTGAGAACATGCGGTGTTTGGTTTTTTGTCCTTGCGATAGTTTGCTGAGAATGATGGTTTTCAACTTCATCCATGTCCCTACAAAGGACAAGAACTCATCATTTTTTATGGCTGCATAGTATTCCATGGTGTATATGTGCCATATTTTCTTAAACCAGTCTATCATTGTTGGACATTTGGGTTGGTTCCAAGTCTTTGCTATTGTGAATAGTGCCGCAATAAACATACGTGTGCATGTGTCTCTATAGCAGCATGATTTATAATCCTTTGGGTATATACCCAGTAATGGAATGGCTGGGTCAAATGGTATTTCTAGTTCTAGATCCCTGAGGAATCGCCACACCGACTTCCACAATGGTTGAACTAGTTTACAGTCCCACCAACAGTGTAAAAGTGTTCCTATTTCTCCACATCCTCTACAGCACCTGTCGTTTCCTGACTTTTTAATGATCGCCATTCTAACTGGTGTGAGATGGTATCTCATTGTGGTTTTGATTTGCATTTCTCTGATGGCCAGTGATGATGAGCATTTTTTCATGTGTTTTTTAGCTGCATAAATGTCTTCTTTTGAGAAGTGTCTGTTCATATCCTTCACCCACTTTTTGATGGGGTTGTTTGATTTTTTCTTGTAAATTTGTCTCAGTTCATTGTAGATTCTGGATATTAGCCCTTTGTCAGATGAGTAGCTTGCAAAAATTTTCTCCCATTTTGTAGGTTGCCTGTTCACTCTGATGGTAGTTTCTTTTGCTGTGCAGAAGCTCTTTAGTTTAATTAGATCCCATTTGTCAATTTTGGCTTTTGTTTCCATTGCTTTTGGTGTTTTAGACATGAAGTCCTTGCCCATGCCTATGCCCTGAATGGTAATGCCTAGGTTTTCTTCTAGGGTTTTTATGGTTTTAGGTCTAACATGTAAGTGTTTAATCCATCTTGAATTAATTTTTGTATAACGTGTAAGAAAGGGATCCAGTTTCAGCTTTCTACATATGGCTAGCCAGTTTTCCCAGCACCATTTATTAAATAGGGAATCCTTTCCCCATGGCTTGTTTTTCTCAGGTTTGTCAAAGATCAGATAGTTGTAGATACGTGGCATTATTTCTGAGGTCTCTGTTCTGTTCCATTGATCTATATCTCTGTTTTGGTACCAGTACCATGCTGTTTTGGTTACTGTAGCCTTGTAGTATAGTTTGAAGTCAGGTAGTGTGATGCCTCCAGCTTTGTTCTTTTGGCTTAGGATTGACTTGGTGATGCGGGCTCTTTTTTGGTTCCATATGAACTTTAAAGTAGTTTTTTCCAATTCTGTGAAGAAAGTCATTGGTAGCTTGATGGGGATGGCATTGAATCTGTAAATTACCTTGGGCAGTATGGCCATTTTCACAATATTGATTCTTCCTACCCATGAGCATGGAATGTTACTCCATTTGTTTGTATCCTCTTTTATTTCATTGAGCAGTGGTTTGTAGTTCTTCTTGAAGAGGTCCTTCACATACCTTGTAAGTTGGATTCCTAGGTATTTTATTCCCTTTGAAGCAATTGTGAATGGGAATTCACTCATGATTTGTCTCTCTGTTTGTCTGTTGTTGGTGTATAAGAATGCTTGTGATTTTTGTACATTAATTTTGTATCCTGAGATGTTGCTGAAGTTGCTTATCAGCTTAAGGAGATTTTGGGCTGAGACAATGGGGTTTTCTAGATACAGAGTCATGTCATCTGCAAACAGGGACAATTTGACTTCCTCTTTTCCTAATTGAATACCCTTTATTTCCTTCTCCTGCCTAATTGCCCTGGCCAGAACTTCCAACACTATGTTGAATAGGAGTGGTGAGAGAGGGCATCCCTGTCTTGTGCCAGTTTTCAAAGGGAATGCTTCCAGTTTTTGCCCATTCAGTATGATATTGGCTGTGGGTTTGTCATAGATAGCTCTTACTATTTTGAGATACGTCCCATCAATACCTAATTTATTGAGAGTTTTTAGCATGAAGGGTTGTTGAATTTTGTCAAAGGCCTTTTCTGCATCTATTGAGATAATCATGCGGTTTTTGTCTTTGGTTCTGTTTATATGCTGGATTACATTTATTGATTTTTGTATGTTGAACCAGCTTTGCATCCCAGGGATGAAGCCCACTTGATCATGGTGGATAAGCTTTTTGATGTGTTCCTGGATTCGGTTTGCCAGTATTTTATTGAGGATTTTTGCGTCAATATTCATCAAAGATATTGGTCTAAAATTCTCTTTTTTGGTTGTGTCTCTGCCCGGCTTTGGTATCAGGATGATGCTGGCCTCATAAAATGAGTTAGGGAGGATTCCCTCTTTTTCTATTGATTGGAATAGTTTCAGAATGAATGGTACCTGCTCCTCCTTGTACCTCTGGTAGAATTCGGCTGTGAATCCATCTGGTCCTGGACTTTTTTTTGTTGGTAAGCTATTAATTATTGCCTCAATTTCAGAGCCTGTTATTGGTCTATTCAGAGATTCAACTTCTACGTGGTTTAGTCTTGGAAAGGTGTATGTGTTGAGGAATTTATCCATTTCTTCTAGACTTTCTAGTTTATTTGCATAGAGGTGTTTATAGTATTCTCTGATGGTAGTTTGTATTTCTGTGGGATCAGTAGTGATATCCCCTTTGTCATTTTTTATCACGTCTATTTGATTCTTTTCTCTTTTCTTCTTTATTAGTCTTGCTAGCGGTCTATCAATTTTGTTGATCTTTTCAAAAAAACAGCTCCTGGATTCATTGATTTTTTTGAAGGGTTTTTTGTGTCTCTATTTCCTTTAGTTCCGCTCTGATTTTAGTTATTTCTTGCCTTCTGCTAGCTTTTGAATGTGTTTGTTCTTGCTTCTCTAGTTCTTTTAATTGTGATGTTAGGGTGTCAATTTTAGATCTGTCCTGCTTTCTCTTGTGGCATTTAGTGCTATAAATTTCCCTCTACACACTGCTTTGAATGCGTCCCAGAGATTCTGGTATGTTGTGTCTTTGTTCTCGTTGGTTTCAAAGAACAACTTTATTTCTGCCTTCATTTCATTATGTACCCAGTAGTCATTCAGGAGCAGATTGTTCAGTTTCCATGTAGTTGAGCGGTTTTGAGTGAGTTTCTTAATCCTGAATTCTAGTTTGATTGCACTGTGGTCTGAGAGATAGTTTGTTATAATCTCTGTTCTTTTACATTTGCTGAGGAGAGCTTTACTTCCAAGTATGTGGTCAATTTTGGAATAGGTGTGGTGTGGCGCTGAAAAGAATGTATATTCTGTTGATTTGGGGTAGAGAGTTCTGTAGATGTCTATTAGGTCCACTTGGTGCAGAGCTGAGTTCAGTTCCTGGATATCCTTGTTAACTTTCTGTCTCGTTGATCTATGTAATGTTGACAGTGGGGTGTTAAAGTCTCCCATTATTATTGTGTGGGAGTCTAAGTCTCTTTGTAGGTCACTCAGGAATTGCTTTATGAATCTGGGTGCTCCTGTATTGGGTGCATATATATTTAGGATAGTTAGTTCTTCTTGTTGAATTGATCCCTTTACCATTATGTAATGGCCTTCTTTGTCTCTTTTGATCTTTGTTGGTTTAAAGTCTATTTTATCCGAGACTAGGATTGCAACCCCTGCCTTTTTTTTGTTTTCCATTTGCTTGGTAGATCTTCCTCCATCCCTTTATTTTGAGCCTAGGTGTGTCTCTGCACATGAGATGGGTTTCCTGAATACAGCACACCGATGGGTCTTGAGTCTTTATCCAATTTGCCAGTCTGTGCCTTTTGATTGGAGCATTTAGCCCATTTATATTTAAGGTTAGTATTGTTATGTGTGAATTTGATCTTGTCATTATGATGTTAGCTGGTTATTTTGCTCATTAGTTGATGCAGTTTCTTCTTAGCCTTGATGGTCTTTACAATTTGGCATGATTTTGCAGCAGGTGGTATCGGTTGTTCCTTTCCATGTTTAGCGCTTCCTTCAGGAGCTCTTTTAGGGCAGGCCTGGTGGTGACAAAATCTCTCAGCATTTGCTTGCCCATAAAGGATTTTATTTCTCCTTCACTTATGAAGTTTAGTTAGGCTGGATATGAAATTCTGGGTTGAAAATTCTTTTCTTTAAGAATGTTGAATATTGGCCCCCACTCTCTTCTGGCTTGTAGCGTTTCTGCCGAGAGATCTGCTATTATTCTGTTGAGCTTCCTTTTGAGGGTAACCCGACCTTTCTCTCTGGCTGCCCTTAACATTTCTTCCTTCATTTCAACTTTGGTGACTCTGACAATTATGTGTCTTGGAGTTGCTCTTCTCGAGGAGTATCTTTGTGGTGTTCTCTGTATTTCCTGAATTTGAATGTCGGCCTGCCTTGCTAGATTGGGGAAGTTCTCCTGGATAATATCCTGCAGAGTGTTTTCCAACTTGGTTCCATTCTCCCCGTCACTTTCAGGTACACCAATCAGACATAGATTTGGTCTTTTCACATAGTCCCATATTTCTTGGAGGCTTTGTTCGTTTCTTTTTATTCTTTTTTCTCTAAACTTCTCTTCTCGCTTCATTTCATTCATTTTGTCTTCCATCACTGATACCCTTTCTTCCAGTTGATCGCATCAGTTACTGAGGCTTGTGCATTTGTCACGTAGTTCTCATGCAGTGGTTTTCAGCTCCATCAGGTCCTTTAAGGACTTCTCTGCCTTGATTATTCTAGTTATCCATTCGTCTAATTTTTTTTCAAAATTTTTAACTTCTTTGCCATTGGTTTGAACTTCCTCCTTTAGCTCGGAGTAGTTTGATCTTCTGAAGCCTTCCTCTCTCAACTTGTCAAAGTCATTCTCCATCCAGCTTTGTTCCGTTGCTGAAGAGCTGCATTCCTTTGGAGGAGGAGAGGCGCTCTGATTTTTAGAATTTCCGGTTTTTCTGCTCTCTTTTTTCCCTATCTTTGTGGTTTTATCTACCTTTGGTCTTTGATGATGGTGACGTACAGATGGGTTTTTGGTGTGTATGTCCTTTCTGTTAGTTTTCCTTCTAACAGTCAGGACCCTCAGCTGCAGGTCTGTTGGAGTTTACTGGAGGTCCACTCCAGACCCTGTTTGCCTGGGTATCAGCAGCTGAGGCTGCAGCACAGCAGATATTGGTGAACCACAAATGCTGCTGCCTGATCGTCCCTGTGAAAATTTTGTCTCAGAAGAGTACCTGGCCGTGTGAGGTGTCAGTCTGCCCCTACTTGGGGGTGCCTCCCAGTTAGGCTACTCGGGGGTCAGGGACCCACTTGAGGAGGCAGTCTGCCCATTCTCAGATCTCAAGCTGCGTGCTGGGAGAACCACTACTCTCTTCAAAGCTGTCAGACAGGGACATTTAAGTCTACAGAGGTTATTGCTGTCTTTTGTTTGTCTGTGCCCTGCCCCCAGAGGTGGAGTCTACAGAGGCAGACAGGCCTCCTTGAGCTACGTTGGGCTCCACCCCATTCGAGTTTCCCTTTGGCTTTGTTTACCTACTCAAGCCTGAGCAATGGCGGGCACCCCTCCCCCAGCCTCGCTGCCGCCTTGCAGTTTGATCTCAGACTGCTGTGCTAGCAATAAGCGAGGCTCTGTGGGCATAGGACCCTCTGAGCCATGTGTGGGATATAATCCCCTGGTGTGCCGTTTGTGAAGCCTGTTGGAAAAGCACAGTATTAGGGTGGGAGTGACCCGATTTTCCAGGTGCCGTCTGTCACCCCTTTCTTTGACTAGGAAAGGGAATTCCCTGACCCCTTGCGCTTCCCAGGTGATGCGATGCCTCACCCTGCTTTGTCTCACACACGGTGCGCTGCATCCACTGTCCTGCACCCACTGTCCGGCACTCCCCTGTGAGGTGAACCCTGTACCTCAGTTGGAAATGCAGAAATCACCCATCTTCTGTGTCGCTCACGCTGGGAGTTGCAGACTGGAGCTGTTCTTATTCGACCATCTTGGCTCCACCCCCACCCCCTCCACCCATGCATCTGTTTTTGTATGTACCTTTTATGTCAGGTTGAGTCCATAGTTTCCTCCTTCCGATTCCTCACTCATCATCTTCATATGACTAACCCCTAACTCATTTTCCATCCCATTTTTTATTCAAAAGAAGCTGCCGTGCTTCAGTATCGCCTCCAAATCTCTAAAATTTTCTTTTCCTCATGCACCATCTTTGACACTTTTTCAAAGTTTTTGAGGTGATGACCATTTTCAAGTCATCTTTTGTCTTATTTCCTTTCCTTTGGTTGTATTTTTTTTTTTTTTTTTTTTACCAAAACCCTTTATAAAAATGGTACCTGATGTTAAACTACCCATGAAAATGTCATCACAAAGACACCTGGAGCAGATTTTAGGTACTAAACAAATATTCTGGCATTGATTTGAACTGTATATATGAAGATGAGTACCAAAGAGTAAAGAGAGGAAAGAAGGGGGATCAATATAAAGATATCAAAAGAAGCAATCTAAAAATACACAATTTTAAGATTCAAGAATATTGAAAAATATTCAAGAATACTGTTTGGCAGAACAAAAGACAAAGCAAGTCTTTGTCAGCTGTCCGTTATTCTATCCAACAGAGTCCTTTAAAATAAAGCAATCTTGTTTTTATCACTCAGTCCATTCTGCAAGAAGTGAGCCTCCAACATCCGCACATTATTCTCTGTCTTGGTTCTGAACAGCTTGCTCTGCTATATGGCATTCCATCTCACAACAAGCTGCTCACTTCTAATTTTGTAACTCCTTGTCCACTTCTGGTCTCGCCTCTTACTTTGAATAAGTGAATTGGCACCACTTTGCCAGGTGAAACTACAGTTTTTCTCACCATTTTTATCCCTGGTGTGTAGGATGGTGTCTGGGGTCAAGGAAGGGCTTAATGTGTCTGGCTGATTGGGTGGTGCCATGGGTGGTTGCTGACAAACATCTGCATGGCCTGGTCTATACTTGGGACCCTCTGCCTCAGCCTCTCCCATGAGCATGTTACTTATCAAACCCATGTCACTCTTCCTAAGAAAGCCATGCCAAAACATTGAGCCCCTCTTTCTGTCTTTACAGAGAAAGTATCATCTGCCAGGATTCTCAGTCCTGGACAGCAAGCAGTTAACCCTGGGGAAGGGAGAAAGGAGAAGACAATGGAGGAATGGTCTTCATTTCCAGGGGCATCTGCTTCCCAAAATGAAACATTTGGAAGTTTTTTGAGGGCTCAAGAAGGGAGCTCTAAAATGCAACATGTGAAGTGAGGTTATTTAAATTCTGATCTAACTGTGTGGCCTATCTTCATGCCTGCATTAAAATTGTTCAGACTTTGACCATCCACCCCCGTCATTTTGTTTGGATTAGCTGAGGGCTCCACTTGTGTGGTACGTTTTGATTTTGTCTGACACAGTGTTCCCATCGCATCCTCCCTCAAGTAGGTCTGGAGGAAAAAATGTACTTAGCTGAGAAGTCACAATCTCTGTTTTTTATGCTTCCAAGGAAACTTAACAGGAAATGGCTTTGCTTTGCCATATTTAGGATAGATTAGAGTACAGATTCAAGGAGTTTTCCTCAAGTTACATTTTACACAGAAACTCAAGGACAAATGCAAAGAAAGAAATGGTCTCAGAATCCAACTCCAGGATGCTTATAGGGTCCGATTAAAGCTTTCCATTTGATAGATGAGGGTATTAATTTCTGGTAAGGGAAAAGGTTTTACTTAAAGCTGTGTAATGAACTACTGATGGCTTAACAACCAGGACTAGAACGCAGGTCTCTTGTTGCTCTTATCCATAAAATAGAAATTCAGCTAAAACATACTCTATGGATCTGTAAAGTCATACGTTTTCATTTTAACTCTGATTCCAATGCAGTGACCAAAAATTGTATTTCTCAGGTTTGGTCACCTGTATTCTCATGTGTTTGTGAAGGGTGGGTACAGGGAACAATGCAGAGAATATGGGCTTCTCAGGAATCATCATGGAGGGAGTTCTATGGGGTCTATAAAGAGTGAAAGCAGTAAAGGTAAGATCAACTAGTTCTAGATTTGCAAGGTCTTCATAGGACGTTGTTCCCTGCCACCTGGAGATTGTCTTCTTTTTACTCTTTAACAAAAGTGTGAGGAGAGATGGGGTGACAGAGAAATATTCAACACAAACTAGTGCATTACATTGTTTTCTTCTAGAGGAACAGTAAGACAGTCTCTACAGCAGAATGGTGAGCAGTGGAAGCTTCCACAAGATGAAGCAACTTTATTCAGTACGTTTTTGCAGAACAGGACATGTACCTCAGCATGCTGTAGAGAAACAGCTTTTAAGTTGGTCAGAAGGTAGGCAGGGTTGTACATTATTTTCCCCCAACTTTGTGAGGCAATAGGAGGGAAGGAATAAAGGTAGGAAAAATGAAGGGTGACAGGGTGAATTTAAAAGAGTGTTCTGAAATATTCCGAGTCTGTCTTGATTTCCTAACCATGTTCCATCGATAGGCCATGCATGCAGGCTTTGATCCATTTTAGTCACAGAGGAAATCCTATTATAAAGAGAGATTCAGCCCCACTTTCTGGGAAGAGTGAAAACACTGGGAATTAAGTGGAGTTTCTAAGCAAAAGGAAAATCCAAAGTGCCAGAGATGACTCAGCACAGGTCAGTATAGCTCCTATGTTGTAAAATAGGAGTTTTCTAGTCCCTCTTCATCCTCCCAGGTATGCTGGGATACTCTGATTAAACAGCAATATCCATATTAACCAACACTTCAGTTCATTTGAGTGCATTTCAATACATTAGGAGCTGTGAATGTATTAGGTATTTTGAATGCATTATATTTGATCCCAGCAACAATCTTGAAATGCAGATATTATCAATGAATCTTCTACAGAAAAACACAACAGAGACTCAAAGTAAATTATTTAGTCCCAGGTCACATGGTCCCATGGCACAGTAGCTGTAGAGTTTAATGGTTAAGAGCATGGACTCTGGAAACAGAATACCTGTGTTCAAGTCATAGCTTTGCTGCTTGCTAGTGGGGGAAAATAGACAGCATCTAAGATGGCCCCAGTTGATCCCCATTTCCTGTTATTCATGGACTTCTTCTAATCTTTTCCTCTTGAATAACCTACCTGTAACCAACAGAATATGGCAACATAGTGGGGCTGTCATTTTGTTGAGTAAGTTACAAAAGATTGTGGTTTCTTACTAGTGGACTCTCTCTGCTGCTGGCTTTGATTAAACAAGTTGTCATGTGAGAGAAGTCTTTGTGGCAAAAAACTGAGGGTACCTCACACCAACAGCCAGTGAAGAATGAGGGCCTTCAGTCCAATGCCCATGAGGAATTGAATTCTTCCAGCAGCTATGTGAGTTAACCTGAAAACAGATTCTTTCCCAGTAAAGCCTTCAAATGTAACCTGTTTCAGAGGACGCCTTAATTACACCTTTCTAAGGTTTGAATTTGCGCTCATGAAAACTCATGTTGAAATTTGTTCCCATATGTGGCAGTGTTGGGAGGTGGTCTAGCGGGGAGGTATTTGGGTCATGGGGACAGATGCTTCATGAATAGCTTGCTGCCCTTCTCACGATAGCAAGTTCACACTCTCTTGAGAGTTAGTTGTTATAAAGTCAAGACACTCTTTGGGTTTTGTCTCTTTGCACATATCTGCTTCCTCACTGACCTTCTTTGCCATGTTATGAGACAGCATGAAAGCCCTCACCAGAAGCCAGGGCTATGTCCTTGAACTTTCTGCCTATAGAAACATAAGCTAAATAAACCTCTTTTCTTTATTAATGACCAAGCCTCAGATATTCTGTTACAGCAACACAAAATAGACAAAGACGCAACCTTATGAGAAACGTTGAAGCAGAAGATCCAGGTGAGCCATGTTTTGATTCCTACCTCACAGAAAATGTGAGATAATAAATATTTATTGTTTTAAACTTCTAAATTTTGGGATGATTCTTTATGCAACATCAGGTAACCAATATAGGGAATGTGAGCAATTTCTTTAATTTCTGCCTGCCTCAGTTTTTTTACTCCTACTGTAGAAGTAGATCATCGTGATTATTTCATAGGGTTACTTAGAGGATTCTGTGTGAATATATATACAAATATATATATATATAGCCTGACATTGGGCAAATGCTGCCTAAGTTTGAAAATAGCAAAGCTGATATTCAAACCTGAGTCTGTCTGCTGCCCAAGCCCTTTGCCCTGGCAGCAGGCTCTCATGCACCATGCCAGTCCATACGAATATTGTCTTTAAAATCTACTTTACACCTCAGTTATGATTTTGTTTCTTGTTTCTTGCTGCATCCCTAAATTTATTTTATCCCTGACTCAGTGATGGCTTCAATTCCTAAACTCATTCTTGACCTTTGAACCAAAGAGGGAATTGACTTTTCCACTTGACTGCTTAGCATGTTTTCCTGGACTCCTATTCATTCTAGGCTTCCCGTGTCCTGTGCCCAGTTTAACTCATGCCTAGTATCACTGTGCCTCATTTCTGAGCTTGGAACTAAAGTTACATGCTACATAATGGCATTTTGGTCAATAATAGGACATATATATGTCCTGGTGATCTCATAAGATTATAATACTGTACCTTTTCTGTGTTTAGATATGCAAATACTTACCATTGTGTTATAATTGGCTACAGTATTCAGCATAATAACATGCTGTAGAGGTTTGTAGCCTGGGAGCAATAGACTATACCATATAGCCTAGGTGTGTGGTAGGCCATACCTTCTAGGTTTATGTAAGTACACTCCATGATGTTCACACAATGGCAAAATGGCCTAATGATGCATTTCTCAGAATGTATCCCCATGGTTAAATGGTACATGCCTGTGCCCATGGTTAAGTGACACGTGCCTGTGTATCAGGATCTGTATGTGGTATTCTGGAAAGCCAGAAAGAACAATGACTAAGGGCAAGAAGATTTGTCTTCTTTCTCCAATTCCTCCTTAAAGTAACTCACTTTATCATTTTCTGCATCTCAATTCATCACATGTGACATGGGTATTATAATTTCTATCTTATGGAGACACCATATGCATTAACTACGACGTGGAAGATAGAACAGTTGACATTAATTAGGTGCCCCGATAAATACTAATCCTGCTCTTGCATTCCTTAGCTATAGCACTCCATGGTTCTAGCTGTAAGTGCTTCAAGTAGAGGCCATGGAAAGTACTAGAACATCTCTCTCTCTGTTATGACCCCTTCTCCATTCTTCCGTGACCTCTTTCTCAATGGAATTAATATTTCTATTTGGGAAAATGTTAGGCAGCTTCAGAGATAAGTCCTTCAAGTTTTCTGAATGTGCGTTGGACTTCTGGGGCAAAAAGTCAGCCTGTTTTATACCCTATACTTCCTCCCTCCTGTCCTCATTCCATTGCTAAATCACAGGAACCCTGCCCTTCTCTCCCATCTTCATTCCAAGTACCTGCTTGTTAAGACTTCAAGAATATATAGACATACAGCCACCGTGTGTCCCAGATATTCTAGTTTGATCAATCATATTATCATGTAGTTTTTACCCACTGGCTCCCATAAAGTTCTCTAAGCCTTAGTTACTTCGTGCATAAAATGAGGTTAGAAGTCCTGTTCTGGAGCATAATGATAATGTATATAAAATGCCTTACACACAAGACTCAATTTAGAATTATTATTGTCTTAAAGGTTGTGCAAAGCTAAATTGTTATTTATCTTTGTAAAGATTTCACTATGCATATATTGGTAAATTTAAAAATCCTTTGTCAGATTATTTATTCCTCCTAAACCAGAAAATTTTCAGGATGTCAATAATACTGAGTGTAGTTGTGGTCACTTCAGTGTAGGCCAATGGAACACATGTGCAATGTAGACCAAGCTAGGCTTCAATCTCATCTGGGCCTCATAGTAGCTCAGTTCAGCTATGCAAACTTGGCAAGCTCCTTGGCCTTGCAGACTTAAGTTTCTTCATCTGCACAATTGTTATACTGCAACACACCTTGCAAGGATTTTGTATACATGAGCTATCTATCATATACTGGGGACTCAATATGTTAGCTCTCTTTCCCCAGCAACATAGCCTTTCCAAGATATCCATTTTTACTAATTGAAGATAATGCCTTGCCTTGTTTTATCTGGTGTGGGATTTTATAATGTTAATGTTCCTCCGTGAGTGAAAGCTGCCTTAGATTAGGCTCTTAATACATGACCTAAAACATGGATAACCCATCCCCCTCACCACCCACCTCCTCCTGTAACTCAAAGATTTGTTTCTCATCTAGAAAAATCTTTCTTTAAAATTCAAAAGGCCAAGGCCAAGGGGTCTTCTGAGAGAAATCAAATCCCTTTATACTTTGCCAGATAATTTTCCCACAAAAAGGAAATTCTACAAATACTCAGATGACATCACCGAGAAAAGGCTCTTGTTTCCCCCGGGCGCAGCCTCCCTGGAAGATGACAAGGGTTAGGAATAGAGGAACCCTGGGCCACTTGTCGGATTTGGCAAGCGGCAGCCAACAGCTGGTCTGGCCGGTTAATTAGCTCTGCACTCTGCTCCTGTCCAGCCTCTACTGGCAAAGGCAGAAGGAAGCGGCTCTGGCCTGCTTTTCTCTTTCTATTAACAAAGCCCAGTGCCACTGGATTACCTTGGCCTCCAGCCAGGGCTGTGCGCCCTTTGCCTGCCTGTGGGTTGCCATGGCAATAGTGATGTGCCTTTTGCCAAGGCAGCAGCTGGTGGATGGGCAGCCCATTACCTGCCAAGCAGATCCACTAGCTCCAAAGTACAAATCTTTCTCAGATAAGTAAAATAAATGGGGGGGTTGGGGTGGGGGATTTCTAGACTTAGGAAACAAGGAAGGAGGATTCTCTACACCTTTTGCTCCATTTTCCCTATTTTAATTTACTAACAAAAGGTGACTATCTTCCTTCATTTGTCCAGATGCCCATCTGCTAAACACATAGGCCCATCTCATGAATTTTTCTGAAGAAAGGCAATAAATAATTTATTCTGTGTCTTTGCAGCAAAAAACATGCTGCCTGCCCCTAGCATCCAGAGGCAAAACACAGTGTCTTCCACACTGCAGAGCAGGGCTTCAGCAAAGGAAATGTGTCAGTCTGTTTGTGTTACAATAGCAGAATACCAGAGACTGGGTAATTTATTTTAAAAAAAATTTTTTTCTTATAATTCTGGAGGCTGGGAAGTCCAAGGTCAAGGGGCCCCATCAGGGGACAAACTTCTTGCTGTGTCATGATATGGTGGAGGGCACCACGTGGCAAGAGGGCAAGAGTGTGTATACTTGTTCAGTTCTTTTTTTGTATAAAGCCACCAGTCCCATCACAGGGAGCCACCTTAATGACCTTATCTAATCCTAATTAGCTCCCAAAGACTCCATCTCCAAATATCACCAACATATAAATTTGAAGATTGTTTCCAACACATGAAACATGGGGAACACATTCAAACCATAGAAAAAGGGTCCTAGGCAGAGGAAAGAATTTCTGGAAAGACAGGAAGGTATCGCCTACAGTGAAATTATTGTGAAAATATTGTGGAAAATATAGAGTGGGTGATGGTCCTTAATTAGGAGAAAATAACCCAGAGATTCCGGGTCCTGATTGTTAGAATACCTTATTTCATCTTAAATTTTATCCAGAAAGCATTTGTTAAACGCCAACTGTAGATACACTTAGTTTTTATGGCATTTCAAGCATCAGTTTCCTCCATCCTCCACGTGTAATCAATACTGGGACTATCTAGATCAGGGAAGATTTCAAAAGGCAGACCAAGGGAAGTGAGAAGGACATTTCAGGCAGAGAAAGTAGGTTAACCTAGGGATACAAACAGGATTGAAGTGGGGAATCATGAATGCTTTGCATAGCTTGAGTTTGGGAGCTTGTGTATGGAAGAGAGTAGAGTAGAGGTGTAGTCAGGGAAAGCAGGCTGCAGTTTTTCATGTATTAGAGGAATATGCATTGAGAAATTTGCATTCTGTTCTCTAGGCAGTGTGGAGCTAGTAAAGTTTCTTAAGCCTGGAGTGAAGCAACTGGTTATGCTTTAAGATTTAAACTCACTGTGTTTTCCAGAATGGATTGGACCAAGGCAAAAGACAAAGGGGGTAGGGACATGAAAGGCCTGAAAAAGGGTAACAGTGGTAATAATGAAGAGGAAGCAAGTTCAAGACCTGTGTCAGCAATGACTCAGTATTACCATACTAATAGCTAATATGATGAGAGGCCTTCTATGTCTCCATAATGATTGTTCTCTATGCATGTCCATCTTTAGCTCACACGTCAACCTCGTCACTGTCATCATCATTATTCCCACATGGTCTCTATCTTTAAGTCCCACTTTACAGATAAGAAAATTGACTCTGAGATGTTACTGTAATTTCATAGCTGGTAGTACCAGCAAAGCGTTGTTTTGTTGTTTCAATTAAAAGAAGTCTGATTCTAGATATTTGAATCTTAACAATTTGACAGCAATGTCTCCCAAATTTCATTCATTTCTGGGCCATTGTTTTGGTTAATATTGATTATCAGCTTGATTGGATTGAAGGATGCAAAGTATTGTTCCTGAGTTGTGTCTGTGAGGGGTGTTGCCAAAGGAGATTAACATTTGAGTCAGTGGATTGGGAGAGGCAGAACCACCCCTAATCTGAGTGGGCACCATTTAATCAGCTGCCAGCATGGCTAAAATAAAGCAGTCAGAAGAACATGGAATGACTAGACTTGCTGAGTCTTCTGGGCTCTTTCTTTCTCCCATGCTGGATGATTCCTGCCCTTGAACATCAAACTCCAAGTTCTTCAGCTTTAGAACTCTTGGACTTACACCAGTGATTTGCCAGGGCCTCTCGGGCCTTTGGCCACAGACTGAAGGCTGCACTATTGGCTTCCCTACTTTTGAGGTTTCGGGTTTTGGACTGGCTTCCTTGCTCCTCAGCTTGCACATGGCCTATTGTGGGACTTTACCTTGTGATTGTGTGAGTCAATCTCCTTAATAAACTCCCCTTCATATATACCTCTATCCTAGTAGTTCTGTCCCTCTGGAGAACCGTGACTAATACAGCCATGCAAAACTCATAATCTAAGGTAAGGGGTGGGTTAGCAAACTTTTTCTGTAAAAGGCTAGTTAGTAAATATTTTAGGTTTTTTGGCCATGCGGTCTATTTCACAAATAATCTGCCATTGTAGCATGAAAACACCAATAGACAATACATAAACAAATGAGAGTGACTGTTTTTCAATATGATAATCCTTTATTTAAAAAAGAAAAAGCAAAAATGTAACAGCAGCAGATCAGATTTAGCCTGTGGGCTGTAGACTGACACCCCTGATCTAAAGTTAAAAATATAGGAAGGAGGTCTTCTTTGGATGTAAACATGGTACAGCTAAGGTGGAGGATTAATGCACTAGACATGGAGGAATCCTATAGTTCGAGAAACAAAAATTTATGGTCTAAAACACCTTTAGATTTCATCTAGTCCAAGGGCTGTAAACCTAAACAGATTGACTAGAGATCAGCAATATTAGGGAAGGACTGGGAATGATGAGCTTTGGGGCTTATCTCTTAAAGAAAGCTGGGCTAACTTTGAAGATATCATCACCAATATGCCTTTTGCTTTCCTAGCAAAATCAGTAGAGTAAAGCTTAACAAAAGTTCTTTGGCTAAAGTTATATAACAGTTGAAATTAAAGCACATTATAGGGGACTCCATGATAGCATAACTGGTACTACAAATGGCCTTTGGAGGACTTGTAAGTCTCCTGAGATTATTGGCAGAATTGTTTGGAGATGTGTGTGCATATGATCACTCCCCCTACACTGTCCCCTACCTGCAGATAAATAGTACAAGTCAGTGGATGAAGATGCTAGTGTTGCACTGAGACAAGCCGAGGTGCAAACATGGTATCTCTCAGTCATTAACTTTGTTACAGAGAGCCAGCTTAACCTGTCTTAGTTTACAGATCTATAAAACAGGACAAAAATACCAACATTTGTGTGTAAGGGGGATGATGTTCTGATGATTGAATAATGTAAGCCATTATGGTGTAAATTAGATATAAATCATTACATACAGAACCCCTTAAGTAGGATTTAAAAAAAAAAAAAAAGACAGAGTCTAGCTCTCCCAGAAAGAGGGTAGTGGAGTGGTTAAATTCATCGTCTCTGGAGATAGAAACCTATATCGCATTTTTTTCATTTGCAAAATAAATAACTAAATAAAAAATAAACATGGGTAAACACAGAATTCACTTCATTGAGGGAGGTTGTGAGAATAAAATGAGATGGTGTTTATGAAGAGTTTAAAGAATACCTGACACATAGCAGGTACTCTTTGAGTTAATAATTTATACAGGTGGGTAAACTGAGCCCTAAGATACCATGTGACTTGCCCCAAATCAGAATACTTCTTAGAAATTTTCCAATTTTGGAAGTAAGAGAATAGTAGAAAGTTTAATTCTAAAATATGGCTTTTGTTTCTACATGAAATTTAAGAGGAAAATGTGTTATGAATAATAAACATTTCTACAGTGCTTGCTTGATGCCATTGATATTCTAAGTGCTTGCATTTACCTTTCATGCATCCTCTCAACAACCTTATAAGGTAGGCACCGTCTTTTATTTTCTTTCTTTATTGTTTTTGAGACAGAGTCTCACTCTACTTCCCAGGCTGGAGTGCAGCGGCATGATCTCGGCTCACTGCAACCTCTGCTGCCCTGATTAAAGAGATTCTTGTGCCTCAGCCTCCTGAGTAGCTGGGATTACAGATGCATGCCACCACGCCTGGCTAATTTTTATATTTTTAGTAGAGACCAGGTTTTACCACATTGGCCAGGCTGGTCTCAAACTCCTTGCCTCACGTGATCCACCCGCCTTGGCCTCCCAAAGTGCTGGGATTACAGGCATGAGCCACTACGCCCGGTTGATTTTTTCATCTGAAGAAATCAAAGCACAAAGAAGTTAAAATACATTTTCAGGGTAACTTGGTAGTAAATGGTAGGGTTAGGATTTGAACACAGGCACTTTGCTGAGCTGCCCTTCCTATAACGTTACTAAGTTCAGGCAGAAGAGTAGTAGAGGGTAATGAGAAAAGGCAGTTGTGAAAACATAGGTATATCGCATCGCCATAGATTTGAGAGCACAAGGACAGAACCCCAAACTCCTAATCAGAAGGCTTCAGAGTATGAGATCTGTCTGATTCAATAAGGTTGTCCAATCATTAGGTGTTTGCCTATAGTCCACCTCCTCGATGAAGGCTGAACTACACCCTTCTTCATCTCTGGGGAATTATTCTTTCCCTGTTGTGTGTTCCCATGGTTCCCTCATCCAGACTTCTGTTGTAGCCTCTGTAGCACAGTAAGTGTGTTGGATTACCTTCTGTCTATCTTATTTGTAAGTCCTTGAAGATGATGGCTCTGTCTTATCCATCTTTGCATTCTCTGGACCAGCACAATGCCTGGCACAGTAAAGCACCTGATTCATTTTTACTGACTACATAAACAAATCCACAAAGAAATGTATGAGAGAAAGGGGTGGGTTCAGAGGTCATGCTAAGACTTGAGGAAAAATCAGGACTTTGTGGTAATGAACTCCTCAGCAGCCTAATGAAGCTATTGCATGACTCCCATCCCAGCTGGATGTTAAAAGGAAAGCTGACACGAACCCGTGTTCTGCTAAGAATAACACCTACAAGATAGCAATGTTTGAAATAAGCCTGTCTCTGGAAAGGGTCCTGAGCCTTGTAATTTTACTTTTATAGTCATGGCCCCAGCATGTTTGACTTTTCAAATCCCCTTACTGAGATCCAAGGGTCTGTTTACAAAAGCCGTATCTTAAACTTGTTCCTCTGTGAAGTACAAGTGGGATTTGTACTCCTCTGTATAAACTGGTCCCCTGGAGCGACACTGCATTCTCTCCTTGCTGGATTTCTCTATTTCATGGAATGGGAAGAGAAAGCAAACAGCATCATACAGAGTTGGTTATAAACGTCTCTCAGGAACCAACCCCTCTAACAATAACAATAACAACAGTAATAATAATAGTCCCAAACCACTATCTCCCAGAGCAAATGGGAACTTAACAGGAAAAATGAGATGAACACCAGAAGAGAAATAGAACAGTTTATGTGCAATGTTCTAGGCAGCAGACAGGAGCCAGGGACATTGGAAACAGGGCTGAAAAACAAAAGAAACCATTTACAACACAAAGTAAAAGTATTCAGGACTTAATTCAGGATTCAGGAAGAGCTACCAGGACATCAAGTTTATGGGATTCCAATGTGGTCTGGTTAAGATATTTAGGACCAAACCACACCCCTGTTATCACAAATACATCATGGTGGCTTTACAATGTGTCAGCTTGGCTCAGCTGAACTACATTTCCCAGAATTCCTTTTCTAGCACGTTTCTGGACAGCGTGGGCCACAGCAGAGATTCTTGAGCAATATTTTAATGGTACCAACACCATTTTGTAGATGACAAAGGATGTCACTTACCTGTTTGCTCACTTTGTCAGCATGGGGCAATAGTTGGACTGGAAGCTGCTCCAGCTTCCTCTGGTTTCTTTTTCAACTTCTCTCTCTCCTGGACCAGAGGTGTATGGTTAGCCCTGTGATGAAAGTGCCAACATCTCCTATAAGACACCCACACCCTCAAGGACAGAGGTAGCAAGAACTGACACAATTTTCGGCCCATCCTTGTGGGTTCCAGCTTGCCCTTGTTTCTCCTACTTTAATCCATCTTCTCTCCCTGATGGGCTTCAGGGTGCAGCATTGGATGAAAAGACAAGAACCTTATAGAAACTCCTTCACCAGCCCCACAATTGTGCCAGGTCAAATCCCTGTAATGAATCCCTTATTATATATGTATTTATATTACTTACAATTTTGCATTTCTGATTGGACACTGGCACATCTTCAAGAAAATGGAAAGTTCACACACTTTGAGCCAGAGAAATGGACCTGGGTTCAAATCCCACTCTTGTCACTCCTTATTTTTAACCTTCTATATAGATTCTTTATCTTGATGGTCCTAGGACTTCTTATGTGTAACATGGAGATAATGCCCACTTTATAGGGATGTTTTAAAGAAAATAAGTATGCAAACTACCTAGCTTATAATAGTGACCCATTATGATGGGAGGATACTTTGTTCACTCTTTACTTAAGGTAGCTTCTCTTTTCTCCAGTCCATCAAAATAAGCTTTATTAGGACAAATGGTACTGGATACATGTTCCTTGGTTAATTTGTGATGAGTTGTTACAGCTGCCCATTTCCGGAAAGTAATGCAGATGAGGCTGGTTTGACTCAAGCCATGCTTGCTTCCTACGAAGTGAGTCACTGTAGACCATTTCCTCTTCACTGCAGGGGTATACATGTCTCACTCAGAATGAGCTGAGAACATGTGGCACAGATTCTAATCCCCAAACGTTTCCATATGGCCCCTGGCTGTGGATTCCCCAGCTCTGACTCGTCCATCTCTCCTTGCCTGTCTTGGTTATCAGAGTGCTGTGGGCCAAAGTTGCTGAAAAAGACAATGAGGGCCTTGCTAGTCAGCTTAGTGAGTCTGACGAGCCCCTAGCTGAGTCCACCAGTGATCTCTCAGTATTCAGACAACCAAGGGTATCAGTGTCCTGACCCTGGGAGCTGTCTTTGGATGCAGACAGCTTTCTTTAGCCTAATGATGGGTATTATCAGAACTAGATTCCCGAGGACAAATCCAAAAATCTCCCTTGTATTTATCTAACGAAGCAGAAGGTACAGAGAATTAGTCCAGAGAACCGCAAATATCTAACCTTACCAGGTTAACTCACTGCAGAAGCAATTGGAATTAATAAAAGAAGCATTGGGTTGAAAGTAAGAAGATGGAGATTCCAGTCCATGTCTATATTTCTTACATGGCTAAGGGAATTGTGGAAAGCCAGTAGGACTCAGTTTTCTCTTCTGTTACCAGCTCGAAGGTCCTTCAACATGGGTTAATAAAGAAGACTATATTATCAAACAATAAATACTTTTGAATATTTATTATTTGTCAAGTACTTTGCAAAGTTATATAGAATAAACAAAAAAGACGTGATTTCTATCTTCAGGAGAAAGCCAAATATTGAACATTTAAAAAGTTATTACATAACAAGTCAATAACTGAAAAAGTGTCAAAGGCAGAATGTGATTTGTTGCTGTGTGACTTGCACAAAAAATGTCTTTCAAAAAATCAAAGAAATTGAAAGAAAAAGCAAGGGAACTGTGAACTAATTGAAGATATGTTTGTTTTTGATAAAGTATAGGATCTGGAGAGGTTAAAAAAAGAGAAAAGAGAGAAACAGGCAAAGAATTAGATTCTCTGCTCAAACTAGACAACTGGTCATGGGACAAGATTCTGGGCATCTCAGTCCTCAGTTTTCTTACCTACCCTGGGGAGTTATCAGGTTAATCTTAGAGGGAGTCAGCCTGAGTAAGTAATTAGGTGATACTCCCTAGTGCTTTGAACATCATACAAATGGCAACCACTGTTTATCGGCCAAATGGCATCATTAAACCCTAGCGATACGTACACAGAGACCTTGGCAAGCAAAGGGAAAGGAACTAAAATAAGCATAAGCTATAGGATTGTCCCTAAGAAGGTTAACAATCCTATTGGGAAGATGTGATTTTTAGTCAAGGAACTATTTCAGCCGCAGTCCTTGAAACTGTTATGTAGACCCATTGTGAATCTACTAAACTGAAGTAAAATGAAAGTAGGTAATCTGGCTTGAACTACTGAGCCAATATAGAATCAGAGCATTTCTACTCAAATCCTCACTCCCTGCCACCCTGGAATAGTGCAACACTGAAAATTTATGCAAGGAGAGGAAAATGTGTGAAAATTTTCACCACAATCTCTTCTCTCACAAAGCCAAGAACTTGGTGTCTTTTTTGCAAATTTGCAAAATGACAAAAAGACTTCTCAGGCTGTTGGGAACAGATTGTCCCTTTGGCCCAAGTGAAAGGGGGGTGAGGGGCTAACTGCTGAGTAAGAAACATGTCTGATGCACTGATATGATATTTTTATTTAAACTTTAGTGGTTTGAATAGGATGACTAAGGCTTTTCATAAAATTATTATTTTGGCCTTGCAAATTTACAGATCTGTTTTCAGTCAAGTTGATCTTTGTTTCTTGCAGGGCAATATTTCAAAAGGGGAAATTGGTATGGTTGACCTAGATGAGGGCATCTCAGCATTCTTCCCTTCATGGGGTCTTAGTGAGGTGCATTATTGGGCCTGACTCCCAAACGCAACTGACTTATATTTTCTAACTTTTCAAGAGACTGTCTTTTGATATTTTAGAGTACAGAAAGATGTTATAGATTATATCCATGTTCCAGCCAGCTGGCACAAATAACAGTATCATGATCACTTATCATGGTTCCTTAATTTGAAAGAGTTTTGGTTTAAAAAGAGCTTTCATATTCATTATCTTAATGACATTCTTTTCATTTCGTACTTTACCTAATGCTACCTGGCAAAGTTGTCCAGGTCCGACTTCTCTAATGGATGTCTGCTGAGGGTAGTGGTAGGTGTTGTTCATCTTGGTTTCTACCACAGTGCCAGGTGCTTGTTTTGCAAACAGTGAGCATGTTTTACCAGTGATTTTCCAAAGCGATTTTGACTCCCGCAAAACAACCTTGTAGGTTAGGTGAGGCCAGAAATGTTGCCATTTAATTAACCAAGGCTAAAAGAGGCAATAGGTCTTGTCTAAGGATCAGCCCATCCACCATCATTTCCTCCTTTTTATCCAGGCCGATAATTCACAGATGCCTTTGTTTCACCCAACATCCCTGTCTTCACCTGGGTAACCCCTGGTTATTCCAAGATTCATTTCAGAGTATTTCTGCTCTAAAATAATACTATGATATGAGACCTTGACATACTCTCTTCTGTCTTCTCTCAAAGTAATTCTGATGATATATAGAGACAAAAACTCATTGAAAAGCCCCTAATACAGGACTCTCAAACTCTTGCCAGAAATTGAAGGAAATTTCACTTGCTGCATGATATGCTTCGGCTCTGTTTCTCCACCCAAATCTCATGTTGAATTGTAATCTCTGATGTTGGAGGTGGGGCCTGGTGGGAGGTGATTGAATCATGAAGATGGTTTCTAATGGTTTAGCACCATCCCCCTAGTGCTGTCTCATGATAGAGTTCTCACAAGATCTGGCTGTTTAAAAGTGTGTAGCACCTCCCACTTCATTCTCTTCCTCCTGCTCCAGCCATGTAGGACATGCTGGCTTCCCTTCAACTTCCACCATGATTGTAAGTTTCTTGAGGCCTCCCCAGCCATTCTTCCTGTACAGCCTGTGGAACCATGATCCAATTAAACCTCTTTTCTTTATAAATTACCCAGTCTCAGGTATTTATGTACAGCAGTGTGGGAACAAACTAATACACTGCAAAACTTCAGCAATTCAACAAAGAATCACCATTTATGGCTGTTGTGTTCACACTGCTCTTTGAAATGAGATAGGTCCACTGGTTAAAAAAAGAGGTGAGAAAATGCTTTGTCACATCCCCCTCATGTATATAGCTATTTTTTTTCATCATAGACTCAGAGTTTTGGTCCACCAGAAAAGAATGTTATTTTTCAACTGAATAGGGCCAACTTATTGAAAGGTAAGATATTCTATCTCATCCAAGAATCTTTTCCAATAATAAAATATGCATAAGTGCACATACACACACATACACTACCCCCCACACTTACACACACTGTACATAAGTATTTTTTCAAATTCTTTTAAAGTGTTCTATCATTTGGAGCTTCAATTTTCAAATCATCTGGAATACATATTTTAATATGGCATGAGTTTGAGATTTATTTTTTTAAAAATCGAGTGTTCACTGTCCCTGTTTTATTTTTGAAAAGCCTGTTACACCTATTAATTTGTAATGTCACCTCAATAACTTCTTTATGTGCAGGGGTATATCTCTGGGCAATGTATTGAGTTCTACTGATGTTATAATTAACAGTTTTAATTAATGTGGCTTTAAAGTAAGTCTTGATACCTGCTAGGAGAAGTATATCTCATAAATTTTCTCTCCATTACTACTGCTGTCATCTTCATTGGTGATTTTCATATTCTTGCACATGGATCTATCCAGTAGCCCATCTTCTTTTCCTGATCTTATTCTCCTTGCCACCTACACTTATCCAAACCTATGGTCATGATTTAGATCTGACTATTACTTATAATTATTCCCTTACAAAAGAAAACAGTCTCAGCTTCTATTATCTCCTTTGTCTGATGGACACCTCCTGTCTTTTCAGCTCTGACTCTCTAGCACTCCCTTTCTAAAATGCCTGCACCTCACTGGGAACTCTAATGCATGGTGCAGGTGGCAATCTGATATTAGACCAATATTCTGGCATTATAATCACATGCTTGCTTTTCTCTTGCCAGGGTACTTGTGTTAGTTTCCTATTGCTGGCATAATAAATTGCTACAAATTTAGTGGCTTAATACAAGTTCATGACCTAATGATTTTGTAGGTCAGAAATTTTAAAATACATGGGTTTCACAAGCTAAAATCAAGGTGTCGGCAGGGCTATGTTCCTTTTTGGAGGTTCTATGGGAGAATCCATTTCCTTGACTTTTCCAGTTTCTAGAGACTGCCTGCACTGATGCATTCCTTCCATCTTCAAAGTTAGCGATGAGTGATCAAGTCTTTCTCACATCACATAACTCTGACACCAACACTGTTCTGCCTCTCTCTTTCACTTATAAGCATCTTTGTTATCTTTGTGATTACGTTGGCCCAAGTCAGATAACAGAGAATAATCTCCTCCATTTCTGGCCAGCTGATTGACAAGTCAGTTTCATCGGCAACCTTAATTCTGCCTTGTTACATAACCTAATAGAATCACAGATTCCTGAAGATAGGACATGGACATCCTAATGGGGCCATTATTCTGCCTACCACAATATTCAAATGGCAAGACCTCACATTGGTGAAATTAAAATCTTGCTCATACTCTGGCCCCATACTCCAGGAGCTGAACATGACAGAACATGACATTCACCTCATGAGAACCTCAGGTGTTCCTCTGCAATTCTAAATTAACTCATTTAAATGCCACCTTTTCATTCACTCGCCATTCTCATCTGCACTCAACTACTTTATTCTCTTTTTGTGGCTGAGAAAATTGAACCAATTAGAAGAGAATTTCCCAGTCCTTTCACTAACATATTTACCACCTTAGTAGCATCTAAGCACTCTGTTTCTCTACTGTTAAAATAGATGAACAGCCCTTGCTCCAATTGAGACCAACTCCTAGACTTGTGAACTAGATTTTATGCTTTTTGCCTACACAGGTCTTTGTAGTTTCACTTTATCTCCTTTCCTTGTATCTTTATTTTTTTCCTTCTTAAATGAATTTTTCCCATTAGGATACAAATATGCTATTATATCTTCCCAAATAAAATAAACAGCAATGACAAAAAGCTCCCTTTAGACAAGTCTTACTCAAGATACTGCTCCTTTTCACAAAATACTTGTGTATACTTTTGGTTTTCACTTCTCCTATTATCTCTTACACTCATTCCTATTAGGTTTTCATTACTCTGACTCCATTTAATTCACTCTTATCAAGGTAGGCAATGACTTCTATATCCCAAGATCTATTGGTTAATTCTTAGTCTGCATCTTCTTCATCCTTTTTGTAACAATTGACAGTGGGGTTCCAGGATTCTACATCCCCCAGTTTTCTTTCTGCTTCATTGCCAGTCTTCTACACTCAATTTCTTCTTCTCACTTTCTCAATTTCTAAACACTGAAAGACTCCAAGATTCAGTTTTCAGACCTCCTCCTCATATAAGTCCATGATTTTTAACACTATCTATCAAATTGATAACTCCAAAATTTACTCTTCCAGCTCTGATCTCTCTAGGAGTTTGCATTCAGATATTTAACTTGTGACTGGGCATCTTTACTTGGATGCCTATCAAGGATTACTTATTACTTTATCCGAAACTAACCTCTTCATGCCCCACACTGAAAGGTGCTCTCCTCCTATATTATTTTCAAATTCATCATCAAATAGCTATACCCATTGGCTCTAACTTTTAACTATAACCCAAGACTAACCTTTTCTCACCATCTCCTTTAATATCTCCCTAGCCTACTCCACAACCAGTCATTGTTTGCTAGACCAAAGCAATAGTTTTTTATCTAGTCTCTCTTTTCTACTCTTATCTGGTAAAGTTCATTCCATTTTTTATTATAAAAAAACCAAGTAATCCATTAAAATTTTATCTGTTCGTGTCACTTTTCTGCTCAAAATCTTTTATTAGCTTTCCTGCGTGCTTAGATAGAATCCATATCTTACCATGACCTATAAGTTCCTTCGTGTTATGGCCAACCTCACTTCCTCCTACTTGTTCCCTTGTTCACTGTATCCAGTCACTCTGGCTTCATTAGTCTTTAAATGTGCCAAACAAATTTTAACTTTAGGGAATTTGTTTTCAGTGTTCTTACTCCAGGAATTATCTTCTCTCATATACTGTCATAGACTTGTCCTTCACTCCATCTAAGACTTTATCTAAATGTCTTCTCCTTAGAGGATATTTCTGATATTCCAGTCTGAAATACATTTGCAGTCACTATCTTTTCCCTCACTCCTGATTTATTTTTCTTCAAGACCTTTTTCTAAAATATCCAATATAGTATATATTTGTTAGTTTATTTGTTTTCTGAATCTCCCACTAAAATCAAAGCTATCAGAGAGGAAAACTTTTGGCTTTTTGGTTTATCCCTGTATTCTGAGAGCCTAGAGGAGTAACTAGAACCACAGAAAGTTCTCTTTAGTTATTGATTGAATTGACTAAATAAATATATTTTGTTGAACTTTTAAATCTATACATAGTATAGCTCTTCACTTCTGTCCTTTTACAAATTTAAATAATGTTCTGAAACCTATAGTGATTTTCAGCAATAGAGTTCTTAGAGCTAAAGTGCTTTCTGATAGTGAGAAAGAGAATAAGAAAAAGAGGGTGGAGGAAGAGGGAGATGGAAAGTGAGAGGGAGAGGGAAAGAGAAAGGAAGAGAGAGAAAGAGAAACTTTTTACTTCTTACATCTCAGACAACTAGTACTCTAAGTACTCCGCCATTTTGGAACATGTCATGTGAATTTATTTTCTGGAATATTCATGCTTTGCTCCAGATCAACTAAAAAAATTGTGGGTAGAGGTATAGGCATCAGTTATATTTTAAAGTTTCACAGATGATTTCAATATTCAGCCAAGGTTGAAAACCATTTTTCTAAATGCTAAGAACCAGGGATGAAGTCATAAACAGCACAGTTAAAACCTAGCTTCCTCTGAGGCAGTCACTCTCCCACTACCACCATTCTTTTCTCTATCTTACTTGTGGCTCTCACAGCACTATGCTTTCATTATACTCTTGACCTTTACTTGTTACTGCCTTTGGGATCTCTGTCTCCCCTTCCTTTTCCAACTCTCATTTGTCCTTCTAGACTCTCCTCAGAATCCTCAAAACTTCCTCAAATTTCTTCTCAGGGCTTGTAAGAGAATGTCTTCCTCTGGACCCCTCAGCATTCCATCCTTTCTTCCACCATCACATTGGCTAAACACTTTTAATTATCTGTTTTTATTTCAGTTTTGATCAGACTGAATGCTCTTTGAGGTCAGAGACCATATTATATCAGTCTATGTCTTCTCAGCTTCTACAAAAATGCTCAGTGAATGTTGGACTAGTAAACTGAAATCATGAGGCTATTTGAGGTAAGAACTGACTGGCACTGCCACAGCTTTGAGACAGAGTTTAGTAGGACTTGTCATAGCCAGCGGAGAGTAACTTGTGATCACCAGTGCATGAATGTTGGGACTCACCTCTCAGGACATGATGGTTACCACTCTGAGCAAAAAAAATATATGAGACTTTCTATTGAGAAGGAGACAGTCCAGTGTATAAAATTGTCAGAAATGTATGTTTGATGTTATGTGGTCTGATTTCCCCAATTTAATTTTTCCTAGATCTTACTATACTTAAGATCTTCATCATGAAAAAGATGTATATAAATTGTGTCCCAAAAGACCATCAGTGGTTGTCTTGGAATTCAGGTTTTTTTTTTATTATTATTTGTTTGTTTTTTAAAGCACATTTAAGAAAAGACCAGAGGCATTCTTCTGAGACTTCTGCTACGGTTTGAATGTGTCTCCCAAATTTTGTATTGAAAACTTAATCCCCAGATTAATATGATGATGGAATCTGGAGACGGGGCTTTTGGGAGGTAATTAAGATAAAATGAGGTCATCAGGGTGTGGCCCCCATGATGGTATTCGTGGCTGTATAAAGAGTAAAAGAGAGACCTGAGCTAGCATGCTTGTCCTGTCTCATCAGGGAATGCCTTCCACAATATCTTGACATAGCACAAGGTCCTCACCAGATGCCACTGCCATGTTTTCAGGCTTCCCAGACTCTAGAACCATGAGCTAAATAAACCTCTATTATTTATAAATTACCCAGTCTGTGGTATTCTGTTATAGCAATGGAAAATGGACTAAGACACCTTTCTTGATCAAATATTTTTCAAGTTGCTTGGTCAGGAAAAGCAAAAATTAACACCAAGTGTCCATTATTTTATATTTTAGATAGTTGCATAAGTAAGGTTGTCTTCATTGACTGTTTAACAAATTATATTTTTTATTTCATAGTGTGACCCTATCATTCTCAGCTAATATTCTGTCTCTCTTTACTAACTTATGAGGTTAAAACAGTTCGTATATTATTATAGATAGCTATCCAGACAAAGGTAGACACAGACTGATAATGGAGCAAAGATTCTGCAGCCAAATGTGGACAGACAAGGAAAGAAGCTTATTCCTGGCACAGTATGACAAATGCACAGCCAAGTGCAGATCTACGGTGATCCCTATTGAACTCAAATCAGATGGGAAGTGATGCTGTTACTGTAAAATTAAGTCATGTCTGGTTATTTTTACATTAAAACAAAAATGACAATAGGAGAGATGATCAATAATGATCTGAACAACAATAATAACAGCAGTAAACTATGGAACATCATCCTTTTTGAACTCACTTTTCCATAATGTGAAGGGCTTCCTAAACTTTCTTGAAGAATTAGTTAAAATAATAAAAAATTATAGAACTAGTGCAGGCTTTTTATATTGCTGAAGGAAATGTTTAGTGAAAAGAAGGAAATTCTTCATGATGAGTATAGACTTTACAAGTGTTTAATGTTGGGTGCAAAGAGCAGAAATGACACCATTGGACTCAGGCAGAGTAGGATACTTTCTGGTAAGGCAGTGGTTCTGAACTGGGACCATTTTACCCCTAAGGGACATTGGGCAATGTCTAGAGTATTTTTGGTTGTCACAAGCTGGGGAAGGGGCACTACTGGCATCTAGTGAGTAAAAGTCAGGGATACTGCTAAATATCCAACAATACACTAGACAGTCGCCACAATAGAGAGTTATCTGAACCGAAACTTTAATAGTGTTGAAGCTGAGAAACTCTTCTTGTAAGGCAAACTCAGTTAAAATTCTGGCTCCAACACATAATAGCTGCGTGGCTTTGGAAAATTGTTCTTGCCTACCTATGCCTTAGTTTTCCCATATGTAAAATGAAAATAATCTACCTTGTGGAGTTTTCAGCAGGTTTAAATAAGGTAATTTGTGGAAAGTTTCTCTCAAGTTGTCTTACATATAGTAAATATGTAAAGAAACTGGTGTATGACTATTGAGATATTGTAGCTGGATTCAGAGGTTAATTCCTTCTTCCACCCCAGAAGGAAGTTTCAGCAATTCTGATAAATGGTTTTTTAACCTTATTGCCTGATTTCTCTGAAAACCCCAAACCATTGTAATATAGCTCTAATTGTTAGATATTGCTCTCTGATATCATACCTAAGCTTCCTACCTGAAATTTGAACTCATTTGTTTTAGGAGTTTCCTCTGGAACAAAACACCACAAGTTTATTACCTTTTCACGTGGCAGCCCTTCAAATTCCGGCAAACTACATGACCTGAGACAAAAAAGTAAAGTTTTCTGGGCATTATCTGCAAAATGGGAATAAAAATACTTACCCTAGGGATTTCTTGTAGTAATATCATGAGCTAATGTAGGTTGCAGGATCAAACGTAATGCTTCACAATTTGAAGTCTTAGAAGTGTTTGCTTCTTTTTTTCTGCTATTGCCCCCTTTGGACATAGCCAAACTGTATCAGGCAGTAAAATGGAAGTCAAAAAGCATCACTGGATTTAGTCACAAATAGTAGTTGACTTGATCCAAGTGGCTAGAATGAAAGCAGGGCTTTATACAATTAGGCTTTAAAAAATTAAACAGTATGATCAGGCCAAGCTTACACCGGTAATCCCAGCAGTTTGGGAGGTTGAGGAGGGGGGATCACTTGAGGTCAGGAGTTTGAGACCAGCCTGGCCAACATGGTGAAACCCTGTCTCTCCTAAAAATACAAAAATTAGCCGAGTGTAGTGGCGGGCACCTGTAATCACATCTACCTGGGCAGCTGAGGCAGGAGAATCACTTGAACCCAGGAGGCGGAGGTTGCAGTGAGCCGAGATCATGCCACTGCACTCCAGCTTGGGCAACAGAGCAAGACTCCAACTCAAAACAAACAAACACCCTATGATCATTTATTATATATATATGGTCCTTTGATCTTATAGAAAGGGAATTGCAGCAAATGTTGGTGACAGGAAAATAAGTACTCAACAAATATGAAGACTCATTGCTGCTTATAGAAATGAAATTTCACAAAAGAATTATTTTTATTTTCCATCAAGTTGTCCTGTGAGATATTTTGAAAATGGACCTTCTCAAGTGCTCACTGGATTCATCAACCCACAATGACTGAGCCAATATAATGCTTCAGTGACTTTATGCGGCTGGAGAGATGGCAAAGAAGGGTTCATCTCTGCCCAGAGTATAAGGGAAGGCAGACACTGGATGAATCATGGCAATGTGACACAATCAGTTCTCCAGTGGAAACAGCATGCAAGACTTCTGAAAGCTTCAGTGCATCAAATCTCCAGGGTGTGGCCTGTTGATGTGTGTTTTCTTTTCTAGGATAGGAGAAAATAGTCATCAGATCCTACTTGCTCATATCTAAACGTTTGATATTGTTAATGTGTTTTGACAAATCCAAAAGCTCATTTTAATTTCTTTAGGACTTGTAGTGGTTGAGTCTGTGCTTAGTCTATGTCTACAGCAGAGTGTACCCTGCTAGTTTTTAAATCTGATATTGTGCTACAGGGAATTCTCAGTGAAGACTGTTTTTGCTTTCAACCTTTCTGCCAAACCTAGGGAGCAACCAGCAACTCAAGCCACTGTGAGGACATAATGAGTGTTCCTGCCAAGTATGCTGTGGTTTTCTGGCTACCCTGAGCTACTTTGCTGAAGAGACCTTTACAGTTAGGGGCCCAGGGCTTTAAGTACTCTATGCAAGCCAGAGACTCCCATGTACATGTCTCCCACACTCATCCCTTTCCAGAAGTCCAGGATCATGTATCCAGAAGCCTACTTCACATAGCTACCTGCTTACCTAACATACATATCAAAGAATATATGTTCAAAAGAAAACTCTTGGTTCCCCATACTGCAAAATTATGCCTCCCATAGACTTTTATAACTTAGGGAATGGTATTACCATCCATTCAGTATTTAAGCCAAAAGTCTTTTAAAAAAACCTTATTTATTTATTTATTTATTTATTTATTTATTTATTTATTTATTTATTTATTTTTGAGATGGACTTTCATTCTTGTTACCCAGGCTGGAGTGCAACGGCGCAACCTTGGCTCACTGCAACCTCCGCCTCCCGGGTTCACGCAATTCTCCTGCCTCAGCCTCCAGAGTAGCTGGGATTACAGGTGTATGCCACCACGCTCTGCTAATTTTTTGTACTTTTAGTAGAGACGGGGTTTCACCATGTTGGCCAGGCTGGTCGCGAACTCCTGACCTCAGGTGATCCACACGCCTCAGCCTTCCAAAGTGCTGGGATTGCAGGTGCAAGCCACTATGCCCGGCTTTTCCTTAATTCTTCTCTTTCTTTCTTGCCCATCAGCAAGTCACCTCAATTCATCTCATAACACATCTCAAACCTGGTTATTTTCCTCCATGTCCAATGTAGTCACTGTAGTCCTATCCATTATTACATACTGCCTAGACAGCTGCTGTAGCCTACCAAATGGAATCTGTTTTCACGCTTGCTGCGTTTTAGTTCTCCAAACAGCTGCTTGGGTTACCTACTTAATACATAACTAAGATTAATGTGGCTCCCTACATTGCATTTCAATTCTACCGAACTTCCCCTAAACTAAAAGATATCTAAATAATTATCTATCTGTTGAATAAAAGCCCATGGCATAGGGAAGATAATATATTGTAGAATCAAAGAGATCATTCATTATTAAATCCTAAGCTTTTCTACACAACAGTTGTGTAAATTTGAGCAAGTTACCTAACGTCTTTAAGCCTAATTTCCCACTTTAAAAAATAAATTAAAAATATTACCTCCTCTTGTTCATTCACTTATCCTGAAAATTATTCTAGAAGTTGTTGTTGAACTTCTAAACTGTGTCAGGTACTGTGATGAGCACTGACATAAAAAGTAAATAAAATAGATGTCACCTATCTTCAGGTTGCTTAAAGTTTATAACTGCATATAACAGGTGTTGAATACATAACAAGCACTTAGTAAACAATGGGTGTTTTGATTTTCTTCCCCTGCTGACACCCTAGGGATCACCTATGTCAACCCTCCTTAAACATCTCCTGATTCTTAATCCATGGGTATTTTTAGTTTACCATGGCGCCTTATGCTATCATCTATTGCAACAATATCCAGCTTTATATTTAAAAAAAAAAACCCGAAGTTCTTAATCCTACAAAAGATCACTTGGATAATCCTCTTAATGAAATTTAGGAAAAGGATGCAATTACTGTCCTCAAGATGTAACACAGCATTTTTGTAACCATATCAAGGCTACCGTTTTCTAAAATCTATGTTATACAAAGCTGGACACTGGCCAGGAAGTAGATCAATTTAGCCTGGGAAATCAGAGCTGTTTTCAGAAAGGAAATAAATGACAATCCTTATTTTTCTCTCTTAGATTTTGAGTTTACAAAGTGTAAAGGGGAAGGAGGTGTCTATAAGAGAGGTCAAGAGAGGTTCTAATAAAGATACAGGATCTACTAAACAGCCAGGCTTCTGGAATAAAATTAACCTCAAAAAGCTTCACTGATGATCCGTGGTCAACTTAGAGGCAAAAAAACATGAAAGAGAGTTCCAGCAGAACCAGTGGCTGATACAAGAAACTACCCTCCTACCCAGCCTTCTCAGTAGTTGTTTTGTATTTTGGGGAACCACAGCTGAGCTCCCTTAAAATGCTGGCAAGAATCCAGATGACAGCAGTGAAGACCAAGGCATATTAGAGTGTCCATGGACAGTCTACAATGTTGATACCACTTGGCCGCAGGAACCCATACAGTGAAGGATGGAAAAGGATGGAAACTGAACAGGCTTTGTATTCCCTTCCATGTGCCATTGAAGTCGAAATGAGCTGTCTGGTCAACTGAGCAAATACCACAGGATTAAAGACAAGATGAAAGAATGATCAGGAATTTGAGGAGACACACAACTTCCTGCTAATATACATAAGAGAATTTGAGAAATATTTTTAAAAATTATGATATGGACTGTATTTTAACAATTTTAATAATGTTTCTAGAGCAAGTAATCTTAAGTAATTTCATTTAATCCTCTTAATGAAATTTAGGGAAAGGATGCAATTACTGTCCTCAAGATGTAACAAAGCATTTTTGTAACCATACCAAGGCTACCATTTTCTAAAATAAACAGGTGTCTGGCAAGAGCTGAGTAGGGCTTCAGCCATATATAGTACCCATTAGATGTGATAAAGTGCATGAGCAGCTGAGTGTGTACATTGAAGTCTATACATAAATGTGTGATGTTTATAACAAAATACAAGAATTAGGTTTTAATTACAGCGACAAACAGCCAGATGACACCTATGACCACAAAGAACAATGCAGTCTTATATTTGGAGTAGACTGACATTCTAAAAACCACAACTTCAGCTTGTGTCACCTTCAAGTTAGCTCAGGCCAACGGGTCTTGAGCACCAGGATACATGACCTTTGATGGGCAAAATGTCACTGCAACAATTCTGGAAAGGCTGGTTAAAATCCCCTCAGACACGATATCAATAGTTTATTTTCTTATTTAGCACCAGGAGCTCTTGCCCTCATTCTTCAAAGGGAGCCACAATTCAGTTCACAGCAGAGAAAAGTGAAAAGAACAGGTCTCCCATGATAAATTGAGCTTATTTTCAGAGCCTATGCATCTAGTTCTGAAGTGGTTTGATTTTCATTTGTACTAAACAAGCAAACACAGTTGACCTTTGAACAACAGAAGTTTGAACTGTAGGGTTACACTCATGCACAGCTTTTCTTCTGCCTCTGCCACTCCTGAGACAACAAGACCAACACCTTCTCTTCCCCAGCCTCCTTAATGTGAAGATGAGGATAGAGAACTTTATGATCTAATTGCACTTAATGAATAGTAAATATATTGTCTTTTCCTTATGATTTTCTTAATAACATTTTCTTTTTTTCTAGCTTACTTTCTTGTAAGACTACAGTAAATAATGCATATAACACACCAAACATGTTAATCAACTGTATAAGTTATTGATAGGACTACCAATCAACAGTAGGCTATCAGTAGTTAAGTTTCTGGTGAGTTAAATTTATATGTGAATTTTTGACTGTGCAGGGTGTCAGCACCCCTAAACTCTGCATGGTTCAAGGATCAAATTATGTACTCTGGAAACAATTCTGATTCCACATACCTACACACCAATGGGTAAGTCTCTTCCTTTAGGTCTTCATTTTCATACCTGTTAAACAGAAGTTGATCAGGGAGTTTCAGAAAGCCCCTTCTGGCTCTGGCAGCACAGCTCTGCTCATGCAGGGCCATTGACCTGGGAAGACTGAGCTCTACACTGGTCCAGCCAAAGCCTCTTTCCTCTCTGTGCTTCAGATCACTGGCAGCTTTTGGGCCATTTCACTCTGAGCTTACATTCAGGACATTTCTTTGCATTAAGAAGGCTCTTGTTCTTGAGTCCCAATCTATTAATCACATTTCACCTTATTAAGTCCCTGCTTCGAGCCCTGAGGCCCCTCTCCTTGTATAGTAGGTTAATTTGCTGCTTCAGCAACTGCATTAGTTTCCAGTGGGTCCCCCTACCCAGCCTTCGCTTCAGACCAAGAGAAGTGTCTTATTGGAGAAAAGGTAGATTGCAACTTTAAAGAAGCTCTTTATGAATGTCCTTTTCTCAATGTAAGCATCTACACACTCAGGATAAATGAGAATCAGTGGACATTAGGGACTAATAGACACATCTAGGCATTTCTTCTGTACACAATTATTAAGCATCTTCTATATACCATGCACTGTGCTAAGGGCATTTTAGATATTTTTATATTAATATATATCTAGCTCCCACTTATAAGTGAGAACATATGATATTTGGTTTTCCATTCCTGAGTTATTTCACTTAGAATAATGGTCTCCTATTCCATCCAGGTTGCTGCAAATGCCATTATTTTATTCCTTTTTATGGCTGAGTAGTATTCCATGGTGTGTGTATATAACACACACACAAACACACACACACATACATGTGATATATATCATATTTTCTTTGTCCACTCATTGGTGATGGGCATTTAGGCTGGTTCTATATTTTTGCAGTTGCAAATTGTGCCTCTATAAACGTGGAGGTGCATGTGCCAGTGTCTTTTTCACATAATGACTTCTTTTCCTCTGGGTAGATATCCAGCAGTGGGATTGCTAGAACAAATGGTAGTTCTACTTTTAGTGCTTTAAGGAATCTCCACACTGTTTTCCATAGTGATTGTACTAGTTTACATTCCCACCAACAGTGTAAAAGTGTTCCCTCTTCACCATATCTATGCCAACATTTTTTATTTTTTATTTATTAATTATGACCATTCTTGCAAAAGTAAGGTGGTATCTCGTTGAGGTTTTAACTTGCATTTCCCTGATAATTCGTGATATTGAGCTTTTTTTTTTTAATATGTTTGTTGGACATTTGTATATCTTCTTTTGAGAAATGTCTGTTCATGTCCTTTGCCCACTTTTTGATGGGAATATTTGTTTTTTTCTTGGTGATTTGCTTGAGTTTCTTGAAGATTCTGGATATTAGTCATTTGTTGGATGCATAGTTTGCAAATATTTTATCCCACTCTGTGGGTTGCCTGTTTACCCTACTGATTATTTCTTTTGCTGTGCAGAAGCTTTATAATTTAATTAGGTCCCATCTATTTATTTTTGCTTTCATTGCATTTGCTTTTAGGTTCTTGGTTCATGGGCTTTTTGCCTAAGCCAATGTCTGGAAGAGTTTTTCTGATGTCTTTCAGAATTTTTATGGTTTCAGGTTTTAGATTTAAGTCTTTGACCCATCCTGAATTGATTTTTGTATAAGGTGAGAGATGAAAATCTAGTTTCATTCTTCTACATGTGGCTTGCCAATTATCCCAGCACCATTTATTGTATAGGAGGTACTTTCCTCACTTTATATTTTTGTTTGCTTTGTCTAAGATCAGTTGGTTGTAAGTATTTGGCTTTATTTCAGGGTTTGCTATTCTGTTCCAGTGGTCTATGTGTCTATTTTTATACCAGTATCATGCTGTTTTGGTAACTTCAGCCTTGTAGTACAGTTTGAAGTTGGGTAATGTGATGCCTCCTGATGTGTTCTTTTTGCTTAGACTTGCTTTGGCTATATGGGGTCATTTTTGGTTCCATATGAATTTTAGAATTATTTTTTCTAGTTCTTTGTAGAATGATGATGGCATTTTGATGGAAATTGCATTGAATCTATAGGTAGCTATTGGCAGTATAATCATTTTCACAGTATTGTTTCCACCCATCAATGAGTATGGGAAATTTTAAATTTCCTTGCAGAGCTCTTTCACTTCTTTGGTTAGGTATATTGTTAAGTATTTTATTTTATCTTTGCATCTGTTATAAAAAGGCTTAAGCTCTTGACTTGATTCTCTGCTTGGTTGTTGTTGATGTATAGCAGTGCTACTGATTTGTGCACATTGATTTTGTATCCTGAAACCTTACTGAATGTATTTATCCCATCTAGGAGCTTTTTGGATGAGTCTTTAGGTTTTCTAGGTATATAATCATATCATCAGCAAACAACTACGGGTTGACTTCCTCTTTACTGATCTGGAATACCCTTTATTTCTTCTCTTTTCATGATTGCTCTGGATAGAACTTCCAGTACTATGTTGAATATAAGTGGTAAAAGTTGCAGCCTTGTTTTGTTCCAGTTCTCAGGGAGAATGCTTTCAAGTTTTCCCCATTCAGTATAACGTTGGCTGTGGGTTTGTCATAGATGGCTTTTATTACCTTGAGGTATGTCCCTTCTATGCCAATTTGCTGAGGCTGTTAATAACAATGTGATGCTGGATTTTGTCAAATGCTTTTTCTGCATCTATTGAGATGATCATATGATCTTTGTTTTTAATTCTGCTTATGTCTTGTATTATATTTACTGACTTGCATATATTTAACCATCCCTGCCTCCCTGGTATGAAACTCACTTGATTATGGTGTATTATCTTTTTGATATGCTGAAGAACATAACAAGAAAAGAAAACAACAGACTCATATTCCTGATGTACATAGATGCAAAAATCCTCAACAAACTCTGAACAGTCCAATAAAAAGTAGTGCAATTGAAACAGTAATAAAAAATTCGCCAACAACAAAAAAAGGCCAGGACCAAATGGATTCACAGCTGAATTCTACCAGGTATTCAAAGAAGAATTGCCACAATATTACTGAAAGTATTCCAAAAGATAGAGAAAGAGGGAATCCTCCCTAAATCGTTCTATGAAGCCAGTATTACCCTAATACCAAAACCAGGAAAGGACTTAACACTAAAAGAACACTACAGACTGTCTTCTCTCTTCTTTTCTCTGTTAATCTCACTAATGGTCTATCAATTTTGTTTATCTTTTAAAAAAATGCATCTTTTTGTTTCATATATTGTTTGTATTGTTTTCGTTTCAATTTCATTTAGTTCTGCTCTGATCTTTGTTATTTCTTTTATTCTGCTGTGTTTGGGATTGGTTTGTTCTTGTTTCTCTAGTTCCTTGAGGGGTGACCTTAAATTGTCTATTTGTACTCTTTCAGGCTTTCTGATGTAGGCATTTAATGCTATGAAATTTCCTCTTAGTACCGCTTTTGCTGTATCCCAGAGATTTTGATAAGTTGTGTCACTATTATCACTCAGTTCAAAGAATTTTTAAATTTCCATCTTAATTTTATTGTCAACCCAAAGATTATTCAACAGCAGATTGATTTCCATGTATCTGTATAGTTTTGAGGGTTCCTTTTGGAGTTAATTTCCAGTTTTATTCCATTTGTGGTCTAAGAAGATACTTGATATAATTTTGATTTTCTTAAATTTATCAAGACTTGTTTTATGACCTTTCATATGGTCTATCTTGGAGAATGTTTCATGTGCTGATGAAAAGAATGTATATTCTGCAGCTGTTAGGTAGAATGTTCTGTAAATATCTGCTAAGTCCATTTGTTCCAGGGTATAGTTTATGTCCGTTATTTCTTTGTTAACTTTGTCTTGATGGCCTGTCTAGTGCTGCTAGTGGAGTATTAAAGTACCCTACTGTTATTGCATTGCCCTCTATCTCATTTCTTAGGTCTGGGAATATTCGTCTTACGAATTTGGAAGCTCCAGTGTTAGGTGCATAAATATTTAGGATTGTGATATTTTCCTGTTGGACCAATCCCTGTATCATTACATAATGTCCCTCTGTCTTTTTTTTTAACTGTTTCTTTAAAGTCTGATTTGTCTGATTTACGAATAGCTGCTTCTACTTGCTGTTAGTTTTCATTTGTGTGAAATATCTTTTTCAATCTCTTTACCTTAAGTTTATGTGAATCTTTATGTATTAGGTGAGTCTCTTGAGGAAGGCAAATATTTGCCCAGTGGATTTTTATTCATTCTGCCAGTCTGTATCTTTTAATTCAGGGTGTCTAATCTTTGACTTCCCTGGGTCATGTTGGAAGAAGAAGAATTGTCTTGGGCCACACATAAAATACACTAACAATAGCTGATGAGCTAAAAAAAGAAAAAAATCACAAAAAAAGTCATAATGTTTTAAGAAAGTTTATGGATTTGTGTTGGGCTGTATTCAAAGCTATCCTGAGCTGCATGCAGCCTGCAGGCTGCAAGTTAGACGAGCTTGTTTTGGGTGGAGCCTTTAGGCCATTTACATTCAACATTAGTATTGAAATGTAAAGTACCGTTCTATTCATCATGCTAGTTGTGATTCAATGCCTTGTTTTTTTCACTGTGTTATTGTTTCATAGGTCCTGTAAGGTTTATGCTTTAAGGAGGTTCTATTTCGGTATATTTCAAGGTTTTATTTCAAGATTTAGAAATTCTTCTGGCATTTCTTGTATTGCTGGCTTGGTATTGGTGAATTCTCTCAGCATTTGTTCATCTAAAAAAGACTTTATCTCTCCTTCATTTATGAAACTTAGATTGACGAATACAAAATTCTTGGCTGGCTTGTAAGATTCCTGCTGAGAAACCTGCTGTTAATCTGATAGGTTTTCCTTTATAGGTTACCTGATGCTTTTGTCTCACATCTCTTATGATTCTTTCCTTCATCTTGACTTAAGATAACCTGATGATTTATGTGCCTAAGTGATTATCTTTATGTGATGAATTTCCGCAATGTTCTTTGAGAGTCTTGTACTTGGATGTCTAGATCTCTAGCAAGGCAAGGGAAGTTTTCCTCAATTATTCCCTCAAATAAGCTTTCCAAACTGTTAGATTTCTCCTCAGGAACACCAATTATTCTTATGTTTGACCATTTAACATAATCCCAAGTTTCTTGGAGGGTTTGTTCATTTTTTAAAACCCTTTTTACTTTGTCTTTGTCTGACTGGATTAATGTGAAGGCCTTGTCTTTAAGCTCTGAAGTTCTACTTGTTGTAAGTCTATTGTTGAAACTTTTCAGTGCATTTTGTATTTCTCTAAGTGTGTCTTTTATTTCCTGAAGTTCTGATTGTTGTTTTCTTTATATCTATTTCTCTGCAGAATTTTTCAACCATATTCTGCATTTTAAAAAATTTGTTTAAGTTGATTTTCATTTTTCTCTGGTATCTCCTTGAGTAGCTTAATAATCAACCTTCTGAATTCTTTATCTGACAATTCAGAGATTTCTCCTTGGTTTGGATCCATTACTGGGGAGCTAATGTAATCTTTATCTTTTAGGGGGTCTTACAAATCCCTGTTTTGTCATATTACTGGAGTACTTTTCTAGTTCCTTCTCATTTGGGTAGACTATTTAAGTGGAAAGGCCTGGAACTCAAGGCCTGCTCTTTAGATTCTTTTGTCCCATGGGATGATCCCTTGATGTGGTACCCTTCCCCTTCCCCTAGGGATGGGTCTTCCGGAGAGCCAGACTTCAGTGATTATTATTTCTCTTCTGGGTCTAGCCATTCAGCAGGACTACCAGGCTCTGGGCTGGTGCTGGGGAATGTCTGAAAATAGTCCTCTGATATGATCTGTCTTCAGGTGTCCCAGCCATGGATACCAGCACCTGCTCTGGTGGAGGTGGCAGTGGAGTGAAATAGACTCTGTGAGAGTCCTTGGTTGTAGATATGTTTAGTCCACTGGCTTCCTTGAATGTTGGCTATGCTAGCAGTGAAGTTGTCACACAGACAGGCTCAGGACCTCTGGTTAACCAGGATGTTGCAGGCAGTAGAATTAGCTGTTGTTTTCTCCTTCCTGGGAGCAGGGTTATTCTGTCATGAGTTGCTGTAATGGCCTAAGTTGGTTGGCCTCCAGCAAGGAGGTGACTCTTTCAAGAGAGCACCAGCTGCCGTAGTAGTAGGGGGATCTATCTAAGCTTAAGCTTGCCCTAAGTTGGCCAGGTTGAGTATTCTGGTTTCTCAAGTGATGGGTCATAAGACCCTGAAGAGTTTATTTGTTTTGTGTTCAGGTACCAGGGTGGGTAGAGAAATACTATCAGGTGGGAGCAGATTTAGGCAGATCTGGGCTCAGACTCTCCTTGGGTGGGGCTTGCTATTGCCACTGTGGAGGTAGGAGGGGGTGGCTCTCAGACCAATACAGTTAAGTTCCATAGGGGATTATGGCTGCCTCTGCAGTGTCATAGTTTGCCAGGGAATTGGGGGATAGTTACTAATGAAAGGCCTTACCCAGTTCCTACATGGTTGGCAAGAAGCCTTGCTCCACAGTGCCCCGCTCAGACCTTCCCCCAGACAGTAAGCTTCCCTGCTAAGAAAGCAAGCACAGCTTTTAGGCCTCTCCCTCCCCATCTGCCCACAATATTGGCAGTGGACTCTTGCACTCATGTCTCCAGCAGTTCCTATTTGCTTCTGGATTCTGCTTAAGAAAATTCATGCCCAGTCGAAATTATCCCAAATTTCAATTGGAAGCTTCTTTCACCCTGTGACCCCTCTTTAATTTTGGTGGCTGCCTTCTCCAAGGGCCCCAGTGGAATATAGTCAGGGATGGCTTCCCTGGGCTTGAGCTGGGGACCTAGAATGCCTACAAGGCTTTTCCTGCTGCTGCTTCCACTTTCATATTTTGCGCAGCTCCCTAAATTCATTTCAGCTCTGGGTAAGGTTAAATCCTTCTCCTGTGATCTGGATTTTCAGATTCCCCAGTAAGGATGCATGTTCTGAGGCAGGTTTTCCCCACTCGCACTTTGGGAATTCAGTTTTTCTCCTGTCTCATGGAATTTGCAACAGCATGACACTTCTTTCAAAGGGTCTGTGAATTCCTTCAGTTTTCCTCGTGCATTCTTGTGGTGGTTCTTGGAGCAAATGTTCATAGTGTGAGCCTCCACACACTGTTCTGTCCATCCAGATGGAAATTGAACATTAACCCTGTCTCCTATACACCATCATCTTCCTCAAAAAATGAGCTTGTTTTAATTTTTAGCTCCCACAAATAAGTGAGAATATGTGAAGTTTGTCTTTCTGTTCCTGACTGATTTTACCTAACGAATTCCATTTTCATCCATGTTGTTGCAAATAATGGAATCTCATTTCTTTTATGACTGTAGGTTCCATCTTCATTTTGTTGATTGTTTCCTTTGTTGTGCAGGGCTTTTTTTTTTTTTTTTGTACTTTAAGTTATAGAGTACATGTGCACAACGTGCAGGTTGGTTACATACGTATACATGTGCCATGTTGTTGTGCTGCACACATTAACTCGTCATTTACATTAGGTATATCCCCTAATGCTATCCCTCCCCCCTCCCCCCAACGCACAACAGACCCTGGTGTGTGATGTTCCCCTTCCTGTGTCCATGTGTTCTCATTGTTCAATTCCCACCTATGAGTGAGAACATGTGATATTTGGTTGTTTGTCCTTGTGATAGTTTGCTAAGGATGATGGTTTCCAGCTTCATCCAAGTCCATACAAAGGACATGAACTCATCCTTTTTCATGGCTGGATAGTATTCTATGGTGTGTATGTGCCAAATTTTCTTAATCCAGTCTATCATTGTTGGACATTTGGGTTGGTTCCAAGTCTTTGCTATTGTGAATAGTGCCACAATAAACATACGTGTGCATGTGTCTTTATAGCAGCATGTTTTATAATCCTTTGGGTATATACCCAGTAATGGGATGGCTGGGTCAAATGGTATTTCTAATTCTAGATCCTCGAGGAATTGCGACACTGTCTTCCACAATGGTTGAACTAGTTTACAGTCCCACCAACTGTGTAAAAGTGTTCCTATTTCTCCACATCCTCTCCAGCATCTGTTGTTTCCTGACTTTTTAATGATCACCATTCTAACTGGTGTGAGATGGTATCTCATTGTGGTTTTGATTTGCATTTCTTTGATGGCCAGTGATGATGAGCATTTTTTCATGTGTCTGTCAGCTGCATAAATGTCTTCTTTTGAGAAGTGTCTGTTCATATCCTTTGCCTACTTTTTGATGGGGTTGTTTGTTTTCTTCTTGTAAATTTGTTTGATTTCTGTCTAGATTCCGGATATTAGCCCTTTGTCAGATGAGTAGATTGCAAAAATTTTCTCCCATTCTTTAGGTTGCCTGTTCACTCTGATGGTGGTTTCTTTTGCTGTGCAGAAACTCTTTAGTTTAATTAGATCCCATTTGTCAATTTTGGCTTTTGTTGCCATTGCTTTTGGTGTGTTAGACATGAAGTCCTTGCCCATGCCAATGGTATTGCCTAGGTTTTCTTCTAGGGTTTTTATGGTTTTAGGTCTAACATGTAAGTCTTTAATCCATCTTGAATTAATTTTTGTACAAGGTGTAAGGAAGGGATCCAGTTTCAGCTTTCTACATGTGGCTAGCCAGTTTTCCCAGCACCATTTATTAAATAGGGAAGCTTTTCCCCATTTCTTGTTTTTGTCAGGTTTGTCAAAGATCAGATGGTTGTAGACGTGTGGTATTATTTCTGAGGGCTCTGTTCTGTTCCATTGGTCTATAGCTCTGTTTTGGTGTCAGTACCATGCTGTTTTGGTTACTATAGCCTCGTAGTATAGTTTGAAGTCAGGTAGTGTGATGCCTCCAGCTTTGTTCTTTTGGCTTAGGATTGACTTGGTGGTGCGGGCTCTTTTTCGGTTCCATATGAACTTTAAAGTAGTTTTTTCCAATTCTGTGAAGAAAGTCATTGGTAGCTTGATGGGGATGGCATTGAATCTATAAATTACATTGGGCAGTATGGCCATTTTCACAATATTGATTCTTCCTATCCATGAGCATGGAATGTTCTTCCATTTGTTTGTGTCCTCTTTTATTTCATTGAGCAGTGGTTTGTAGTTCTCCTTGAAGAGGTCCTTCACATCCCTTGTAAGTTCGAATCCTAGGTATTTTATTCCCTTTGAAGCAATTGTGAATGGGAATTCACTCATGATTTGGCTGTCTGTCTGTTATTGGTGTATAAGAATGCTTGTGATTTTTGCACATTGATTTTGTATCCTGAGACTTTGCTGAAGTTGCTTATCAGCTTAAGGAGATTTTGGGCTGAGACGATGGGGTTTTCTGATACACAACCATGTCATCTGCATACAGGGACAATTTGACTTCCTCTTTTCCTAATTGAATACCCTTTATTTCCTTCTCCTGCCTAATTGCCCTGGCCAGAACTTCCAACACTATGTTGAATAGGAGTGGTGAGAGAGGGCATCCCTGTCTTTTGCCAGTTCTCAAAGGGAATGCTTCCAGTTTTTGCCCATGGAGTATCATATTGGCTGTAGGTTTGTCATAAATAGCTCTTATTATTTTGAGATATGTCCCATCAATACCTAATTTATTGAGAGTTTTTAGCATGAAGCGCTGTTGAATTTTGTCAAAGGCCTTTTCTGCATCTATTGAGATAATCATGGGGTTTTTGTCTTTGGTTCTGTTTATATGCTGGATTATGTTTATTGATTTGCGTATATTGAACCAGCCTTGCATCCCAGGGATGAAGCCCACTTGATCATGGTGGATAAGCTTTTTGATATGCTGCTGGATTTGGTTTGCCAGTATTTTATTGAGGATTTTTGCATCAATGTTCATCAGGGATATTGGTCTAAAATTCTCTTTTTTTGTTGTGTCTCTGTCAGGCTTTGGTATCAGGATGATGCTGGCCTCATAAAATGAGTTAGGGAGGATCCCTCTTTTTCTATTGATTGGAATAGTTTCAAAAGGAATGGTACTAGCTCCTCCTTGTACCTCCGGTAGAATTTGGCTGTGAATCCATCTTTTCCTGGACTTTTTTTGGTTGGTAGGCTATTAATTATTGCCTCAATTTCAGATCCTGTTATTGGTCTATTCAGGGATTCAACTCCTTCCTGGTTTAGTCTTGGGAGGGTGTTTGTGTCCAGGAATTTATCCATTTCTTCTAGATTTTCTAGTTTATTTGCATAGAGGTGTTTATAGTATTCTCTGATGGTAGTTTGTATGTCTGTGGGATCGGTGGTGATATCCCCTTTATAATTTTTTATTGTGTCTACTTGATTTTTCTCTCTTTTCTTCTTTATTAGTCTTGCTAGCAATCTATCAATTTTGTTGATCTTTTCAAAAAAAACAGCTCCTGGATTCACTGATTTTTTGAAGGGTTTTTTGTGTCTCTATCTCCTTCAGTTCTGCTCTGATTTTAGTTATTTCTTGCCTTCTGCTAGCTTTTGAATGTGTTTGCTCTTGCTTCTCTAGTTCTTTTAGTTGTGATGTTAGGGTGTCAATTTTGGATCTTTCCTGCTTTCTCTTGTGGGCATTTAGTGCTATAAATTTCCCTCTACACACTGCTTTGAATGCGTCCCAGAGATTCTGGTATGTTGTGTCTTTGTTCTCGCTGGTTTCAAAGAACATCTTTATTTCTGCCTTCATTTTGTTATGTACCCAGTAGTCATTCAGGAGCAGGTTGTTCAGTTTCCATGTAGTTGAGCGGTTTTGAGTGAGTTTCTTAATCCTGAGTTCTAGTTTGATTGCACTGTGGTCTGAGAGACAGTTTGTTATAATTTCTGCTCTTTTACATTTGCTGAGGAGTGCTTTACTTCCAAGTATGTGGTCAATTTTGGAATAAGTGTGATGTGGTGCTGAAAAGAATGTATATTCTGTTGATTTGGGGTGGAGGGTTCTGTAGATGTCTATTAGGTCTGCTTGGTGCAGAGCTGAGTTCAATTCCTGGATATCCTTGTTAACTTTCTGTCTCGTTGATCTATATAATGTTGACAGTGGGGTGTTAAAGTCTCCCATTATTATTGTGTGGGAGTCTAAGTCTCTTTGTAAGTCACTCAGGACTTGCTTTATGAATCTGGGTGCTCCTGTATTGGGTGCATATATATTTAGGATAGTTAGCTCTTCTTGTTGAATTGATCCCTTTACCATTATGTAATGGCCTTCTTTGTCTCTTTTGATCTTTGTTGGTTTAAAGTCTGTTTTATCCGAGACTAGGATTGCAACCTCTGCCTTTTTTTGTTTTCCATTTGCTTGGTAGATCTTCCTCCATCCCTTTATTTTGAGCCTATGTGTGTCTCTGCACGTGAGATGGGTTTTCTGAATACAGCACACTGATGGGTCTTGACTGTTTATCCAATTTGCCAGTCTGTGCCTTTTAATTGGAGCATTTAGCCCATTTACATTTAAGGTTAGTATTGTTATGTGTGAATTTGATCCTGTCATTATGATGTTATCTGGTTATTTTGCTTGTTAGTTGATGCAGTTTCTTCCTAGCCTTGATGGTCTTTACAATTTGGCATGCTTTTGCAGTGACTGGTACCGGTTGTTCCTTTCCATGTTTAGCACTTCCTTCAGGAGGTCTTTTAGGGCAGGCCTGGTGGTGACAAAATCTCTCAGCCTTTGCTTGTCTGTAAAGTATTTTATTTCTCCTTCACTTATGAAGCTTCATTTGGCTGGATATGAAATTCGGGGTTGAAAATTCTTTTCTTTAAGAATGTTGAATATTGGCCCCCACTCTCTTCTGGCTTGTAGAGTTTCTGCCGAGAGATCAGCTGTTAGCCTGGTGGGCTTCCCTTTGTGGGTAACCCGACCTTTCTCTCTGGCTGCCCTTAACATTTTTTCCTTCATTTCAACTTTGGTGCATATAACAATTATGTGTCTTGGAGTTATTCTTCTCGAGGAGTATCTTTGTGGCGTTCTCTGTATTTCCTGAATCTGAACGTTGGCCTGCCTTGCTAGATTGGGGAAGTTCTCCTGGATAATATCCTGCAGAGTGTTTTCCAACTTGGTTCCATTCTCCCCGTCACTTTCAGGTACACCAATCAGACGTAGATTTGGCCTTTTCACATAGTCCCATATTTCTTGGAGGCTTTGTTCATTTCTTTTTATTCTTTTTTCTCTAAACTTCCCTTCTCGCTTCATTTCATTCACTTCATCTTCCATCGCTGATGATACCCTTTTTTCCAGTTGATCGCGTCGGCTCCTGAGGCTTCTGCATTCTTCATGTAGTTCTCGAGCCTTGGCTTTCAGCTCCATCAGCTCCTTTAAGCACTTCTCTGTATTGGTTATTCTAGTTATACATTCGTCTAAATTTTTTCAAAGTTTTTAACTTCTTTTCCTTTAGTTTGAATTTCCTCCTGTAGCTCGGAGTAGTTTGATTGTCTGAAGCCTTCTTCTCTCAACTCGTCACAGTCATTCTCTGTCCAGCTTTGTTTTGTTGCTGGTGAGGAACTGCATTCCTTTGGAGGAGGAGAGGCACTCTGCTTTTTAGAGTTTCCAGTTTTTCTGTTCTGTTTTTTCCCCATCTTTGTGGTTTTATCTGCTTTTGGTCTTTGATGATGGTGATGTACAGATGGGTTTTTGGTGTGGATGTCCTTTCTGTTTGTTAGTTTTCCTTCTAACAGACAGGACCCTCAGCTGCAGGTCTGTTGGAGTTTGCTAGAGGTCCACTCCAGACCCTGTTTGCCTGGGTACCAGCAGCGGTGGCTGCAGAACAGCAGATTTTCGTGAACCACAAATACTGCTGTCTGATCATTCCTCTGGAAGTTTTTCCTCAGAGGAGTACCCGGCCGTGTGAGGTGTCAGTCTGCCCCCACTGGGGGGTGCCTCCCAGTTAGGCTGCTCGGGAGTCAGGGGTCAGGGACCCACTTGAGGAGGCAGTCTGCCTGTTCTCAGATCTCCAGCTGCTTGCTGGGAGAACCACTTCTCTCTTCAAACTGTCAGACAGGGACATTTAAGTCTGCAGAGGTTACTGCTGTCTTTTTGTTTGTCTGTGCCCTGCCCCTAGAGGTGGAGCCTACAGAGGCAGGCGGGCCTCCTTGAGCTGCGGTGGGCTCCACGCAGTTCAAGCTTCCCGGCTGCTTTGTTTACCTAAGCAAGCCTGGGCAATGGCGGACGCCCCTCCCCCAGCCTCACTGCTGCCTTGCAGTTTGATCTCAGACTGCTGTGCTAGCAATCAGCCAGACTCCGTTGGCGTAGGACCCTCCGAGCCAGGTGCGGGATATACTCTCCTGGTGCCCCATTTTTTAAGCCCGTTGGAAAAGTGCAGTATTAGGGTGGGAGTGACCTGACTTTCCAGGTGCTGTCTGTCACCCCTTTCTTTGACTAGGAAAGGAAACTCCCTGACCCCTTGTGCTTCCCGAGTGAGGCAATGCCTCGCCCTGCTTCAGCTCGCGCACGGTGCACTGCACCCACTGTCCTGCGCCCACTGTCTGGCACTCCCTAGTGAGATGAACCCGGTACCTCAGATGGAAATGCAGAAATCACCCGTCTTCTGTGTCACTCACGCTGGGAGCTGTAGACCGGAGCTGTTCCTATTCGGCCATCTTGGCTGCCCCTCGACCTTTATTTCTCTCTCTTGTCTGAATCCTCTAAGACTTCTAGTACTAGGTTAAATAACAGTGGTAGAGTGGGAATCCTTGTATTGTTTCAAACCTTAAAGGAAAGGCTTTCTATTTTCCCTATTCAGTATGATACTAGCTATGGGTCTGTTGTATATGGCTTTTATTATATTGAGGTATGTTTCTTCTGCACCCAGTTTTTTGAGGGTTTTTTTCATAAAAAATGTTGAAGTTTATCAAATGCTTTTTCAGCATCAATTGAAATGATCAGACGGTTTTTGTCTTTCATTCTGCTGAACTATGTACCATATTGATTCATTTGCATATGCTGAACCATCCTTGCATTCCTGAGATAAATCCCACTTGATCATGATAAATTGTATTTTTACTATATTGTTGAATTTGGTTTGCTAATATTTGTTGTTAATTTTTGCATCAGTATGCATCAGGGATATTAGCCTGTAGTTTTCTCTTATTATTATTTTTTATATGTCTTTGTCTGGTTTTGGTATCAGGGTAATATTGGCCTAAAGGAATGAGTTTGAAAGTACTTCCACCTCTATTTTTCAGAAGAGTTTGAGTAGGATTGGTATCAGTTCTTCTTTAAATGTTTGATAGAATTCAGCAGTGAGGCTGTTGGGTCCCAGGGTTTTCTTTACTGGGAGACTTTTTATTCCAGCTTTCAAACCCATTACTTGTTTGGTTTTTTTTTGTTGTTTTTTTTTTTCTGAGACAGAGTCTTGCTCAGTCGCTCAGGCTGGAGCGCAGTGGCACAGTCTCAGCTCACTGCAAGCTCTGCTTCCCGGGATCATGCCATTCTCCTGCCTCCGTCTCCCGAGTAGCTGGGACTACAGGTGCCCGCAACCACACCTGGCTAATTTTTTTTTTTTTTGTACTTTTAGTAGAGATGGGGTTTCACTGTATTAGCCAGTATGGTCTCGATCTCCTGACCTCGTGATCCACCTGCCTCGGCCCCCCAACGTGCTGGCATTACAGGTGTGAGCCACCGTGCCCGGCCCAAACCCATTACTTGTTATTAGTCTGTTCAGGTATTGAATTTCTTCATGGCTCAATCTTGGTAGGTTGTGTCTAGAAATGTATCCATTTCCTCTAGATTTTCCAATTTATTGGTATATAGTTGCCTACAGTAGCCACAAATACTCCTTTAAAATTCTGTGTTATCAGTTGTAATGTCTCCTTTTTCATCTCTTATTTTATTTATTTGGGTTTTCTTTCTTTTCATCTAAGTTATTCTGGCTAATTATATGTCAACTTTGTCTTTTCAAAAAACAAATGGTTGCATCAATCATTTGTTTTGTTTTCTTCATTTCAGTTTTATTTATTTGTTCTCTGATCTTTATTATTTCTTTACTTCTACTAATTTTGGGTTTGGTTTGCTCTTTTTTTTTTAGTTCTTTAAGATGCATCAATAGGTTACTTAAAGTTTGTTTTTCTTTTTTGATGTAGGCACTTACATATTTCCCTCTTATTACTGCTTTTGCTATATCCCATAGGTTTTGTTATGTTGTGTTTCCATTATCATTTGTTTCGATAAATTTTTCAGTTTTCTTCTAAAATTTCTTCATTGACCCACTGGTCATTCAGGGACATATTGTTTATTCACCATGTGATTATATAGTTTCCAAGTTTCCTGTTGTTATTGATCACTAGTTTTATTTCATTGTTGTCAGAGAAGATGTTTGAGATTATTCAATTTTTTTGGAATCTTTTAAGACTTGCTTTGGGACGTAACATGTGGTTTATTTTTGAGAATAATTTATGTGTTAAGGAAAAGAATGTGTATTCTGCAGGAAATGTTTTGTAAATCTCTATTAGGTCCTTTTGTTCTATAGTGCAGATTAAGTCCAACGTTTTCTTGTTGATTTTCTGTCTGGAAGATCTGTCCAATTCTGAAAGCAGGATGTTGAAGTCTCCAGCTGTTACTGTATTGAGGTCTATTTCTCTCTTCAGCTCTAATAATATTTGCTTTATAAATCTGGGTGCTTCAGTGTTGGGTGCACATATATTTACAATCGTCATATCTGTTGAATAATTAACCCCTTTATTATTATTTAATGACTTTCTTTTTCTCTCCTTTCAGTTTTTTCTTGAAGTCTATTTTGTCTGATATAAGCATACCTTCTCCTACTTTTTTGGGGCTTTCATTTGCATGAAATATCATTTTCCATCCCTTTATTTTCAGTCTATGTGTATCTTTGTAGGTGAAATATGTTTCTTGTAGGCAACAGGTCACTGTGTCTTGTTTATTTTTATTTATTTATCCACTCTATGTCTTTTTATTGGAGAGTTTAGGTAATGAATATTCAATGTTATTATTAATAGATAAGGACTTACTTCTCTTATTTTGTTATTGTTTTCTGGACTTCTCTTTCTTTTTCTTTCCTTCTTGTCTTTCTTTTAGTAAAGATAATTTTCTCTGATAGTATGTTTTAATTTTTTGCTTTCGATTTTTTGTGTATACCTTGTATATTTTTTGATTTCAGATTACCATAAGACTTGCAAATACTATCTTATAACTTATTATTTTTATTTATTTATTTTGAGACAGCTTCACTCTTGTCACCCAGGCTGGAGTGCAATGGCACGATCTCGGCTCACTGCAACCTCTACTTCCCAGGCTCAAGTGATTTTCCTGCCTCAGCCTCCTGAGTAGTTGGGATTACAGGCATCATGCCTTGCTAGTTTTTGTATTTTTAGGAGAGACTGGGTTTCACCGTGTTGGCCAGGCTTGTCTCGAACTCCTGACCTCAGGTGATCCACCAGCCTTGGCCTCCCAAAGTGCTGGGATTACAGGCATGAGCCACCGTGCCCTGCCATAACTTGTTATTTTAAACTGATGACAAAAATGGATTGCATAAACAAACAAGCAAAAGAAAACTAATAAAAACTCTCAACTTTAATTTTGTCTCCCTGCTTTTTAACTCTCTGTTGTTCCTCTTTACGTTTTATTTGTAGTGTCTATGTTTTGAAAACTTATCGTTGTTATTTTTGATTGGTTCATAATTTAGTCTTTCTACTTAATATAAGAGTAATTTACACACCATAATTACGATATTATAATAATTTTTGTTTTCATGCATACTTACTATTACCAGTGAGTTTCATACCTTCAGATGATTCCTTATTGCACACTCACATCCTTTCCTTTCTGATTGAAGAACTCCCTTTAGCATGTATTGTTGGACAGATCTGATATTGTTGAAATCCCTCAGCTTTTGTTTGTCTGGGAAAGCTTTTATTTATCCTTTACGTTTGAAGAACATTTTCACCAGGTATTCTATTCTAGGGTAAATGTTTGTTTTCTTTAACACTTGAAATATGTCATTCCACTCTCTCTTGCCTGCAAGGTTTCCACTGAAAGCCTGCTGCCAGACGTTTTGTAGTTCCATTGTATGTTATTTGTTTGTTTTCTCTTATTGCTCTTGGGATTCTTTCTTTATCCTTGACCTTTGAGAATTTGATTATTAAATGCCTTGATATAGTCTTCTTTGGGTTTAATCTGCTTGGTCTTCTATAACCTTGTACTTCAATATTGATATCTTTCTCTAAGTTTGGGAAGTTCTCTAATATTATCTATTTGAATAAACTTTCTCCTCTTATCTTTTTCTCTACCTCCTCTTTAAGGCCAATATCTTTGATTTGCTCTTTTGACATAATTTTCTAGATTTTGTAGGTGTGCTTTACTGTTTTGCATTTTTTTCTCTTGTCTCCTCTGCCTATGTATTTTCAAATATTATTTCTTCAAGCTCAGCAATTCTTTCTTCTGTTTGATCAATTCTGCTATTTAGAGACTGATGGCATTCTTCAGTATGTCAATTGCATTTTTCAACTCTAGAATTTCTGCTTGACTCTTTTCAATTATTTTAACTCCTGTTAAATGTGTCTGATAGAATTCTGAATTCTTTCACTGTGTTATCTTGAATTTCTTTGAGTTTCTTCAAAACAGCTATTTTAAATTCTTTATCTGAAAGTTCACATAATTCCTGTTTCTCCAAGATTGGCTCCTGGTGCCTTATTTAGTTTGTTTGATGAGGTCATGTTTTCATGGCTGATCTTGATGCTTGTAGATATTTGTCAGTGTCTGGGCATTTAAGAGTTAGTTATTTATTGTAGTCATCACAGTCTGGCTTGTTTGTGCCTGCTCTTCTTGTGAAGACTTTCCAGGTATTCAAAGGGACTTGCACCCTGAACCCAGTAATGTTGTGGTTTTTGCAGGCTCATAGAGGTACCACCTTGTGGTCTCGGATAAGATTGGAAAGAATTCTCTGGATTACCAGAGATTCTTGTTCTCTTCCCTTACCTTCTCCCAAAATAACTGAGTCTCCTCTGTGTCTTTGCTGAGCCATCTGGAGCTGATGGTTGGGTGACACAAGCACCACTGTGGTTACCACCAATGGAACCACCATGGGTCAGGCCTGAAGCCAGCATGGAACTGGGTCCTGCCCAAGGCCTAATGTAACCACTACCTGGCTACCATCTGTGTTCACTCAAAGCCCTAGAGCTCTACAGTCAGCAGGTGGTAAAGCAAGCCAAGTTTATATCCTTCCTTTCAGGGCAACAAATTCCCCTATGCTCTAGGTGGGTTCAGGGTTTTTGTCTGGGAGGCAGGAGTTGAAGTCAAAAACCTTAGAAATCTACCTGCTATTCTATTCTACTACAGCTAAGCTGGCACTCAAACCACAAGGCAAAGTTCTTCCACTCTTCTCTCTCCTTTCCACAGGTAGTGCTGCCTCTCCCCATGGCTGTCACAACCACTGGCACACTGAGAGTTCTGGAAGGTTACCACTTGTGTTCACTTAGCCTCCATGGGCTCTTCAGTCAGCTCATGGTTAATGCTGCTAGGCCTCAACTCCCTCTTCCAGGAAGTTGGATCCTCTCTGGCCTGGGGAAGGTCCAGAAATGTTTTCCAACAGCCTAGGTCAGGATCGAGGGACCCCAAGAGGCTGCTTGGTGCTCTAACCTACTTTGGCTGAGCTGGTACCTGAAACCAGCACATCTCTAAGTAAGTCTTACGAAAGGTTCATGGTATACTGTTGGTTATTCAGCGCCCAAGGATTCCTTAGTCAGAAGGTGCTGAATACGGCCAGGACTGGGTCTCTCCCTTCAAGGCTGTGGGTTCCTTTCTGGCCCAAAGTGTGTCTGGAAATGTCCAGGAGCTAGAGCCTGGGATGGGGGCCCCATGACTCTGTCTAGTGCCCTGTCCTCCTGTGGCTGAGCTGGTATCTAAGATACAAGACAAAATCCTCTTTACGCTTTTCTCTCCTAGAGTGGAAAGAAGCAGTCACTGTCATTGCTGTGAGCTGCATTGCACAGGGTTTTGGGTGGGTTGCATAGCACTTCCTCAGTCCCTCTGTCTGATGTCTCAGTAGGTCAGGCACTGCCCCAGTCCACTGGCTCTAAGCCCAGCACAGCATCAGAACTTCTCAAGAATTGGAATCCTTGTGTCTTAGCCTGCCTTTCAAGTTCACTTAGAACCCCAGAGCACTTAACTCCTAGTGGCAAGGCTTGTTGAGAAACTCAGGTACCGACCACTGGGTTGGGCACTTCCCCTCTGTCTAGGTCGGGTCCAAATGCTTCCTCTGTGGAAAGGTGCCAACTGAGTCAGTGTCATTTTGTTTTCTGCTGTGACAGGGCAGCACTGAGTTCAATGCAAAGTTCCCCAGTTCATATGCTCTCCTTCTCTCAAGTGCACAGATTCTTTCCCTATGCCATATAGTCACTGCCTGGGGAGTGGGGAGAAGTGGCATTGATGATATAAGATTTTCTTGCCTAGCCTCTGTAGTTCCTCTTTCAGTGACATGAAATTAAAACCAGGTACTATGAGTGCTCACTTGATTTGCGCTTTTATGAAGGTGCTTTTTAGTGTGCAGATAGTGTTAAAATTTGGTGTTCCTACAGAGGGAATAATTGGTGGAGGCTTCTATTCAGCCATCTTGCTCCACCCTCAGCATGCCAATTCTTATTTAAAGATAGTCTATCAGGGTTTGGATTGGGGTCACATTGAATCTGTATATCAACCTGGAAGAAATTGACATCTTGACAATATAAAGTATTCCAATTCATGAGCAAGATATATTTCTTCATTTATTTATATCTTCCTTTTTGTTCTCCCAATACTGTTTTATAGCTTTCAGTGTGCAGGTATTATTTATATTTTGTCAAACTTGTCCCTAAGTATTTTATGTTTTATTAAACTTTTATAAAATTTAATTTTAAATTTCATTTTTCTAAAATTTGTTACTAGTATGTAAATAGGCAAATGATGTTTGTATAATGACATTGTGTTGTATAACCTTACTTAATTCACAAAACTTTTTATGTATGTGATGTTGTCCATAAGAAGGATAATTTTATTTATTTATTTCCAATCTATATAACTTTTATTTCGTCTTACACGCACTACTACAATGGCCAGGACCTCTAATTTGTTGTTGAATAGAAGTAGTGATAGTGGACATTTTCTTATTTCTCTTCTTCTAGAGAAAACATTAAATCACAAACCGTAATATATAATGATAGCTGTAGGGTTTTTTAGATGCATTTTGCTGGGAATTTTTTCATAGTTTTTTTTTCATTTCTTGAAATAATCATATGATTTTTATCTTTTATTCTGTTAGTATGGTGAATTACACTGCTTGACTTTTAAATGTCGTATTAACTTGGTATTTCTAAAATAAAACCCAGTTGGTCATGATGTATTATATTTTGTTAGATTTAATTTGTTAATACCTTGTGAAGGATTTTCTTTTTTATCTTCATGAAAAGTATTAGTTTATAGTTATCTTTTCTTATATAATATTTATTTTCAGTTTAAGTGTTAGGGTAATGTTGGCCTAAAAATTCCACTAAAATATGTCTCCTCCTTCCCTGTTATCTGAGATTGTGTAAGATGGATATAATTTCTTTTTAAAGTGTTTAATAAAATTGACAAATGAAAATACTCAGGACTGAAATTTTCTTTGTGGAAAGGCTCATGTTCACAAATTGTATTTTAAAAATAGATATATTAATATTTTCTATTCTTCCTATATCCATTTTGATAACTTATATCATTTAGGGAATATGTGCATTTTATCTGTATTGTTAGATTTATTGACATAGAATTGTTCATAATATTCATCAGGTACAATTTAATATTCATAGTATCTGTAGTTACATCTGCATTTCACTCTGAATATTGCTATTTGTCCTCTCCCTCTCTCTCTTTTTAGTTTCCTAAGAAAAATATCAACTGCCAATCTTTTTAAAAAGACAGATTTTTGTTTTATTTCTATTCTCTATTGTTTAACATTTTGTATTTCATTGATTTTTGTAATTATTATTTACCTTCTACTTATTTGGGGTTGAATTTCCTTTTTTATAGCTTCTTAATGTGAAAGCTTAGATTATTGACTTTAAATCTGTCTTTGTTTTCTACCAAAAACATTTAGTGTTATGAACTAATTTAGAATTATTTAGATTTTTTTAGAATTTCCAAATATTTGGGGTCTTCTAAAAATGTTTATGTATTTTTCTCATATTTCTAATTTTATACTGTTGTGGCTAGAAGTAATACTCTGTATATTTTTGACCTCTTTAAATTAATTCATTCCAGTTTTATGACCCAGCACATGACTTATCTTGGTGAATGTTGGTGAATGTTAGTGGACACTTGAAGAGCTCTAAAAATATCAGTTATGTCAGGTTGGTTAATAACATTGCCCACATGTTCTACATCTGTCCTTATTTTCTTTCTACTTTTTTATCCCTGTCAAGAAAAGAGTTCAGGTGTGTAACCACCATTTTGGATGTGTCTTTTTTCAGTTTGGTCAGTTTTTGCTTTAAAAATGTTGAACCATTGTTCTAAGTGCACACATACTTAAGAATGTGCCTTGATAAACTATTTTATCGTTATAAAATGCCATTATCTAAATGAATTACAAGCAATATTATTTGATCTAAAGTCTAATTTATAAGATAATAATACAGCCATTTAGTATTCCTTATGACTAGTGCTTGCATTGAATATGTTTTTCATCATTTTTAACTTATCTATGTTTTTGTATTTCAAGAGTGTTTCTTGTTGACAGAATATGATTGGGTTGTGCCTTTGCATTTAGTTGGAGTCTTTCTTTAGATCATTGGCATATAATATATTTATCAATATGGTTGGATTTAAAGCTGTTATATTAGTGTTTACTTTATATTTGTTTTATCTGTAGTTTTTCTCATTTTTCTCTTTTGCTGCCTTATTTGTGTTGACTAATATTTAATATTTCATTCCGTGTCCTCTATTGATTTACTAGCTATATCTCTCTTTAAGTTTTAGTGGCTGCTCTGGGCTTTACAATATGTATCTCTAACTTGTTATAATCAATCTTTACTATCTTCAAAGTCTATTTGCCATTTCAAGAAATACAAGAATGTTACACAATACATTTCCATTTCTCCATCATACAGTTTGTGCTATTGTTATACATTTTTACAACTATAATATAAAACATTATAAAAAACCATTTCAAAAAATCTTTATCCTCATGTTTGCTATTTCTAGTATCCTTCATTTCTTTGAGTAGATCCAGACTTACATGTGGTATTATATCCCTTCAACTTGAATAATTTCTTTAATATTTTTTGGTAGTGCAGTTTTACTGATGATAAATTTTCTGTTTTTTGTTTGCCTGAAAAATGTCATGTTTTAATTTTTACTTATGAAGAATATTTTCACATAAAATGAAATAGTATCTTGATGATATTTTATTGTTTTTTCAAACATTAATGTGATTCTGTTGTCTTCTGGCTTGGATTTATTCTGATGAGAATTCAGCGATTAGTCTTGACTTTATCTCATACACAATGTATGGTTTTTACTCTGGCTACTTTAAGATTTTCATGATTTCTGTCTTTAGCAATTTGATAATGAGAGACTTTGGTTTTGTTTTCTTTCAATTATCCTTCTTGGTGAATGCAGAGTTTCTTTGATCTATGTGTTTATACGCTTCATTGTTTTTTTTTAAGTTTGGGCCAGTATATTTTTAAACACTCTTCCTGCAACTTCTCTTCTTTTTCTCTTTGATACTCCAATTACATGTATGTTAGACAGCATAATATTGTGTTACAGATTCCTGAAGTTGTTTTTTTAAACTATTTTTTTTCTCTATGCTTCATTTTGGATACTATCTAATTGTTTTTTGTTTTGTTTTGTTTTTTTTAATTTTTTTTATTATTATACTTTAAGTTTTAGGGTACATGTGCACATTGTGCAGGTTAGTTACATACGTATACATGTGCCATGCTGGTGTGCTGCACCCACTAACTCTTCATCTAGCATTAGGTATATCTCCCAATGCTATCCCTCCCCCCTCCCCCCACCCCACAACAGTCCCCAGAGTGTGATATTCCCCTTCCTGTGTCCATGTGATCTCATTGTTCAATTCCCACCTATGAGTGAGAATATGCGGTGTTTGGTTTTTTGTTCTTGCGATAGTTTACTGAGAATGATGGTTTCCAATTTCATCCATGTCCCTACAAAGGACGTGAACTCATCATTTTTTATGGCTGCATAGTATTCCATGGTGTATATGTGCCACATTTTCTTAATCCAGTCTATCAATGTTGGACATTTGGGTTGGTTCCAAGTCTTTGCTATTGTGGATAATGCCGCAATAAACATACGTGTGCATGTGTCTTTATAGCAGCATGATTTATAGTCCTTTGGGTATATACCCAGTAATGGGATGGCTGGGTCAAATGGTATTTCTAGTTCTAGATCCCTGAGGAATCGCCACACTCACTTCCACAATGGTTGAACTAGTTTACAGTCCCACCAACAATGTAAAAGTGTTCCTATTTCTCCACATCCTCTTCAGCACCTGTTGTTGCCTGACTTTTTAATGATTGCCATTCTAACTGGTGTGAGATGGTATCTCATTGTGGTTTTGATTTGCATTTCTCTGATGGCCAGTGATGGTGAGCATTTTTTCATATGTTTTTTGGCTGCATAAATGTCTTCTTTTGAGAAGTGTCTGTTCATGTCCTTTGCCCACTTCTTGATGGGGTTGTTTGTTTTTTTCTTGTAAATTTGTTTGAGTTCATTGTAGATTCTGGATATTAGCCCTTTGTCAGATGAGTAGGTTGTGAAAATTTTCTCCCATTTTGTAGGTTGCCTGTTCACTCTGATGGTAGTTTCTTTTGCTGTGAAGAAGCTCTTTAGTTTAATTAGATCCCATTTGTCAATTTTGTCTTTGTTGCCATTGCTTTTGGTGTTTTAGACATGAAGTCCTTGCTCGTGCCTATGTCCTGAATGGTAATGCCTAGGTTTTCTTCTAGGGTTTTTATGGTTTTAGGTCTAACGTTTAAGTCTTTAATCCATCTTGAATTGATTTTTGTATAAGGTGTAAGGAAGGGATCCAGTTTCAGCTTTCTACATATGGCTAGCCAGTTTTCCCAGCACCATTTATTAAATAGGGAGTCCTTTCCCCATTGCTTGTTTTTCTCAAGTTTGTCAAAGATCAGATAGTTGTAGATATGCGGCATTATTTCTGAGGGCTCTGTTCTGTTCCATTGATCTATATCTCTGTTTTGGTACCAGTACCATGATGTTTTGGTTACTGTAGCCTTGTAGTATAGTTTGAAGTCAGGTAGTGTGATGCCTCCAGCTTTGTTCTTTTGGCTTAGGATTGACTTGGCGATGCGGGCTCTTTTTTGGTTCCATATGAACTTTAAAGAGTTTTTTCCAATTCTGTGAAGAAAGTCATTGGTAGCTTGATGGGGATGGCATTGAATCTGTAAATTACCTTGGGCTGTATGGCCATTTTCACGATATTGATTCTTCCTACCCATGAGCATAGAATGTTCTTCCATTTGTTTGTATCCTTTTATTTCCTTCAGCAGTGGTTTGTAGTTCTCCTTGAAGAGGTCCTTCACATCCCTTGTAAGTTGGATTCCTAGGTATTTTATTCTCTTTGAAGCAATTGTGAATGGGAGTTCACTCATGATTTGGCTCTCTGTTTGTCTGTTGTTGGTGTATAGGAATGCTTGTGATTTTTGCACATTGATTTTGTATCCTGAGACTTTGCTGAAGTTGCTTATCAGCTTAAGGAGATTTTGGGCTGAGACAATGGGGTTTTCTAGATATACAATCATGTCATCTGTAAACAGGGACAATTTGACTTCCTCTTTTCCTAATTGAATACCCTTTATTTCCTTCTCCTGCCTAATTGCCCTGACCAGAACTTCCAACACTATGTTGAATAGGAGTGGTGAGAGAGGGCATCCCTGTCTTTTGCCAGTTTTCAAAGGGAATGCTTCCAGTTTTTGCCCATTCAGTATGATATTGGCTGTGAGTCTGTCATAGATAGCTCTTATTATTTTGAAATATGTCCCATCTATACCTAATTTGTTGAGAGTTTTTATCATGAAAGGTTGTTGAATTTTGTCAAAGGCCTTTCCTCCATCTATTGAGATAATCATGTGGTTTTTGTCTTTGGCTCTGTTTATATGCTGGATTACATTTATTGATTTGCATATATTGAACCAGCCTTGCCTCCCAGGGATGAAGCCCACTTGATCATGGTGGATAAGCTTTTTGATGTGCTGCTGGATTCGGTTTGCCAGTATTTTATTGAGGATTTTTGCATCAATGTTCATCAAGGATATTGGTCTAAAATTCTCTTTTTTGGTTGTGTCTCTGCCCGGCTTTGGTATCAGGATGATGCTGACCTCATAAAATGAGTTAGGGAGGATTCCCTCTTTTTCTATGGATTGGAATAGTTTCAGAAGGAATGGTACCAGTTCCTCCTTGTACCTCTGGTAGAATTCGGCTGTGAATCCATCTGGTCCTGGACTCTTTTTGGTTGGTAAGCTATTGATTATTGCCACAATTTCAGCTCCTGTTATTGGTCTATTCAGAGATTCAACTTCTTCCTGGTTTAGTCTTGGGAGAGTGTATGTGTCGAGGAATTTATCCATTTCTTCTAGATTTTCTAGTTTATTTGCGTAGAGGTGTTTGTAGTATTCTCTGATGGTAGTTTGTATTTTTGTGGGATCGGTGGTGATATCCCCTTTATCATTTTTTATTGCATCTATTTGATTCTTCTCTTTTTCTTTATTAGTCTTGCTAGCGGTCTATCAATTTTGTTGATCCTTTCAAAAAACCAGCTCCTGGATTCATTAATTGTTTGAAGGGTTTTTTGTGTCTCTATTTCCTTCAGTTCTGCTCTGATCTTAGTTATTTCTTGCCTTCTGCTAGCTTTTGAATGTGTTTGCTCTTGCTTTTCTAGTTCTTTTAATTGTGATGTTAGGGTGTCAATTTTCGATCTTTCCTGCTTTCTCTTGTGGGCATTTAGTGCTATAAATTTCCCTCTGCACACTGATTTGAATGCGTCCCAGAGATTCTGGTATGTTGTGTCTTTGTTCTCGTTGGTTTCAAAGAACATCTTTATTTCTGCCTTCATTTCGTTATGTACCTAGTAGTCATTCAGGAGCAGGTTGTTCAGTTTCCATGTAGTTGAGCGGTTTTGAGTGAGATTCTTAATCCTGAGTTCTAGTTTGATTGCACTGTGGTCTGAGAGACAGTTTGTTATAATTTCTGTTCTTTTACATTTGCTGAGGAGAGCTTTACTTCCAATTATGTGGTCAATTTTGGAATAGGTGTGGTGTGGTGCTGAAAAGAATGTATATTCTGTTGATTTGGGGTGGAGAGTTCTGTAGATGTCTATTAGGTCCGCTTGGTGCAGAGCTGAGTTCAGTTCCTGGGTATCCTTGATGACGTTCTGTCTCGTTGATCTGTCTCTAATGTTGACAGTGGGGTGTTAAAGTCTCCCATTATTAATGTGTGGGAGTCTAAGTCTCTTTGTAAGTCACTCAGGACTTGCTTTATGAATCTGGGTGCTCCTGTATTGGGTGCATATATATTTAGGATAGTTAGTTCTTCTTGTTGAATTGATCCCTTTACCATTATGTAATGGCCTTCTTTGTCTCTTTTGATCTTTGTTGGTTTAAAGTCTGTTTTATCAGAGACTGGGATTGCAACCCCTGCCTTTTTTTGTTTTCCATTTTCTTGGTAGATCTTCCTCCATCCTTTTATTTTGAGCCTATGTGTGTCTCTGCACGTGAGATGGGTTTCCTGAATACAGCACACTGATGGGTCTTGACTCTTTATCCAGTTTGCCAGTCTGTGTCTTTTAATTGGAGCATTTAGTCCATTTACATTTAAAGTTAATAGTGATATGTGTGAATTTGATCCTGTCATGATGAAGTTAGCTGGTTATTTTGCTCGTTAGTTGATGCAGTTTCTTCCTAGTCTTGATGGTCTTTACATTTGGGCATGATTTTGCAGTGGCTGGTACCGGTTGTTCCTTTCCATGTTTAGCACTTCCTTCAGGAGCTCTTTTAGGGCAGGCCTGATGGTGACAAAATCTCTCAGCATTTGCTTGCCTGTAAAGTATTTTATTTCTCCTTTGCTTATGAAGCTTAGTTTGGCTGGATATGAAATTCTGGGTTGAAAATTCTTTTCTTTAAGAATGTTGAATATTGGCCCCCACTCTCTTCTGGCTTGTAGAGTTTCTGCCAAGAGATCCGCTGTTAGTCTGATGGGCTTCCCTTTGAGGGTAACCCGACCTTTCTCTCTGGCTGCCCTTAACATTTTTTCCTTCATTTCAACTTTGGTGAATCTGACAATTATGTGTCTTGGAGTTGCTCTTCTCGAGGAGGATCTTTGTGGCGTTCTCTGTATTTCCTGAATCTGAACATTGGCCTGCCTTGCTAGATTGGGGAAATTCTCCTGGATAATATCCTGCAGAGTGTTTTCCAACTTGGTTCCATTCTCCCCATCACTTTCAGGTACACCAATCAGACGTAGATTTGGTCTTTTCACATAGTCCCATATTTCTTGGAGGCTTTGCTCATTTCTTTTTATTCTTTTTTCTCTAAACTTCCCTTCTCGCTTCATTTCATTCATTTCATCTTCCATCGCTGATACCCTTTCTTCCAGTTGATCGCATCGGCTCCTGAGTCTTCTGCATTCTTCACGTAGTTCTGGAGCCTTGGCTTTCAGCTCCATCAGCTCCTTTAAGCACTTCTCTGTATTGGTTATTCTAGTTATACATTCTTCTAAATTTTTTTCAAAGTTTTCAACTTCTTTGCCTTTGGTTTGAATGTCCTCCCATAGCTCAGAGTAATTTGATCGTCTGAAGCCTTCTTCTCTCAGCTCCTCAAAGTCATTTTCGGTCCAGCTTTGTTTTGTTGCTGGTGAGGAATTGCATTCCTTTGGAGGAGGAGAGGCGTTCTGATTTTTAGAGTTTCCAGTTTTTCTGCTCTGTTTTTTCCCCATCTTTGTGGTTTTATCTACTTTTGGTCTTTGATGATGGTGATGTACAGATGGGTTTTTGGTGTGGATGTCCTTTCTGTTTGTTAATTTTCCTTCTAATAGGACCCTCAGCTGCAGGTCTGTTGGAGTACCCTGCAGTGTGAGGTGTCAGTGTGCCCCTGCTGGAGGGTGCCTCCCAGTTAGGCTGCTCAGGAGTCAGGGGTCAGGGACCCACTTGAGGAGGCAGTCTGCCCGTTCTCAGATCTCCAGCTGCGTACTGGGAGAACCACTGCTCTCTTCAAAGCTGTCAGACAGGGACATTTAAGTCTGCAGAGGTTACTGCTGTCTTTTTGTTTGTCTGTGCCCTGCCCCCAGAGGTGGAGCCTACAGAGGCCGGCAGGCCTCCTTGAGCTGCGGTGGGCTCCACCCAGTTCGAGCTTCCCGGATGCTTTGTTTACCTAAGCAAGCCTGGGCAATAGTGGGCGCCCCTCCCCCAGCCTCACTGCCGCCTTGCAGTTTGATCTCAGACTGCTGTGCTAGCAATCAGCGAGACTCCGTGGCGTAGGACTCTCCGAGCCAGGTGGGGGATATAATCTCGTGGTGCGCTGTTTTTTAAGCCCGTCGGAAAAGCGCAGTATTCTGGTGGGAGTGACCCGATTTTCCCGATTTTCCAGGTGCCGTCCGTCACCCCTTTCTTTGATTAGGAAAGGGAACTCCCTGACCCCTTGCGCTTCCGGAGTGAGGCAATGCCTCGCCCTGCTTCGGCTCGCACACGGTGCGCGCACCCACTGACCTGCGCCCACTGTCCGGCACTCCCTAGTGAGATGAACCCGGTACCTCAGATGGAAATGCAGAAATCACCCGTCTTCTGCGTCGCTCAGGCTGGGAGCTGTAGACCGGAGCTGTTCCTATTTGGCCATCTTGGCTCCTCCCTCTCTGGATACTATCTAATTGTTATGCCAATGAGTTCACTTTTACTTCATCCTGTAGTGTTTAATTTGCTAAGTCTATCAAATATATATTCTTTTTAATTTCCAAAATTTCATTTTTATTTTTAGATGTTCTGTTGGGTTCTTTTTTATGGCTTCCATTTCATTCATCATCTTGTGCATGCTTTCCTTGAAATTATTGAACATAAAGTTATAAAGCTCTTATTTGCTTGCTAATTCCAACAGTGCTGTCATTTCTGAGTTTGTTTTTATTAATTGTTCTCCTGATAATGAATTACATTTTACTGCTTCTTTGCATGTCTAGTAATTTTAGACTAGATGCTTAACACATTGAATGTTACATTGTGTAGTGTATGATTTTGTTGACTATTTTTAACAAATGTTGAGTTTCGTTTTGTCAAATATGTTTGTTCTTTGCACATAGTCTTGGCCATTTTGAAGCTTGTTTTTAAATTTTCTCTAGGTGGCTCTAGTGTTTCCTTTACTATAGAATTAGTTTTGTACTACTACTATGATATGGCCTTTTTGAGGTCCCTACTGATGGTCCTGTTTAGAAGTCCAACACTTTTTAACCTTTGTCAGCTCTGGTAATTGTTTATTTTACAGCTTTTTAGTAGTTATTTTCTTCTTTGAGTAACTGATTTTTGGCTAGACTTTTAGACTAGACTCTTACTTCACACCTGGGCAGGAAGGGGATACCTAGGCAGATTTAAGGATATCTTTTGCTTTATGTATATCCTCTTTCTGGGTACTCTGTCCCACAAAATCTGCAGGACTCAATGTCTTGAACTTTTATCTTTGCCTCTTTAACTTAGTAAGATTGTTGAGCTTGTATTAGATTTGGTCTTTTTTATGGAATGAATTGTGTTCCCTGTAAATTTATCTATTAAAGCTCTAATCCCCATACCTCAGAATCTAACTGGATTTGAATGTAGGGCCTTTAATAGGTAATTATTAAAAGTCAGGGATGGTGGCTCATGCCTGTAATCTCAGCACTTTGAAAGGCCAAAGTGGGCAGATTATGTGAGGTCAGGAGTTTGAGACCAGCCTGGCCAACATAGTGAAACCCCATCTCTACTAAAACAACAACAACAACAACAACAACAACAAAAAAACAAAATTAGCCAGGTGTGGTGGCAGGTGACTGTAATCACAGCTACTCAGATGGCTGAGGCAGGAGAATCACTTGAATCTGGGAGGCAGAGGTCGCAATAAGCCAAGATCACGCCACTGTACTCCAGCTTGGGTGACAAGAGTGAAGCTCCTTCTCAAAAAAAAAAAAAAGGTAATTAAGTTAAAATGAGGCCAATAGTCCTCAAAGACCAATTGGACCTTATCCAATTGGACTGGTGTCCTTATAAGAGGAAGTTTGGACATACAGGAGATTCCAGGAATGCACATGCAAGAAAAAAAGACCAGATGAGAATACAGCGAGAGAGCAGGCATCTACAAGCCAAGCAGAGAAGCCTCAGAAGAAACCAAACCTGATCTTGGACTTCCAAACTCCAGAACTGTGAAAAAATAGCTTTTTGTTATTTAAGCCACCCAGTCTGTGGTATTTTGTTACAATAGCCCTGGCAAACCAACACAGCCTTCTTGTAGGCAGCCTGGAATGCAATGCTAGATGGAAAGCCTGGAGTATCATAGGGTTTATCTTATTTGTTTCTCTTTATTCAAAGATTACAGTCCTGTGTTACCTATTGTACAATCTATAAAAACAGCTCTTATAAATTTTGTTCCATTTTCTAATTGTTAATCGTGTGAAGTCAAGTCTGACAGCAGTGAAGGCAATCATAACTGCCTTGATTTTTCATTTTCTGAAACTCTTAGAATTCAGGCCTTTACCTCTCATATTGATGTTTTAGTTTTTTTAAAAAATCTTACTCTTCAATTTTTCCCTATTTGTCTTTATTCTACTTTCTGGATTATCTTCTAAAATGTCTGTATTATCTTCCATTTCTTTGTACTGTTTTGGGGGGAGTTTTCTTTCAATTTATCTTCCAAATCTCCTATTCATTTTTTCATTTGACCATTATACGTTTAGTTTTCAAGAACTCTTTGCAAAATATTGTTGAAATTGTTTGTTTCTTCTCTTTTTGACTTCATGAATGTATGCCTTTTAGAGAAATCTCTTCACTGTTCTTTTAAGTGGGGTTTCAAGAAACAGCAGAGAGAGATTAATGGGAATGTTCAGTCATTTGGAAAGTCCAGGCATGTCTTTTAATTTATTTTTATGTTCAGTGGTTTTCTTTCTTTTCATCTGTCTGTCTTTCTTCCTTTCTTCAATGAGAATAAAATCCTGCCAATTTTACCTTCTAAAATTCCCCCAATATACCTTCTTTTCTCTCATCATCCTGGACTATCATCTAATGCCTATAGGGACCTCAGGATACATAGTATATCCCCCACTCTGGTACTAGAATGATTCCTCTAAACCACAGGTCTAACCATATGTCTTTTATAGCAAAAACTTTTCAATAGTGCTTCAAAATTCAGAGAAAACAAAGCTTGAGATCCTTAGTCTGGCATTCATTTTTATTATGTTTTACTGAAGTGTTCATCTGAGATGTATTGAAATTTTTTTAAAGGAAAAGCAAATCTGGTCCTTCATCACAAACAGTTTGGAAAACTCTACTTGAGAAAATATTTTTCATGTTGAAAAAACTAAAACCTTGTGTGATACCACTCTCCTAACCTCATTGGTCTGGCCTTATAAACATAATTCTCCGGGAGATAGCAGATTAAATGTGAGAGAGGAGGAAAAAGAAGGGAACTCTGTACCTGTCAAGTATTTGCTCTCTTTCCAGCAATCTTCTGGGAGTTTTACATAGGTAGAAAAGTAAAGAAAATATTTTAACTATTTACATGAAAGCCTCCTTTAGGAATGAAACTCTTTGTCTAGAAAAATGCCTTGATAGACCACCTTAGCTGGGTGACTCAAAACAGATAAAACTCTGCAAGAGAAGTGAGAGGGAAATTTGTGTTGAAGGGAGCAGAAAGGGAGACAGAAGTCCTAAATAACCTTATGGAAAGTTGGAGTCCACAGACAGAAGTGACCAATGGGAAATCAGATGGCAGAGCACCATAAAGACACACTAATAACCAGTACGAATGACTCTGAGATTATGCCCAGGGAAGGGGGTGTGTTTTATATTTAGTTTGAAACAGACAGAATGTCACAAATCAAAAGGAGCCAAGATGAAAATCAGAGTAGTTTGTTAAAGGCCAGAACTCGGAGCAAATAATAGTAAGTAGCCGAATGTAAATATGTCACCACCAAGAAGTTACAGAAAGCTTAGACAGGGCATGGAACTTCCCAACAGTCAAGGGATATGTAATGTGAACCAAGTTGTTTAAAATCTCTCATTGGACAGCTGCAGTATAACAAATTACCACAAATATAGAGGCAAAATAGCCCATAAATATTGTTTTATTATTTTCGTGGATCAGAAATACAGGCATAACTTAGTGAGATCTTCTGCTTTAAGTTCTTTTATATTTAAAGAGAAAAAGAGATAAATTTATTTCAAGAAATTTTCTCATGTGATTTTTGGGGACTGGCAAATCTGAACTCTGTAGGGCAGGCTCACAGTCTGGAGTTCTGGCAGGGGTTGATGTGGCAATCTTAGTCCACATACCAAAGATGAACAGGCTAGAAACTCAAGCTGGGATTTTATGTGGCTATCTTGAAGGAAAACTCTTTCTTTTGGGGTCAACCTCAGTCTTTCTTTGCTCTTAAGGCCTTTAACTGATTGCATGAAGCCCACCCACATTATGGGTAGAATCTGCTTTACTCAAAGTCTACTTATATGAATGTTGATAATTATTCAGTCTACTGACTTAAATCTTAATCACATTTAAAAAAAAAAACCCTTCACAGCAACATCTGGACTGATATTTAGCCAATCCACTGAGAACCACAGTCTAGCCAGGTTGACACAACATTAACCACCACAGGATGTAATCAACGTGTCAGCTAGGACTGGTGTCTCATCAGAAGGCTCAACCAGGGAAGGATTTGCTTTCTAAACTTATCTAGTTATTGGCAGAATTCCATTCCTTGCGTGCTGTTACATCGGGGGTCTAAGTTCCTCATTGGCTGCCGACAGGAGGTTGTTCTTGGTTCTTTGCTACATGGGCCTCTTCATGCAATAGTTAACTTCAACAAACAATTGAGGAAGAATTCCCTAGCAAGAGAGAAGCCACAGTCATATGTAACCTAATCAGGGAAGTGATATCCTGCCACTTCACCACATTCAATTAATTAAAAGCAAATCGTCAAGCCAGCCAGCAACCAAGGGAAGAGGATCACATACAGGCATAAACACTAGCAGGTGGGTATCATATTAGAGCCTGCTTGTCACAGACAGCTTATCTTCATTTCAGGTAAACTATTTTATTGAAATCCTCATAGTCTGTTTATGAAGTAGTCATCTTTATTACCATTTCACATATTAATGAATAAAGGTTCAGACAGCTTTTCTGTCTAGATCAACATAACACATCAAGTCAAAGGGAAAGACAGTAATCAAGGCTACATCTATTTGCTACTGAGAGCTTTGCTTGACCTCCTACTTTACAACCTAATATCGATTTGTTGTTGTTGTTGTTGTTGTTGTTTCACTAGAAATTCCTATTAGAAAAACTGATACTCATTGCCTTCTCTCAAATTTAAGTACTCCAATAGACCTTTGACTTCCCCAAACACAACCTGTGATGTCTCTTTGTATTGCATAAATTAGCCACATTTTCTGATCCCTTGGCTATCTGACTATAAAACTGGAACTATTCTGCTTTGCTAGCAGACTTAACCTCATCTCATTCTTTGTAACCAGTTTTTCCCTGTGAGAAGAAAAATAATCTCATGGCCTGGTCATCTATTACCAGGGAAGTCAAGCTCTGGATTCTATTCCAAATTTTGCCCTAAGTTCTAGACTGTGGATCCAAGGTATGAATTTTGTAAATGTCTGATACCTATCTACCTGCCTGATATTCCAGTTTCTCTAGGACTGGGATGCCTACCTTTATTCCTTTTAGGGTTTCTAAAGACCACAGTCATGATTCTGAACCTACGCCATTGTAGCTAGGCCCTCTTCTCCACCTTTTTCCATACTCCTCATTATTAAAATATTGCTCTTCCCAGGTAGGTAGAGAAGATGTGGAGGTTTATGACATTTCTTCTGGGTTTGTGATGCATGAGAAGACACATTAATAAAACTTCTAGTTTGTATTCTTAGATTACTTATTACAAATTTTAAATACAAAGGAAGAAAATTCCAGGCCATCTAGCTAAGAGACAATATGGGAATTTGAAGGAAAAGATACTTGTATAATTCCCCAAACTCTATAGCACCTATTCAAAGTAAGCTATGGTTATTTTTTAAATAATGATTTTCCCCAGATATCAATACAACAGATCACTTATCTTCCTTCTCCAAATATTAATATCTCCTATTGACCTCCATCGTGCAAAGTACTGAGTCCAAACTGCCTATGGCTGTATTCAAGAATTTCCATGATCTAACTGCAAGCATTTTTTTCAACTTTATTTCTGTCCATGCATTATAATCCCTTCCCCTTCTTTGTGCATGATGGTTGTCCCTTAATTCTTAACCTATTAAGCTTGATTCAATATCTTTCTTTGCATTCAGGTCCAATAACATCATATCTAGTAAGTACTAGAGAGTACATACTATCCCTTACAGAAATATCAATGAAATGCTCTTTTATCTGTCATCCTCAGTACGTCGTTTATATCTAGCCAAGCCCATATTTTATTCTATCACGTGATATGGCTCATTGTCTACATGCCTTTCTTCCCTTATTAGTTCAGAACACTTTAAAATGTAAGGCCTACATTGCTTCCTTTGTTATATTCCCATCCTCAGACTCCATCACACTGCTCTGAATGAGGCATAGGGATAAAATAATGTAGGGGGTAGGATATAGATTTTTGGAATCAGATGCACATAAATTTGGAAATAGGTTCTGGCATTTATTAACGGTGTAGATGTGATTGGAGAAGTTACTTGACCCCCAAGTCTTGGCTTTCTTACCTACTAAATGAAGGATAACATTGCCTGTCTCAAAGTTTTGCTGTAAGTCCTCACTAGCATTAAATATATAGAAAAATTGGCACAATGTAAATAATGTTTCTTTCCCCAACCTCCCATTCCCACAGTCAAAATCCACTCCCAATTCCACCTTCCTCTCCCACCCACTTTCTCGAGTTCCACCTCAGCATTAATAAATATTTGTTAGACTGGATTGAATGCTCTGTCACTGGACCCCTTGAATCAGGAAGCAAAGGACTCACTTCTTTCTCTGCAGCCTTTTTGCTTGGTTGGTATATTGAATTCTTGTTTTTTTCTCCTCCCATTCTGTCAGCCTTAAATCCTTATTTTGTGTCCTCTTTCTGTTCCAAAATTTTATTTTTACCTACAAGTTTTTTGTTTACATTGCATCTCTCTTCTGCTGGAAAAGCATGGCCTTGTGAAGCTGGCATTTGTTTAATCTTCTGGCATCTGGAGACCTGCATTTATGAGTTTTCTAAAGTTCCCTGTGCTGGGAGCTTCCTATACGCCAGAGCTTCTGAGTAAGTGCTCCAACCTGAAATGAGAGTTTTTCCAAGGTTAGGTCATCGCCACTGTGCACCTCCCTCATCCACAGCCAGGCAAAATAAAAGTTTCCATGGAGATGAAACAGAAAAGGGTCCATCTGATCAGTTTTAATTGTTATAAATAAGAATTCATTTAATATATGTTTGTGGCATGAGCTGCTTGTCACAGTTAAGAGGAGAGCAGAAATTACCAAGTAAATTTTTAGTATTGAATATTTACTTAGCTCAATGTTAGAGAGAGGCTAGGTCCCTGCCCTAAGAGAGCTTAAAATTTATTTGGGAATAAAAATGAATCCATGAGAAAGAGAGGGCAATTAAAGGCAGAGAGTAAAAAGAGCTAGTTTAATGAGTATTTATTGTCTGACTGCATAAACAAATACATACATACTTAAATGAATGAATGAAAATAATTACACGAAAGAACAAATGAAGACTGGAGCATTAAGGCTGTGCTTTTAAAATTTGACAATGTCACTAATTCAAAGCAAGTTAAATCTTTAAATTATTTGCGTTAGAACTACACATTGATCTCATTAAATAAACACTTTAAGCCATTTCAACAAAAACACATTTAACTATTCACAATGGTCCAGACTTTACTGAGTCCAAAAGGTAAACAAGATGAATAATATATCGTCCTTTCTCTAGGATTGAAACAAATCTCTCCTGTCACTTTCCTGTAGATTATTGCCAAGATATCCCATGTATAGGCTGACATCCTCTAAGCCAGTAGAATATTGGTTTCTGGCACAATAATAGATGGAATGGAAACTGTGTTAGGACTCAGGACCACTTGCTGGTTGATAAGGATCACTCAATGTGTCTCTTTTAACAGTTGGAGAGCTTTATGTTTCTCTTTCTGAAACTTGTTTGACACTTTCAATTTCTGTTCTAGGTATGTGAAACATTCGCTATGTTCCCAACTAAACTGTAAATTTCCTGACAGCAGGATCTATTTTTATTTATCTATGCATCTTCCACAGAGCCTAGCATACTTTTTGATAGATGACAGATACTCAATATATATTGGATGAATGAATGAATGAACTAGTATAAAATAAAGATGTGTACAGTAAGTCCTCACTTAATGGCTTCAATAGGTTCTTAGAAACTGCAACTTTTAGCAAAACAATGTATAATGAAACCAATTTACTGTAGGCTAATTGATATAAACAAGAGCTAAGTTCCAATGATGCATTTCTGGTCACAAAAATATAACCAAGCTTCTAAATAAAGGCCAAAAACACTTTTGATATTAAACATTGAAATAAATGTGAGCTATACATACACATACATTTGTAAAAGATTAACAAAAACAAGAAAGATAATTATTATTTACCTCATTTTTGGTGAATCAGTGAGTAACAGTGGTTTTAGTGGATGTTGGTCAAGTCAAGGAATAAATGTTTGCAAAACAAAAATTTTAAGGATTCCCTCCTACCACCACAAAATTCAAAAACAGTAATTCTGACAGCCCTCTGAGTGCTTTTTGTCCCTCACTGTTTGTTTGTTTACTGTTGTGCATTTGTATGACTATTACATACCTTAGGAATCTTTATCTTATAATAATTTGTATTCATTCACTCATTTTCTAACCCACTATTCCAGTTCAGGGTCATGTGGGCGGCTGGAACCTATCCCTGGCAACTAAGTGTGCAAGGTGGGAGCCATCCCTGGCTAGAATGTTAATCCACCTCAAGGCGTACTCACACACGCACCCATATTCACTCGGACTGGGACCATGTAGACATGCCAATTAACCTAATGGCACAACTTTGGGATGTGAGAAGAAACCAGAATATCCAGGGAAAACCCATGTAGACAATGGGAGAATGTGTAAACTCCACACAGACAGTGGTCCTAGCCAGTCCTCAATTTTTTTTTTCTGATCAACATTATAATAAAACAAGGTTGAACAAAACAGCTCCTGGTGCACCAGGAGCTCTCAGTCTGGTTGAAAACTCAGAATGCAAACCAGCAAGGATAACTCAATGTGCTAAGTATCTTGGCAATAATAAACACTGCAAACATAATGGGCGATTGGCAGGGCTTAAGAGTTTTGAGAAGACCTAGGAAGAGAGATTAACTTGAAGATCTAAAAGATGAGTGAATTTGCTAAGTGAAGAAGTTACAAAGATAGACAGAAGGATGAGATGGCAAACCAGTGGTGAAATAGAGGCATTTCCTTAAATAAGGCAATGAGACATTTCCGTCATTAGAGGCAGAGGGAAAAGCATGTGCAAAGGGCACAGAAAAATGAGCAAGTTTGACATTTAAAAATAACTTGCAGTGATTATAATGGGGATGTCAAATGGAGAGTCAGAGCAGAGAGGAGCAGCAAGACAGACTGTAGTCAGTAAAGACCCTGCCATGCCAGTTTGAACTTCATCACTTGAGCAATAACAAGCCGTTGATTTTTTTAAAGTGTAGTGAGATAGTCAAATTTCTGTCTTAGAAAGGCAAGTCTGGCTGACTGAGTTGGGGAAGACGATCCTCAGAAACTAGGAGGGAAGAAAACATTTACTGAGCTAAGTTTATATGCCAGGATATACTTTAGGGGTTTTCACGGATACACTGAAGTTTGCTTTATGTAATCTTTACAGCCACCACCAGAAATAAGGATTAGTATGCTCATTTAACAGATACAAATACGACACTTGAAATTATGAATAGAAGAAGGTTTAGAAATTGAGAAACTATTCACAATTCTAGGGGAGATCAAAAGTGATGTATCTTAGAGGAGGGGTATTGAAGAAAGAAGGGCAGGAAGGGAAAAGTGGGAAGAAACACAGCATATTGGAGAACTCAGAATTCAGGAAGCATAATTAACAGAATCATTGGTTGGAGGTAGGCATGAGGAAGAAAGATAGTGATAGTTAAATAACGAATTCCAAGTCTCTAGAGTGTTGAAAGTTTTGGGACTTATATAACCACCTTCCTCCAGTGATTTTTTTACATCTCTCACATTTTTTCTAATACAATTACCTTGAAATTTATAGAGGTAGATATGTATTTCCCTTGAGATGAAAAACTTAAGTTTTAGGAACTTGCGTCTGTAGTATATTTCCCCAGGAGTTGGCTGCTGTAGCAAGAAAGAACTGATACTCCATTTTCAAGACAATTGCATATCTTTCAGCTCGGGTGTGTTGGGAGGATTTCTGTTCATAAACTGTTCAGAGGAATTTGGAAGCAAACAAATATGTAAGTGCAAAGAACTGTATCAGATGGGAGACACCACCCAGACTCTTGGCAAGCCAAAATTCACTTGGAAGCAATTAGTGGCTCAAGAGACTGATATCATAGAGGATCAAAGTGTTCATTGGGAAGTGATTTCGGGAGTAGAGGCCGCCAGTGACTTCACAGCAAACCACACGGTGATTGTGAAACTCTTACTGCATTTTGCAATGTCATACACAGCAGAGGGATGATTCCAAGTCCAGAGAAACCCTGCTGACATCCAAAAAGCCTCTTTTTCATGTTTCCAAGAACTTCTAGTACCTCATATTCTCCTTCTTCTCCCAGGCCTAATTTTTGGTGGTCTGTTTCCTATTTTGAGAGTTTCTTTAACAACTAACATGATTGGTGAATCTAGCCATGCATATACCCAGGCTTCTGTTTTACAACGGAATTATGAGTACATGAGCTGGATTAGGGTTAAGAAGATAAAGATAGAATGTTAATGCACCTTCTTGACCCCTCTGTCATAGTTCTGACCACTTCCTCCAACCAAAATGATGAAGGAGGAAATAAAAACAGAGGATGTGAGTGACTCAGGAAGCTAGAGGCAGAAGAGAGGCAAAGAGACCTTAAAGACACCTTTATCTAGTGAATCTAATGAAGAGCTCCTCATTAATCTCTTTCACAGAAACACACTTTTTTGTTTTAGAGCATTTATGAAAGATTGTGGCTTTATTTTTATAACAGATTACCACTTATCATCCCTAAAATGCTCAATAAGCCCTAAAAGAATGGTATTCAGGAGACTATAATGAGGGACGTGTGTGTGTGTTGGAATAATAGTGGATGCCAAAGTGAAAAGACAACCCAAGATTTGTACCTGGAGTTTAATCTAGGTAGAAAGATAAGATTTATAGTTTCCGAATATGAAACTCAGGCAAAACCAGGCCAATGAGCCAATGAAATGGTAGCTTCTATACATGGGATCATATGCTCAGGATCACTTTCTCTAAGGATAAAATTTCAGACTGCTTAATTCCATACATATTATCAAATTCCTTTGCAATAGATTCCAGTCTTTCGTTGCTCTGCCATCATCTCTCACCTTCCTTTCCTCTGTACTCCAACACATAAACACACACATGCACATTCTACACTGCAGCCATCCTCTTATTCCCACTATTTTAGTTTCCTAATGCTGCTATAGCAAATTGCCACACACTTAGTGACTTAAAACAACACACATTAATTATTTCATTAAGCCACAGGTCAGAAGTCCATCATGAGTCTCAGTGGACTAAAAACACCAAGGTGCAGGCAGGGCTGGGTTTCTTTTTGAGACCCTAAGGGAGAATATGTTTAATTTCCTTTTCTAGACTCTGGAGACTGAATTCTTCGGCTCATGGCCCCACTTCCCCCTCTTCAAAGACAGCAGCATGGCATTTTTAAATCTTTCTGCAATTCTGATCGTATCTTGCTGTTTTTCTCTTATTTTATAAGGATGCTTGTAAATACATGGAGTCCACAAAAAATCCAGGATAATCTTATTGTTCTAAGATTTTTATCATAATTGTATCTGTACAGTCCTTTTGTCATATAAGGTAACATATTCAGAGGCTTTGTGCAATAGGTCATGAGCAGCTTTGAGGAACAGTGGTCTTTATTCTGCCTATTGCACCTAAAGAACACAGCATTTTCCCACTTTTATATCTTCTTGCAGGCTGATTTCTCTGCCCACATTCCCTTTCCTTCCTTGTCTAACTTGAGATCACCCAACTTGACTATGACCTCTTCTTTAAATCTCTCTCTAACTGTCTTTCTCTTGGAAGAATTGCTATTGTATCCTTATCTCCAAGGCAACATGTTAAACATTGAGTTTATTACAGAGTTTATCACATAGTGTTGTTTTTCTCTGTCATTTATCTGTTTCCTGCAATAGAATGAGAGTTTATCAAGGTCAGAGCATACACCTTTCTTATTTATTTTTCATTTACTACTACCTAGAAAAATGCTATTACTAAACATGGCTTATCTTGTATTTAACTGAATTCATTGATAAAGGTAGAATATTTTTGATTATTAATGACAAGACATTGTTGTGTTCCTTCTCATGCCAGTTCAATAACTTTCTTCACCTGTGTCCCTGAAAGGCTATGCTTATACCGTAATACCTAAGTTCAGAATTTAGAAGGAATTTTTTTTTAAAAGGTGATTATTTCATGTGATGCCAGAACCTAAAGCTAGGACTAAAACACCAACTTACTGAGGGCCTACTTTTGAGTCATCATGAGCAAGAATTTTCTGGTGAGAAAAGCTGTAAATTAAGAATTGCCTCGCTTAAAAGCGGGACCATGTTACTGCACTTAGTGTAATTAATAGAGAGCAGAAATACATCCACTTGGAAGGCTGGAAAGGCTATCCTGTGTTATGTAGCTCGACCAGTGAAGAACAACTACTTGCTTAATATAAGGGCAAATTAAAAACAAAAACAAAAACAAAAACTATTGCCACATTTTAAAAAAATCAATGTTAAATATATTAGAGTGATATAATGAGAAATATGGGGGCAAGGTCCGCAAATAATTGGTCTGTTTTCAGCTTTGTCCTAGGCTGGGTTAAAAAAAAAAGAACTGGTCTCTTTACTGAAAAAAAAAATCATAAGTTTGAAAAGAACTGAAAGAGCTGAAGAAAGTAATAGGCAGTTCTATAATACTCCAACTCTAATAATAGATATATCATCCAGGTAAAAAAAAAATTATCTAGATAGATGATAGATCATCTACATAGATGATAAATCATTTAGACAGAAGCTCAATAAAGAAATAGAAGACTTGAAAAGCCCTATAAGCCAACCAGATGTAACAGACAAATATAATACTGCACACAAGAATAACAGAATACACATTATTCTCAAGTGCATGTGGAACTTTCTCCAGGGTGGACCATACATTAGGTCCAAAAAGTAAGTCTCAAGAAATTTAAAAAGACTCAAATCCTACCAAGTATCTTCTTTAACTACAATATAAGTTAGCTAGAAATCACTAATAGAGGGAAAACTGGAAAATTTACAAATACATGGAAATTAAACAACACACTCTTAAATAGCCACTATTTGACAGTGGTTCATTACATAAATCGTTGGAGTGGGAGCTGAACATTGATCACACGTGGACATAAATATGAGAATAATAAACACTGCAGACTACTAGAAGGATGAGAAAGGGAGGAACATGGGTTGAAAAACTACCTTTTGGGTACTATGCTCATAACACCATACTCCAAACCTCAGCATCATGCAATATTCCAATACAACAAACCTGCATATGTACCAGCTGTGTTTAAAATACAAGTTGAAAAAAAAAAAGAAAAAAAGAAATCAAAAAGAAAATGCAAAATATTTAAAGAAAAATGGACATTAATACACAGCCTACAAGAACTGATGGGATGCAGTGAAGCAGTGCTCAGAAGAAAATGTATAACTTTAAATGCATGTATTAATGGAGAAGGATCTCAAATCAAAAACCTAACTTTACACCTCAAAAACCTAGAAAATAAAAGCAAACTAAACTTAAGCTAGAAGGAGAGGAATAATAATGAGTACAGCAAATATAAGCACAATAAAGTAGAAAAACAACAGAATTCACAAACCTAAAAGTTGGTTATTTGAAATTTTCAACATTGACAAACCTTTAGCTAAACTGAGAACAGAAGAGAGAAGACAGAAATAACTAAAATCAAAAACCAAAATGAGACATTGCTATCATCCTTACAGAAATAGAAGAATTATAAGAAAACACAATGGCAACCATATAGTAATAATTTAGATAACCTAGTGAAATGGGCAAATTCCTAGAAATAAACAAATTATGAAAACTGGTTTAAGAAGAAATAAAAAATCTAAACAGACATATAACAAGTAAAGAAATTGAATAAATGATCAAAAACCTCCCAACAGAGAAAAGTCTAGGACCAGATGGCTTCACTTGTGAATTCTACTAAATATTTAAAAAGGAATTAACACCAATCCTTCTCAAACTCTGGCAAATAAATATATAAGAAGAAGATGAAGGAGCAATTCTCAATTCATTGTATAAAGCCAGCATTATCCTTATACCAAAACCAGACAAAGATATCACAAGGAAATAAAACTAGAGATTAATATATCTTTTGAATATAAATGCAAAAATTCTCAGCAAAATTCTAGCAAGCCAATTATAATAGCATATTAAAATAATTAAATGCCATAAGCAGATGGGATTTGTCCCAGTAATGTAAGAGTTTTTCAATATAAAAAATTAATGTAATATGCCATATTAATAGAAAAAAGAAAAAATGCATGTGATCATCTAACTTGACACAGAAAACACATTTTGTAAAATCCAACATCCTTTCATGATAACAAAAAATCACTTAGAAAATTTTCTTAACATGAAGAAGGGGACTTATGAAAAAGTCAAGTCACAGCTAACATCATACTTAATAGTGAAAACCTGAAAACTTTCTAACAGTAGGTCCAAAACAAAGATGACCACTTTCACCACTGCAATTCAGCATTGTACTGAAAATTCTAGCCAAAACAATTGGGCAAGAAAAATTAATAAAAGCTATCCAAATTTGAAATAAAAAAGTAAAATTATCTCTATTTGAAGATGACATGATAGAGTAACATACATAAAATCTCAAAGTCTACACACACACACACACACACACACACACACACAATTAGAGCTAACAAAAAAATCTAGCAAAGTGGATCAACAGAAAAGTCAGTTCTGTTTCTAAAAACCAACAATGAACAGTCCAAGAAAAATATATGTTTTAAAAATTCTACTTTTAATATCATCCAAAAATAAAATAAATTTAACTAAGGAAGTGAAAGATTTGCACACCAGAAACTCTAAAGTATTACTGAAAGAAATTAAAGAAGTTCTAAGTAAATGAAAAGACATTCCATGTTTATGGATTGAAAGACTTAATATTGTTAAGATGGCAATACCACCAAAAGCTATTTGCAGATTCAGTGCAATCTCTACTGCTATTCTAACAATGTTTTTTGTAAAATGGAAAAGTTGATTCTCAAATTTATTTGTGAAACATCCCAAATAATCAAAACAATCTTGAACAATAAGAACAAAGTTGGAAGACGCATGCTTTCTGATTTCAAAAATACTAAAAACATACAGCAATCAAAACAGTGTGTAACTGGCATAAGAGTAGATATATTGACTAATGGAATAGAGATGAGACTCCAGATATAAACCCATATATCTATGGCCAATTGATTTTTGACAATTATTTCTAGATCATTCAATGGAGAAAGAATAGACTTTTTAACAAATGATGCTATGACAACTGCAAGAGAATGAAATTGGACTCATCTCACATCATATACAGAAATTAAGGTAAAAATGTGTCAACAACCTGAATATATGAACTAAAACTATAAAACTCTTAGAAGAAAACATAGAGTAATTCTGCATCAGCTTAGATTTGACGATGATTCCTTAGATACCATACCAAAAACATGAATAACAAAAGGAAAAATTAATAAATTGGACTTCAAAATTTAAAACCTTTATGCATCAAAGAACATTATCTGAATGTGAAAATAACCTACAGAATGTAGAAAATTATTTGCAAATCTTGTATCTCATAAGGGTCTACTATACAGAATATATAAAGAACTCTTAAAACACAACAATAAAACAATAGCCAATTAAAAAATAGGCAAAGAACTTAAATATACATTTCTCTAAAAAAGATATACAAATGGCCAAGAACCACATGAAAATATTCTCAACATCATTAGTTACTATGGAAATGCAAACCCAAGCCACAATGCAGTAATACTTCTCACCCACTAAAGTGTCTATAATCAGAAACACAAAAATCAACAAGTGTTAGCAAGGATGTAGAGAGATTAGAACTTTCATACATTGCTGCGGGGAATGTAAAATCATTCAAGCACTCTGTAAAACACTGTACTGGTTTCTCAAAAAGGGAAAGAGAGAATTACCATGTGTTCTAACAATTTCATTTCTAGGTATATAGCCAAAAAATTGAAAACAGATACTCACAAAATACTTGCACATGCATATTTATAGCAGCATGATTTACAATAGCCAAAAGTTGGAATCAACTCAAATGTCCATCAATGAATGGAATGAAGAAACAATACACAGACACACACACACACACACACACACATATGCACACTGAGAAACAATACACACACACACACACGCATAATGAAATATTCATTCATGAAAAAGTCATAAAGTATTTATGCATGCTACAAAATGGGTGAATCTTGAAAATATAAAGGTAAATAAAAAAAAGCCAGACACAAGGTCATATATTGTATGATTCTATTTAAATAAAATATCCACAGTAGATAAATCCATAAAAACAGAAAGTAGGAAGAAATGGCAATTAACTTGGTAATGCTTACAGGGTTTTATTTTGGAGTGATGAAAATGTTTTGGAATTAGATAGAGGTTATGGTTACACAACATCTTTGAGTGTACTAGATGTCACTGAACTGTTCACTTTAAAAGGGCTAATTTTTTGTCATACGAATTAAATCTTAATTTAACAATGATTTTTTAATCTGGATTTGAACATTGTTTTGAGGACTCACATTGTAATTAAATTTGGCTAGTAGTAATTTTTTAAGTATATTGAGTCCCAGGGAATAAACATATAATTATACCACCAAATTTAACCATTTTAGTGCACAAAAAAAGTTACATATTTAATGAGTTCCTATTATTTTGTCAACACAGTAGCAGGGTCCCTCTTTTTCTGGGAATGACCCATTCATTGACAATATTGACATGATGGTCATGGTATCAGCAATGTTACTTGATCCCAGAGTTGATTTGTTTAGGAGTAGGCACTTGTTCCAAATTCAGTCATCAAATTTTTATTCAATTCAGCTTTAAAATTGAAATGTATATCTTGCGGATTGTAAGAGATAAAATATAAAAATGGAAACCACTGGATTAGCTATATTTTTCACCATTTGGACCAGAGAAGGAAAGGAAAGAAATTTGAAAAAAAAAAAAAAAAAAAGTGAAAGAGAAGACAGAGATACGAAGAGAAGCATGAGGATAAAAAGGAGGTCTTGAGGACAGACTTGTCTCTGGTTCCAGATACTTCTCTTAGCTTTCGCTTAATTGCTCTACATCATTATAAGACACTGTCTCTTTAACTTAAATTACTAGGTTTCCTGTCTCTGGAAATGAAATGAATTATAACCATTACACAGTGCAAAAAATGAATACTGCTCCATAGACACAAAAATGTTAGTACCTTTGCATATTTTAAACACAGAAATATATAGACAAATTCTCTTTATTTAAACCATGTAAACATATACAGGATTTTAGAGGTTTAAAGTATATTTTAATGCATTATCTTATTCCATCCTAATACCATCCTAGAAGTAAATGTTATTTTCAGTTCCATTATAGGGATTGGAAGACTGAGCCCTAGAAAAGTAAAATGACTTGCCCAAGTCAGCAACAGAACAGGGCCTACAATTATGTTATTCCATTAAAAGCAATTGTTACTTAGCAGTCATCTTGTTAGTACCTATTACTGGGAGTCAGAAACAGAAAGAAATCAGGGGTGCTCCTGCCCCAGCTTTCTCTCAATTTGGACCTCCTCTCCCATGGACACAATCTCTTCTCTACTTTGTGTGGCCAAGTAGAATGAGCTGTTCTGTGGAGAAAAAATAAACTGTTGTCTCTCCCACCATACTCTCACAACATGCTTTTGACACCAGATGTGTGGGAATTTCTCCCAACCAACAAACAAGCAATCACTTCTGCAGTGGATACCAGCTGGGTGCCCTCTAATTCAATTCAATTTTGACTTTACTTACCTTGAGATAGTATCAGATCACACAGGCTAAGGACACAGTCTCACAAAACTGAGCCTCACTTTCAATGGCTATCACAAGCCATAGGTTGTTTTACCTGTGCTTCCAGCAACATTGACCTGATGGTCACGGTATCAGCAATTTTACTCCACTTGAAACTTTACTCAGCTTCCCCATGGGGTTCGATTAATGTGGTAGAGTGGCTCACAGAACTCAGAGAAATACTTCCTTATATTTAATGGCGTATTATAAAGGATATTACAGAAGATACAGATGAAGAGATGCACAGGGTGAGGTATGGGGAAAGGGTGTGAAGCTTCCATAACCCCCTCCGGGCATGCCACTTGTGGGAACCTCCAATGTTCAGCTAATGGAACTCTCTGAGCCCTGTCCTTTTGAGTTTTTATGCTGGCTTCATTACACTGGCATGATTGATGAAATTATTGGCCATTGGTGATCAAGTTAACCTTCAGACTGTCTCCATGGTGGTTGCGGAGTAGGACCGAATGTCCCAACCCTCTAATCTGGCCTTGGTCTTCCTGGTGACCAGCTCTTATCCAGAAGCCACCTAGAGGCTGCCAGCCATTAGTCAACTCATTAGCATACAAAAAGACACATCACTTTGAAGATTCCAAGGATTTTAAGAGTTGTAGGCCAGCAAACAAGGAAAAAGACCAAATACATATATTCACAACTTTACAGCTGCGCATCCTGGACCAGCGCTGGTACCTCCAGCTTCACAAAAGGGCTTGATCCATGGACACTCTGGCTGTTGGGAACTACTCTCAGCTCTGCTGACTTCCATACCCCTGGAACCCCAAAGCCCAGGCCCTCTCCATCCTTCTGTAACCTCTTGCCTGAAACCATTCCCTACTAATAGCAGCATAGCTGTCCACAGATAAACAATTTTAAGAAGGTAACTTCCTACAAATGAAGTTGCTATGCCAAAAGTTTTGTTTTCTCTAACCAAAACTATTTGGTGTATAGGAAAGAATATTTTTGAAATCTTGTTATAAATCTTACTGCAAGTTATCTGGGCTCAAAGTTATCAATCCTGGAATAGACTATCAATAGAATCTAGGTATGTGCAGTAGATTAGTACAACTGATTCCAGATTACAGCAAAAGCACGTATAATGGGGTGTGGGAAATGAAGAATACATGAAGAAACTCCTTGTGCTGCTTACTTTCTTCTGGAGTCTCACAGAAATCCAGTTTGGTATAGAGGTCTGTAGTGCTAATGACCAGGATCTGCCTGCATGGTTTCCAACTCCTGGCATAAGATGGCTGCTCAAATCCAACAATCATGTTTGCATTCCAGCAAGCAGGAAGAAAGTAGAGAATCTCCCTTTAAGAATTTCCGTTTACCAAAATATGCACCAAAGTTTAGACACATAATCAGAGTTAGCCGCAAAGAAGCTGAGAAAGGTAATCTTTATTCTCAGTAGCCATATTCCCAACTAAAATTTTGTTCTATTAATAAGAAATAGAGGGAGAGTAGATATCGCAGAACAAGTAGCAAACTCGATTATAAGTGTGAAAGCTGTTGGTTAAATCAGCATATGGCTATGCATGTGTGGCCTTTATGCAAATGCCAGGATGGAAAATTCTGTTTCCTTAGGTCGATCGTACAATTTCTTTTCTAAAGAGGCATCCTGGTATGCCAACACCCTGGGGAAGGCAGGGAGAGAGATATCTGCAGAGCAACAGAGTACTCAAGAGTAGCAATTAAGAATAAAAACAATATTGTTATAATTATTATAATAATGCCTCATATTTGCATAATGCTTCAGATTTCCAATATTTAACTTATCCTAATTGAACTCCATAATATGTTACAAAGAATTTTGTAATAACCCAATTTTATAGAGGAGAAAATTGAGAAGCAGGGAGGTTAATTGTTTGCATAAAGTTTATTATACAGCAAATAAATCCTAGTCTAGGGCCTGAGCACTCTCTTTAACCCTAATTCTAATTTTTTTTTTTTTTTGAGCAGTACAATGGCAACATAAATGTGCAATTTCAGCTTGTCTGTACTCCATCTCTTATTTAGCAACACACATTCGCTGAGCAGCTATTACATATCAGTCGAAATAATACACAGGGAATAACTCCAAAAACCCCTGCATTCAAAGATTTGAGAAGTTGGAAGAGAAAAGTAGCAAAATGACATTATACATAGGTATATGATATAATACGTTTGTGCTTTTAAAACTAGTGTTTACAAGATTCTTTAGTAGGGAGGAGTGGTCACTCCATTCATTCGTTTCACACTTAGAATTCTGTATCAACGAAATTCTTAGGCTATGCTGTATCATAGAGCCTTTGCCTCTCCTAATTGACAGGGGCTTCCATTTCCTCTCTAAGACTCATCTTCTCTATTCCTTGATGATATACTTCTCAGATATAAGGCCTTGCAACATCCCAGTCAATTAACAAGCATGATTCCTGTTTCGAAGAAAGGAAGAATAAGGTAAGCTGGGTAGATAACATGCCCAGGATAAAAACAAACTCCATGCTAAGTCAAAATTGGAACTTCCTTTTAGTAAACTACTTGCCAAAACTACAGGGATGTAATAATAAAAGTCACATTTATATATTCATTATATAGCTACTACTTTGTTTAATGTCATGAACATAGTACATGGCTCCACATGCCAGGAACAGGTTCAGGGCTTACTATGCGCAGTATTAGGTAATAATAGCAATGATAGATAACATTTATTGACTATTTTATATGTGCCAGGCACTTTGTTAAATATAATGATGTCTGTCTTCTTTCATCTTCAGAAAGAAATAATGCTAAATGCAATAATGCAGCATTAAGGCTGATGCTATTATTCCCTCTTAGCACATGAAATTACTCAGATCCAGCAATGTGCCTATGTTCACACAGTTCAAAAGAGTCATATTTGTTTTTTAAAATCTAAGTTCGAAATCACTGCATCCTTTTGTCATACTTAGCCCTCAAAGAAACCATGCAAGGTCAGTATTGGAATGTACAGGTAGAGAAACTGTAGCTATAACTTAAAATTTTTATTCCTTTCACTCATCCATAAGCAAGCAATAGCATGCAGGGATTGGACAACCATCTGTAAAAGCCACGTCCACATGGTTTGTTAGGGATTTGCTTTCTGCTGTGTTGTTCTGTAAGAAATCACTACATAGGCCTGTGTCTGTTTTTTTACTTTCATATCCAGAGGCAAGTCATTATCTTATGTTGGTCTCCAAAACTCATACAATAGGAAGTTAAAACAAAACATCTGAGTATTTTCTATTTTGTTTATTCACTCTAGTGTATCTTTCCAGTTTAGTCTTCATTTTTTATATTAATATTTTTAAATTTCTCTTTTAAATTTTCTTCAGATTTCCCAACTCACATCTGGGTTTTTTTCTAACTTTGATTTATATAGTTCTTTAATGTCTTCTATAATTTTAAGATATTTAATTTGTTTTGAAATATAAAATTATAATTTTTATATTGTGCACAACTTTCTGCTATAATTTTATTGTTTCTAGGGATTTAATATCTGCTTTTTGTTCCACTTTTTTCTTATGATCACTTTGCATAGGATATGATTTCAACATTTTTCTATTGGTTGGTTTTATGTAAAGTTAATTTACATAGATTTTTAGAAGATACTACAGTTCAGGGTAACACTTTCAACTTCATCTCCTTTTTTGCTGTTTTAAGTAGTGTTTGAAAATATGGGAGCCTGCCTTCAAGGATTTCATGGCTCTTTTCTCTTCTTCTGCTTTTAACTTCACCTTCTCTTCTCTCTCTCTGTCCAGTTCTTCAGTTCCATTTTGATTCAATTTCTATATATTTCTCTTTGTGGAGGCTTGCTCTGAAGACGAACTCTGGCTGGTGAGTTTTGAGAGTTCATATAATCTAGAGTAATCCAGCTCCTTAAAACAGGCATTTCACACTCACCGTTTGCTGGAGTGGTAAAGAATACCTAAGTTTTAGCTGGTATTTTCAAATTGTCCCACTTCGCTGAAAGAAATAAAAACATTTTAACCCAAGACATATTTCTCTGACATATTTTGAGATGCCTGTTAGAGGGCCAGCAAACAGAAATGGCCCTACAAAGCCATCTTTTGCTGGGAAATACGCATTTGTAAAAAATCTGCATTAATGCAGTCTGGCCTTTCCTTGTCCAGACGTAGGAAAGATTAACTGAGTCTATCACCTTAAGATCTAAAATAATACTTTACTATCTATTCTCTCTGAGGGCAGCTACTAGTGAATTTTCATCTATATAACAAGACCACCTTTACCAGCCACGTCTTCTCTGTCCCTCCCGGCCAAGCCTGCCTGTGACTTCCTAGGTCTGCATGGAGCCTCTCCTGCTTCCATAGTCTGCCTTGCCATTAAAACTTGATTTACCACCATAAACTTTTTGTCATGCACCAACCCCACATTTTTTTCTCTAACTCCAAGGTGGTATGCCAGCTTCTGTATCCCACTGGAGAGTTGGATCTTCATGGTGAAGACTCCAATGTATAAATGCTAAATAAATTTGAATACTTTTTCTTCAATTAATCAGCCTTTTGCCAGTTGATGTTTTTTTTCAGCAAATCTTCAAGGGTCAAAGGCCTTGGTCCCTACCTTGCTATCCAGTATTCTATTCTCCTCAGTGTCACCCCATTGTTTCCCTCTGATTCTTCTAGTTAGTTGCTGATTCTATTCAGGTTACTGGTGATTTGCCTTCACTTGCTTGTATTTTGGAGTTCATGAGGATACTTGCTTTTTTGGTAAACAATGCCCATGAGTTTTTGGTTCTCAGTTTTATTGTTTAATCTTTTTTGATAGTTTATTTTTATTTCTTGCTGCTTTTAAGATTTTTCTTTCATTTTTGTTTTTTAACAATTTCACTCTTTATTAGGTTTTTGGGGTTTGTGGTTGGCTGTTGAATCTCTGGTTTGATGACTTTCATCAATTTCAAAAAAAAAAAAAAATCAGCCAATATGATCACACATATTGCTTCTGACATGTATTATTTCTTTTCTCTTTCTGGGTCTCCAATTATAAATATAGCAGGTCTTTTCACTATCTCTCATGTCTTTATGTAATTTTATTTCTTCTTTTCACTTTTAATTTTATTAAAAAAATTTATTTTCATAATTTTTTATTTTCCATTGTTTATTCTCATTTTGTCCTTGTTGTACAATTGGAAAATTTCAACAGACCTAACTGCTACTTAAATTACTTTGTTTTACTTCATCTACACTGTTGCTTAACCAATTTAATGTTTTTGTCATAATAAATTTATTTGAATTTTCAGTTCCAGATTTCCATTTTATTTTATGGCTTCTAATAGTCATGTAAAATTCTTGATCTTATTATCTGTTTTCTTAAACATCCTATTCAGTTATTTAAAATTTTTTAATATTTTCCAATTTTAGAGCTTTAAATAATTTAAAAAACTGGTTCACTTTTGCATCTGCCTCTATTGCCTTTTATTCTCTTGGTTTTCAGCTTTTGATTCTAACTATTTGCATTCCTGGTATTTTCTTTATTGAATGCCAAATATTGTTTATGGAAAATAGTAGCTGCTCTGAAAAATGTTATTTTTTTTTTCAGGGAACATTTAATTTTCTCTCTGATTGGTTGAGAAAGTGAGAGAAGTACCTTGTAACAATCAAGAATTGAACAGTTTAAGGCTGGTTTTCAGTCATAGTAAAGGCTGATCTATTTCCAGTTTGTCCTCATTCATAGGATGCAATCTTTCAGGAAACTTAACTGAAAATCTAGTGTTTACTAAGCTTCTTTCTCTTTACTAAAAACGGAACTGCAGTTTTTGTCTTCCAAGCACCATAATTTAACTTATGTTTTTTTCTGTTTTAGTTTCTTAGTTGCCACTTTCTACTGGATCTTCGCCTTCACGCATCCTAGGAATTGTCAAGTCCCTTCATGTAAAAACACTAGAGAAAGTCCAACTCACTTCTGAGCACAAATTTAATTCTCCCTTGTCTTATAAGACTGCTGAGAGTTCTGGGCTACCCTTACTGTTTGTTTTTTTGTTTTTTTGTTTTTTTATTTTTTCGGAGCAGAGGTTTTTAATAGGTAGGAGAGAAGAGAAAGAGAAACAGCTTCTTCCATAGAGGATGGTGTCTCTGAGTGGAAAGGACCTGACCACCTTTTGTTTGGCTTCTTGGCCCAGCATAATTTAGAAATTGAAAACTGCCTTGAGGGGAGTGTCTTTATGGAATCTTGCCCCTTCCAGTGCTAAATTTCTTGGTTGCTTTGTGAATGACTTCAAACATCCCCATTTGTCAAAACATTTCTTTATAGTCATTTTTTCACAAGAATCACAATCATGTTTTCACAAAGCACCCACCATTCATACTCATATATTGACATGAATGTTTGCTTGAAACAATCTATTCTGTGATAGCAGCAACTCCTCTTTGTTCTGCTATTAAATTATGAACTTCTGAGATTATTTAGTCAGTATTTGCTTCCACGTAAGCTATATGTAGGTAGAGAACATCTTGTATTTCTAAATTCTAACCAGAATTTGCCATACCCTGCCATTCAATAAATTTCTGTTGATTGTTATTGAATGAAAAAACTCTATTTTATTTTACTTTATTTTGTTCCTCATTAAGAATACTTTGAACAGTTACTATGCACCCAATTATAACTTGAGAACTTTGCAGGTACAAAGAAATATAAGGTATAGTTTTTGCCTTCAAATAATTCATATACTTTAATCAGAGACTCCTGTAATTACAGATATTGTTAAGGTCAACCAGATCTGCCAAACTTATTAAACAACTGAAATCACAAAGCTTAAATTGACATTGTAGTCCTCCAGTCTAGACATAGGTAGATTTTAACTAACAAGACAATAATAGTAGTTTGGTAGTATATTCCTAGACTGCTGTATGGAGAGGCATTCTATGGCTACATATGGTATTCAAAGAGTCCCAAGATTGATTAGTCTTTCCTATTATGTGTATTGGTCATGAGAATGGCAAACAATATTCATATGTTAGCGTTCTCTGATAAAATCCATTTACATCATGAAAAAACCAGACAATTAAGGTTCTAGGAAATAGAATTTGAAAACAAGCACCGGGTTTTGGGCAAGTTGGGAACTTATACAGAGTTGTGTTGTAGGCAAAATAGAACTTGTAGGAAACCTCAGTTCATGTTCCTGAATTTCTACTTGTATACCTAAAATTTATTATTTACCAAATCTCTGGCACAATTTTTAGAGTTTTACGTGTATTGACTTATTTACTATTCACAGCTTTATCAATAAGTTATTATCATTTTATGATCTTGGCAAATTACCTGAATGCTCTGAGCCTTACTTCCTTATGTGTATGGCATGGGTCACCAAAGCTACTTTACAGAGTTAACTCAAAGCTTATATGACATAATGTATGTGAATACAATCTACAATCTAAAAATGTAATATGCTATGATTATTTCTGGCCCATCACACTGTGATTGCTATTGAGTGAAGAAATAAAAAATAAAAAGCAAGATGACACTGGGTTCGAATTGTGTAGTATAGTGTGTAAGTGCTGTACTAAAGGAAGTCTTTGAGGGCTGAGATAATGAGGCAAGAAATGAATTCATGGAGAACAGTGACTTTATTGATGAATTAAAACATGAGAAAGAGGAAAAATTGAAGACTGTGGAGCAAGAATAAGAATATTATTTCCTGAAATACTAAGAAGGGTTACCTGAGTAAAATGAAAAGAGTATACATTGAAGAAAAAAAAACCATGTCATTATAGAATATAATTGAATATTTTTTATACTTGAAATGAGTATGATTTTAATCACTGTATTTTTTTCTAGTTATTACCACTATTTCTGTGCATGTTTTTGTTTATTCCATTTGACTAAGGGATTTTTTAGGACAAAGGCTGCCATTCTTTATTATATCCCTTTACATATAGTGAAAAAATACAGTCATTGGAGCAAGAGATGTGAGTTGAAATCTTTGCTTTACTCAATTCTTGTGTGACTGTAAAAGTTTTCTTTCTGGGTGTAGTGGCACATGCCTATACTCCCAGCTACTTAAAATGTTGAGGCAGTTGGATCATTTGAGCCCAGAAGTTTGAGTCCAGCCTGGACAACATAGCCAGAACCCATCACAGTCAATCAATCAATCAATCAATCAATGTTTTCTCATCTATGTAATGGAGCTAATGAGGCTTGAAGAAACAGAATGAGAGTGGTGAGAATCAAAAATGTATATAGGGTGCACTATTGACTGAGAAGTGGTATCCAAGTAATTTGATTGACACCACCACTATAATCATCATCATAATCACTCCATAATCATGATCTTCATTAGACCTAACACTGTCTTGCAAGGTGGACCGATGAATGTTTGCTGATTGAAAGAATGATGGAATAAGTGGATGAGTAAATGAATAAGACAAGATAGACTAGTAACAAAGCAAGATGCTGTATTTTTCAGGGCCTTGAAATTTTATTTTTAGTAAGTAGGTCAAGACAAAAGATAAGTTACCACTGCTTAACTTTGAAGTCCTGCTTTTTGTGTAGTTTTCTAACAGTAGTATGTAAAGTTGCCTTTAATGGAGCCCAAGAAAAGGTCAGAGACCATAGGTGGGAGTAGGGGTGGGGGAGGGGGGAAATCATATTCTTCTAAAGGAACTTTTAAATACTTTGGCACCAAGAGAAAACACGTTTTTTTCAGTGAGTGGGAGCCAGCAGCTGACCTTCCAGCAGATGAGAGCAGGGAGTCCAACGTTCTCCTTCAGTAAGTCTATTGTGAATGGACTGTGCAACCAGAGTATCCCTGTTCAGAATCCCAGCATGTGTATCCAAATCTGACATCCATTTCCAGGAGCAAATATTTGCCACTGAAGCTTAAGATGTTATTTCACAGTGGAAATCGTATCAGCCAATTTTAGAAGAGTTTAAAGCTCGTGACATTTCCTGTCTCTTTTGGGAAATTTGTGTATGCTAAAAAAAAAAATATTCTTAAGAATCAGAATCAATTTCGTCCCAAAACAACATCAATTTTTTGCCTTCTCTTCATAACTTCTGATGTTGACAGTCACTTATGCTTGAGGATAAAGACATCAGCCCGAAGGGGGAAAAAGCAGATGTGGAAAAAATTTGTAAGATTTGAAAAAGTGCCCCTGTATTAAATTTCTGATTCTGCTGTGAAGGATCTTCTCATGATGAGTGAAAGGAAGGAAAACCCACAAAGTCAACCTCTTGGGTGGGTGGAAGGAAAGAATGGAAGAAATTTTTAAAAAGACATCTTTTGTTCAAAATGGAATCACTTGCTCAAGACAAAAGCAAAATAAAATGAAACAGGAAGAACCCCAAACTACAAATATTATCAAGAGCTTAGTGTTATTTACAAATTGATTTGAATAAATGCAATTGCTTTTTGTATGCATCTATATATATTTGAATTTATATGTGTATTTTTACTGGTTTTATTAAAAATGTTTTCTAATCACAAAATGTTCTATAATTTATATGATAGTAAAAGTCTCAAACATAGAGAAAGCTGGGTTAGTGATTGATAGAGTAGAAAAAATGAACAACTCTTCAGAGTCTTTGTTCTTTTGATCTTTAAACTTAGTTTTATCACTTTGAAGAATTCTAAATTCTCATAACTTATTTTATCCCATTATTCAGGGTAATGAATGTGAAACTGTCTTCCCATGCTAAATATAGTGTAGGGGAGTATTTATGTCTCTGGTCATCCTGATTTGCATAAATCCTGAATGTGATCATGAGAATGACAGGAAATTGGTGAAAATATTTGGTGATGAAAGTATTGAGTCCTAGTTGAATCTTCCTCCAGGAAAATATTTTTAAAATCTTATTGAGTAGATAGTTCAGCTACCTGTGAAAGTCATGGGACAAGAAAAAATCAGGCGAGGTACTCTCCTATTTCAAAGGCCATCCCTATTTTCTTTTTTCTTATACTTTAAGTTTTAGGGTACATGTGCACATTGTGCAGGTTAGTTACATATGTATACATGTGCTATGCTGGTGCGCTGCACCCACTAACTCTTCATCTAGCATTAGGTATATCTCCCAATGCTATCCCTCCCCCCTCCCCCCACCCCACAACAGTCCCCAGAGTGTGATATTCCCCTTCCTGTGTCCATGTGATCTCATTGTTCAATTCCCACCTATGAGTGAGAATATGCAGTGTTTGGTTTTTTGTTCTTGTGATAGTTTACTGAGAATGATGATTTCCAATTTCATCCATGTCCCTACAAAGGACATGAACTCATCATTTTTTATGGCTGCATAGTATTCCATGGTGTATATGTGCCACATTTTCTTAATCCAGTCTATCAATATTGGACATTTGGGTTGGTTCCAAGTCTTTGCTATTGTGAATAATGCCACAATAAACATACATGTGCATGTGTCTTTATAGCAGCATGATTTATATTCCTTTGGGTATATACCCAGTAATGGGATGGCTGGGTCAAATGGTATTTCTAGTTCTAGATCCCTGAGGAATCGCCACACTCACTTCCACAATGGTTGAACTAGTTTACAGTCCCACCAACAATGTAAAAGTGTTCCTATTTCTCCACATCCTCTCCAGCACCTGTTGTTTCCTGACTTTTTAATGATTGCCATTCTAACTGGTGTGAGATGGTATCTCATAGTGGTTTTGATTTGCATTTCTCTGATGGCCAGTGATGATGAGCATTTTTTCAAGTGTTTTTTGGCTGCATAAATGTCTTCTTTTGAGAAGTGGCTGTTCATGTCCTTCGCCCACTTTTTCATGGGGTTGTTTGTTTTTTTCTTGTAAATTTGTTTGAGTTCATTGTAGATTCTGGATATTAGCCCTTTGTCAGATGAGTAGGTTGCAAAAATTTTCTCCCATTCTGTAGGTTGCCTGTTCACTCTGATGGTACTTTCTTTTGCTGTGCAGAAGCTCTTTAGTTTAATTAACTAGATCCCATTTGTCAATTTTGGCTTTTGTTGCCATTGCTTTTGGTGTTTTGGACATGAAGTCCTTGCCCATGCCTATGTCCTGAATGGTAATGCCTAGGTTTTCTTCTAGGGTTTTTATGGTTTTAGGTCTAACATTTAAGTCTTTAATCCATCTTGAATTGATTTTTGTATAAGGTGTAAGGAAGGGATCCAGTTTCAGCTTTCTACATATGGCTAGCCAGTTTTCCCGGCACCATTTATTAAATAGGGAATCCTTTCCCCATTGCTTGTTTTTCTCAGGTTTGTCAAAGATCAGATAGTTGTAGATATGCGGCGTTATTTCTGAGGGCTCTGTTCTGTTCCATTGATCTATATCTCCGTTTTGGTACCAGTACCATGCTGTTTTGGTTACTGTGGCCTTGTAGTATAGTTTGAAGTCAGGTAGTGTGATGCCTCCAGCTTTGTTCTTTTGGCTTAGGATTGACTTGGTGATGCGGGCTCTTTTTTGGTTCCATATGAACTTTAAAGTAGTTTTTTCCAATTCTGTGAAGAAAGTCATTGGTAGCTTGATGGGGATGGCATTGAATCTGCAAATTACCTTGGGCAGTATGGCCATTTTCATGATATTGATTCTTCCTACCCATGAGCATGGAATGTTTTTCCATTTGTTTGTATCCTCTTTTATTTCCTTGAGCAGTGGTTTGTAGTTCTCCTTGAAGAGGTCCTTCATATCCCTTGTAAGTTGGATTCCTAGGTATTTTATTCTCTTTGAAGCAATTGTGAATGGGATTTCACTCATGATTTGGCTCTCTGTTTGTCTGTTGTTGGTGTATAAGAATGCCTGTGATTTTTGTACATTGATTTTGTATCCTGAGACTTTGCTGAAGTTGCTTATCAGCTTAAGGAGATTTTGGGCTGAGACAATGGGGTTTTCTAGGTATACAATCATGTAGTCTGCAAACAGGGACAATTTGACTTCCTCTTTTCCTAATTGAATACCCTTTATTTCCTTCTCCTGCCTAATTGCCCTGGCCAGAACTTCCAACTATGTTGAATAGGAGTGGTAAGAGAGGGCATCCCTGTCTTGTGCCAGTTTTCAAAGGGAATGCTTCCAGTTTTTGCCCATTCAGTATGATATTGGCTGTGGCTTTGTCATAGATAGCTCTTGTTATTTTGAAATACGTCCCATCAATACCTAATTTATTGAGAGTTTTTAGCATGAAGGGTTGTTGAATTTTGTCAAAGGCTTTTTCTGCATCTATTGAGATAATCCTGTGGTTTTTGTCTTTGGCTCTGTTTATATGCTGGATTATATTTACTGATTTGCGTATATTGAACCAGCCTTGCATCCCAGGGATGAAGCCCACTTGATCATGGTGGATAAGCTTTTTGATGTGCTGCTGGATTCGGTTTGCCAGTATTTTATTGAGGATTTTTGCATCAATGTTCATCAAGGATATTGGTCTAAAATTCTCTTTTTTGGTTGTGTCTCTGCCCGGCTTTGGTATCAGGATGATGCTGGCCTCATAAAATGAGTTAGGGAGGATTCCCTCTTTTTCTATTGATTGGAATAGTTTCAGAAGGAATGTTACCAGCTCCTCCTTATACCTCTGGTAGAATTCGGCTGTGAATCCATCTGGTCCTGGACTCTTTTTGGTTGGTAAGCTATTGATTATTGCCACAATTTCAGATCCTGTTATTGGTCTATTCAGAGATTCAACTTCTTCCTGGTTTAGTCTTGGGAGAGTGTATGTGTCGAGGAATTTATCCATTTCTTCTAGATTTTCTAGTTTATTTGCGTAGAGGTGTTTGTAGTATTCTCTGATGGTAGTTTGTATTTCTGTGGGATCGGTGGTGATATCCCCTTTATCATTTTTTATTGCATCTATTTGATTCTTCTCTCTTTTTTTCTTTATTAGTCTTGCTAGCCGTCTATCAATTTTGTTGATCCTTTCAAAAAACCAGCTCCTGGATTCATTAATTTTTTGAAGGGTTTTTTGTGTCTCTATTTCCTTCAGTTCTGCTCTGATTTTAGTTATTTCTTGCCTTCTGCTAGCTTTTGAATGTGTTTGCTCTTGCTTTTCTAGTTCTTTTAATTGTGATGTTAGGGTGTCAATTTTGGATCTTTCCTGCTTTCTCTTGTGGGCATTTAGTGCTATAAATTTCCCTCTACACACTGCTTTGATTGCGTCCCAGAGATTCTGGTATGTTGTGTCTTTGTTCTCGTTGGTTTCAAAGAACATCTTTATTTCTGCCTTCATTTCGTTATGTACCCAGTAGTCATTCAGGAGCAGGTTGTTCAGTTTCCATGTAGTTGAGCGGTTTTGAGTGAGATTCTTAATCCTGAGTTCTAGTTTGATTGCACTGTGGTCTGAGAGATAGTTTGTTATAATCTCTGTTCTTCTACATTTGCTGAGGAGAGCTTTACTTCCAAGTATGTGGTCAATTTTGGAATAGGTGTGGTGTGGTGCTGAAAAAAATGTATATTCTGTTGATTTGGGGTGGAGAGTTCCGTAGATGTCTATTAGGTCTGCTTGGTGCAGAGCTGAGTTCAATTCCTGGGTATCCTTGTTGACTTTCTGTCTCGTTGATCTGTCTAATGTTGACAGTGGGGTGTTAAAGTCTCCCATTATTAATGTGTGGGAGTCTAAGTCTCTTTGTAGGTCACTCAGGACTTGCTTTATGAATCTGGGTGCTCCTGTATTGGGTGCATATATATTTAGGATAGTTAGCTCTTCTTGTTGAATTGATCCCTTTACCATTATGTAATGGCCTTCTTTGTGTCTTTTGATCTTTGTTGGTTTAAAGTCTGTTTTATCAGAGACTAGGATTGCAACCCCTGCCTTTTTTTTGATTTCCATTTGCTTGGTAGATCTTCCTCCATCCTTTTATTTTGAGCCTATGTGTGTCTCTGCATGTGAGATGGGTTTCCTGAATACAGCACACTGATGGGTCTTGACTCTTTATCCAATTTGCCAGTCTGTGTCTTTTAATTGGAGCATTTAGTCCATTTACATTTAAAGTTCATATTGTTATGGGTGAATTTGATCCTGTCAGTATGATGTTAGCTGGTTCTTTTGCTGGTTAGTTGATGCAGTTTCTTCCTAGTCTCGATGGTCTTTAAATTTTGGCATGATTTTGCAACGGCTGGTACCAGTTGTTCCTTTCCATCTTTAGTGCTTCCTTCAGGAGGTCTTTTAGGGCAGGCCTGGTGGTGACAAAATCTCTCAGCATTTGCTGGTCTGTATTTTATTTCTCCTTCACTTATGAAGCTTAGTTTGGCTGGATATGAAATTCTGGGTTGAAAATGATTTTCTTTAAGAATGTTGAATGTTGGCCCCCACTCTCTTCTGGCTTGTAGGGTTTCTGCTGAGAGATCCGCTGTTAGTCTGATGGGCTTCCCTTTGAGGGTAACCCGACCTTTCTCTCTGGCTGCCCTTAACATTTTTTCCTTCATTTCAACTTTGGTGAATCTGACAATTATGTGTCTTGGAGTTGCTCTTCTCGAGGAGTATCTTTGTGGCGTTCTCTGTATTTCCTGAATCTGAACGTTGGCCTGCCTTGCTAGACTGGGGAAGTTCTCCTGGATAATATCCTGCAGAGTGTTTTCCAACTTGCTTCCATTCTCCCCATCACTTTCAGGTACACCAATGAGACGTAGATTTGGTCTTTTCACATAGTCCCATATTTCTTGGAGGCTTTGCTCATTTCTTTCTTTTCTTTTTTCTCTAAACTTCCCTTCTCGCTTCATTTCATTCATTTCATCTTCCATTGCTGATACCCTTTCTTCCAGTTGATCGCATGGGCTCCTGAGGCTTCTGCATTCTTCACGTAGTTCTCGAGCCTTGGTTTTCAGCTCCATCAGCTCCTTTAGGCACTTCTCTGTATTGGTTACTTTAGTTATACATTCTCCTAAATTTTTTTCAAAGTTTTCAACTTCTTTGCCTTTGGTTTGAATGTCCTCCCGTAGCTCAGAGTAATTTGATCGTCTGAAGCCTTCTTCTCTCAGCTCGTCAAAGTCATTCTCCATCCAGCTTTGTTCTGTTGCTGGTGAGGAACTGTGTTCCTTTGGAGGAGGAGAGGCACTCTGCTTTTTAGAGTTTCCAGTTTTTCTGTTCTGTTTTTTTCCCCATCTTTGTGGTTTTATCTACTTTTGGTCTTTGATGATGGCAATGTACAGATGGGTTTTTGGTGTGGATGTCCTTTCTGTTTGTTAGTTTTCCTTCTAACAGACGGGACCCTCAGCTGCAGGTTTGTTGGAGTACCCTGCCGTGTGAGGTGTCAGTGTGCCCCTGCTTGGGGGTGCCTCCCAGTTAGGCTGCTTGGGGGTCAGGGGCCCACTTGAGGAGGCAGTCTGCCCATTCTCAGATCTCCAGCTGCGTGCTGGGAGAACCACTGCTGTCTTCAAAGCTGTCAGACAGGGACATTTAAGTCTGCAGAGGTTACTGCTGTCTTTTTGTTTGTCTGTGCCCTGCCCCCAGAGGTGGAGCCTACAGAGGCAGGACGGCCTCCTTGAGCTGTGGTGGGCTCCACCCAGTTCCAGCTTCCCGGCTGCTTTGTTTACCTAAGCAAGCCTGGGCAATGGCGGGTGCCCCTCCCCCAGCCTCACTGCCACCTTGCAGTTTGATCTCAGACTGCTGTGCTAGCAATCAGCGAGACTCCATGGGCATAGAACCCTCCGAGCCAGGTGTGGGATATAATCTCGTGGTGCGCCGTTTTTTAAGCCGGTCGGAAAAGCGCAGTATTCGGGTGGGAGTGACCCGATTTTCCAGGTGCATCTGTCACCCCTTTCTTTGACTCGGAAAGGGAACTCCCTGACCCCTTGCACTTCCCAAGTGAGGCAATGCCTCACCCTGCTTCGGCTCACGCATGGTGCGTGCACCCACTGACCTGCGCCCACTGTCTGGCACTCCCAAGTGAGATGAACCCAGTACCTCAGATGGAAATGCAGAAATCACCCGTCTTCTGTGTCGCTCACGCTGGGAGCTGTAGATAGGAGCTGATCCTATTCGGCCATCTTGGCTCCTCCCTCCATTGTTTTTTACATGTTCGGCCATCCCTATTTTCAAGAAGGATGCCAGGTGATATTGATGCAGGCAGTTGGTTAGAAGGCTCTACTTTAGATAAATATTTCTCAATGGGGAAAAGAACAATGAATATCTGCTACTTGCCAAACACTGATAGGTGCTTTACCCACATTATAATCATTCTTCATGATTTTATGAATAAGTATTATTATTCCATATTGCAGATAAGAAATTGAGGCTGGAAATATTTCATAGGTCGTAAGAGGATCAAAGATTTAAAACCATGTTCTTCTGTCTATATCTTGATCTACACCCAAACTTTCTCTTTTTGTTCAAATATGTTTCAATTCTGAGCATCAGGAAATTATTTCTCCATGGGAACAAATATGCAGTGTGTTTTCTTTTTGGTTCATAAATGTATTTTTATATTGAACAGTGTCTGGACATCAGCATGCAGATCAGTCCCCATTCAGTGAAAGTAGAGAGAAAAATGTCTGCTGGGTCCAACTTGGCTCAGAAGCATCTTTCACCAACAGCAGCGAAACCAAACCAACTTAGTTGAAGTTTTTTTTGTTATAATTATTCTTCGTCTTTTTTTGGTTTGAAAATTGAACATTTTTTTCACAAAAGAAAATTAGGGGTGAGGGGTTGTAATGAGGCTTGTGGATAAGGATTTGTTCTTTTATAACCCAATCATCTTATTTCTTATGGCTCCATTATCTTTGGAAAGTGGAAAGTTGTGTTTTGCTCTTCCTTTATATTAGTGTTTCATTTTTTCTTCTGCCCAGATGCTAAAATTAGATTCAGGGCATCGTAATTATGCAATAATTACCATGATCATATTTTTCTGCCATAGAAGATTAGTACCAATTTTGATTTTCTCCAAAACTTCAACAGATGCTCTTTTTCCATAGCATCATAAATTAATGTCAGAGAGTGTATAAATGTACACACCATTTTCCTGAACACGTGAGGGTTCTGACGAAATCACTGTTTAACTGAAGTTAATTGTTTCCAAGAATTATCATTTTTTATTGATAATTTCATTGCAGAGGGCCTAATTATTCTCCAAATACATTTGCAAATTGTCTCATTTTTACTATTCAGGAAACAACTTATCTCTGCCAAAAAACCCTTCATTTTACAAATGAAGCAGAAAAACAGAGAAGGGAAGTGACTTTTTCAAGGTCACTTGGCCAACCAGAAATAGAGTTGAGGCTAGATATTTTTATCCCCAAATTATGTTTATTATATCACACTGATTTAATCATACTTAAGGCTTAAGACCTAAGACTAGGAACTGAAGTCTGGTTAATCATCTTGCCCTTGTTGCTTTTGAGCAATAGAAGATTATAAAAGATAGCAGAAAAAGACTAAAGCACATCAGGCTAGAAAAGAAGAGCAAAGAGTCAGTGCCTCAGTAAAGCCTTGGAAGATAGATAGGACATTGCTGTTTATTAAGAATTGAATGCTTCTACCTTCTTTTCTGGATGGTTCTTGGCTAAGCACTGAGAGGAGTGAGGCTTTAGGAATCAGTCACTCATTTAACAAATATTTACTGCCAATCTTCTGTGTAGAGTCCCTGGGGATACAAGATAGAAGATATTATTTCCCCTCTAACACCACCACCCAAGAGAAAGAGTTCCCATTCCAGAGGCAGGTAGAGATACATCAAAATCAAACACAAGATTCATTTTTAACAATCTCTTTAATTTTATTCCAAGATAATAAGAATTGCTTTCTTTAAAATATTTTAATTGAAATATTTCCATCAGGGGGAGGAGCCAAGACAGCCGAATAGGAAAAGCTCTGGTCTACAGCTCCCAGAGTGAGCGACGCAGAAAATGGGTGATTTCTGCATTTCCATCTGAGCTTTGAAGAGAGCAGTGGTTCTCCCAGCACGCAGCTGGAGATCTGAGAACGGGCAGACTGCCTCCTCAAGTGGGTCCCTGACCCCTGACCCCCGAGCAGCCTAACTGGGAGGCAACCCCCAGCAGGGGCACACTGACACCTCACACGGCAGGGTACTCCAACAGACCTGCAGCTGAGGGTCCTGTCTGTTAGAAGGAAAACTAACAAACAGAAAGGACATCCACACCAAAAACACATCTGTACATCACCATCATCAAAGACCAAAAGTAGATAAAACCACAAAGATGGGGAAAAAACAGAGCAGAAAAACTGGAAACTCTAAAAAGCAGAGCGCCTCTCCTCCTCCAAAGGAACACAGTTCCTCACCAGCAATGGAACAAAGCTAGAGGGAGAATGACTTTGACGAGCTGAGAGAAGAAGGCTTCAGACGATCAAATTACTCCGAGCTACGGGAGGACATTCAAACCAAAGGCAAAGAAGCTGAAAACTTTGAAAAAAATTTAGAAGAATGTATAACTAGAATAACCAATACAGAGAAGTGCTTAAAGGAGCTGATGGAGCTGAAAACCAAGGCTTGAGAACTACATGAAGAATGCAGAAGCCTCAGGAGCCAATGCGATCAACTGGAAGAAAGGGTATCAGCAATGGAAGATGAAATGAATGAAATGAAGCGAGAAGGGAAGTTTAGAGAAAAAAGAATAAAAAGAAATGAGCAAAGCCTCCAAGAAATCAAGAAATATGGGACTATGTGAAAAGACCAAATCTACGTCTGATTGGTGTACCTGAAAGTGATGGGGAGAATGGAACCAAGTTGGAAAACACTGCAGGATATTATCCAGGAGAACTTCCCCAATCTAGCAAGGCAGGCCAACGTTCAGATTCAGGAAATACAGAGAACGCCACAAAGATACTCCTCGAGAAGAGCAACTCCAAGACACATAATTGTCAGATTCACCAAAGTTGAAATGAAGGAAAAAATGTTAAGGGCAGCCAGAGAGAAAGGTCGGGTTACCCTCAAAGGGAAGCCCATCAGACTAACAGCGGATCTCTTGGCAGAAACCCTACAAGCCAGAAGAGAGTGGGGGCCAATATTCAACATTCTTAAAGAAAATCATTTTCAACCCAGAATTTCATATCCAGCCAAACTAAGCTTCATAAGTGAAGGAGAAATAAAATACTTTACAGACAAGCAAATGCTGAGAGATTCTGTCACCACCAGGCCTGCCCTAAAAGACCTCCTGAAGGAAGCGCTAAACATGGAAAGGAACAACCAATACCAGCCGTGGCAAAATCATGCCAAAATGTAAAGACCATCGAGACTAGGGAGAAACTGCAGGAACTAACGAGCAAAATAACCAGCTAACATCATAATGACAGGATCAAATTCACACATAACAATATGAACTTTAAATGTAAATGGACTAAATGCTCCAATTAAAAGACACAGACTGGCAAACTGGATAAAGAGTCAAGACCCATCAGTGTGCTGTATTCAGGAAACGCATCTCACGTGCAGAGACACACACAGGCTCAAAATAAAATGATGGAGGAAGACCTACCAAGCAAATGGAAATCAAAAAAAGGCAGGGGTTGCAATCCTAGTCTCTGATAAAACAGACTTTAAACCAACAAAGATCAAAAGACACAAAGAAGGCCATTACATAATGGTAAAGGGATCAATTCAACAAGAAGAGCTAACTATCCTAAATATATATGCACTCAATACAGGAGCACCCAGATTCATAAAGCAAGTCCTGAGCGACCTACAGAGAGACTTAGACTCCCACACATTAATAATGGGAGACTTTAACACCCCACTGTCAACATTAGACAGATCAATGAGACAGAAAGTCAACAAGGATACCCAGGAATTGAACTCAGCTCTGCACCAAGCGGACCTAATAGACATCTACGGAACTCTCCACCCCCAATCAACAGAATATACATTTTTTTCAGCACCATACCACACCTATTCCAAAATTGACCACATACTTGGAAGTAAAGCTCTCCTCAGCAAATGTAAAAGAAGAGAAATTATAATAAACTATCTCTCAGACCACAGTGCAATCAAACTAGAACTCAGGATTAAGAATCTCACTCAAAACCTCTCAACTACATGGAAACTGAACAACCTGCTCCTGAATGACTACTTGGTACATAACGAAATGAAGGCAGAAATAAAGATGTTCTTTGAAACCAACGAGAACAAAGACACAACATACCAGAATCTCTGGGACACATTCAAAGCAGTGTGTGGAGGGAAATTTATAGCACTAAATGCCCACAAGAGAAAGCAGGAAAGATCCAAAATTGACACCCTAACATCACAATTAAAAGAACTAGAAAAGCAAGAGCAAACACATTCAAAAGCTAGCAGAAGGCAAGAAATAACTAAAATCAGAGCAGAACTGAAGGAAATAGAGACACAAAAAACCCTTCAAAAAATGAATCCAGGAGCTGGTTTTTTGAAAGGATCAACAAAATTGATAGACCGCTAGCAAGATTAATAAAGAAAAAAAGAGAGAAGAATCAAATAGATTCAATAAAAAATGATAAAGGGGATATCACCACCGATCCCACAGAAATACAAACTACCATCAGAGAATACTACAAACACCTCTACACAAATAAACTAGAAAATCTAGAAGAAATGGATAAATTCCTCGACACATACACTCTCCCAAGACTAAACCAGGAAGAAGTTGAATCTCTGAATAGACCAATAACAGGATCTGAAATTGTGGCAATAATCAATAGCTTACCAACCAAAAAGAGTCCAGGACCAGATGGATTCACAGCCGAATTCTACCAGAGGTACAAGGAGGAACTGGTACCATTCCTTCTGAAACTATTCCAATCCATAGAAAAAGAGGGAATCCTCCCTAACTCATTTTGTAAGGCCAGCATCATCCTGATACCAAAGCCTGGCAGAGACACAACCAAAAAAGAGAATTTTAGACCAATATCCTTGATGAACATTGATGCAAAAATCCTCAATAAAATACTGGCAAAATGAATCCAGCAGCACATCAAAAAGCTTATCCACCATGATCAAGTGGGCTTCATCCCTGGGATGCAAGGCTGGTTCAATATACACAAATCAATAAATGTAACCCAGCATATAAACAGAACCAAAGACAAAAACCACATGATTATCTCAATAGATGCAGAAAAGGCCTTTGACAAAATTCAACAACCCTTCATGCTAAAAACTCTCAATAAATTAGGTATTGATGGGACGTATCTCAAAATAATAAGAGCTATCTATGACAAACCCACAGCCAATATCATACTGAATGGGCAAAAACTGGAAGCATTCCCTTTGAAAACTGGCACAAGACGGGATGCCCTCTCTCACCACTCCTATTCAACATAGTGTTGGAAGTTCTGGCCAGGGCAATTAGGCAGGAGAAGGAAATAAAGGGTATTCAATTAGGAAAAGAGGAAGTCAAATTGTCCCTGTTTGCAGACGACATGATTGTATACCTAGAAAACCCCATTGTCTCAACTCAAAATCTTCTTAAGCTGATAAGCAACTTCAGCAAAGTCTCAGGATACAAAATCAATGGACAAAAATCACAAGCATTCTTATACACCAACAACAGACAAACAGCCAAATCATGAGTGAAATCCCATTCACAATTGCTTCAAAGAGAATAAAATACCTAGGAATCCAACTTACAAGGGATGTGAAGGACCTCTTCAAGGAGAACTACAAACCACTGCTCAAGGAAATAAAAGAGGATACAAACAAATGGAAAAACAAGCAATGGGGAAAGGATTCCCTATTTAATAAATGGTGCTTGGAAAACTGGCTAGCCATATGTAGGAAGCTGAAACTGGATCCCTTCCTTACACCTTATACAAAAATCAATTCAAGATGGATTAAAGATTTAAACATTAGACCTAAAACCATAAAAACCCTAAAAGAAAACCTAGGCATTACCATTCAGGATATAGGCATGGGCAAGGACTTCATGTCCAAAACACCAAAAGCAATGGCAACAAAAGACAAAATTGACAAATGGGATCTAATTAAACTAAAGAGCTTCTGCACAGCCAAAGAAACTACCATTAGAGTGAACAGGCAACCTACAAAATGGGAGAAAATTTTCGCAACCTACTCATCTGACAAAGGGCTAATATCCAGAATCTACAATGAACTCAAACAAATTTACAAGAAAAAAACAAACAACCCCATGAAAAAGTGGGCGAAGGACATGAACAGCCACTTCTCAAAAGAAGACATTTATGCAGCCAAAAAACACATGAAAAAATGCTCATCATCACTGGCCATCAGAGAAATGCAAATCAAAACCACTATGAGATACCATCTCACACCAGTTGGAATGGCAATCATTAAAAAGTCAGGAAACAACAGGTGCTGGAGAGGATGTGGAGAAATAGGAACACTTTTACACTGTTGGTGGGACTGTAAACTAGTTCAACCGTTGTGGAAGTGAGTGTGGCAATTCCTCAGGGATCTAGAACTAGAAATACCATTTGACCCAGCCATCCCATTACTGGGTATATACCCAAATGACTATAAATCATGCTACTATAAAGACACATGCACACATATGTTTATTGCGGCATTATTCACAATAGCAAAGACTTGGAACCAACCCAAATGTCCAACAATGATAGACTGGATTAAGAAAATGTGGCACATATACACCATGGAATACTATGCAGCCATAAAAAATGATGAGTTCATGTCCTTTGTAGGGACATGGATGAAATTGGAAATCATCATTCTCAGTAAACTATCGCAAGAACAAAAAACCAAACACCGCATATTCTCACTTATAGGTGGGAATTGAACTATGAGAACACATGGACACAGGAAGGGGAATATCACACTCTGGGGACTGTGGTGGGGTCGGGGGTGGGGGGAGGGATAGCATTGGGAGATATACCTAATGCTAGATGAAGAGTTAGTGGGTGCAGCACACCAGTATGGCACATGTATACATATGTAACTAACCTGCACAATGTGCACATGTACCCTAAAACTTAAAGTATAATTAAAAAAAAAAAAAAAAAGAGTATGAGTTGGGGAAAAAAAAAAAGAAATGTGGCACATATACCCCATGGAATACTATGCAGCCATAAAAAATGATGAGTTCACGTCCTTTGTAGGGACATGGATGAAATTGGAAATCATCTTTCTCAGTAAACTATCGCAAGAACAAAAAACCAAACACCGCATATTCTCACTCATAGGTGGGAACTGAACAATGAGAACACATGGACACAGGAAGGCGAACATCACACTCTGGGGACTGTTGTGGGGTGGGGGGAGGGGGGAGGGATAGCATTGGGAGATATACCTAATGCTAGATGACGAGTTAGTGGGTGCAGCGCACCACCAGGGCACATGTATACATATGTAACTAACCTGCACATTGTGCACATGTACCCTAAAACTTAAAGTATAATAATAATTAAAAAAAGAAAGAAAATATTTCCATCAAAAGAGATTCAAATAAAATCTTGGCACTTCAAAAAAAAAATAAAATAAAATATTTTAATTTATATCTTTAAAAAAACTTTAGTTTCGGTTCAGGGATACATGTGCAGGATTATTATACAGGTAAATTGTGTGTCGCAGAGGATTGGTGTGCATGAATTTTCAGGTCACATATAAAAAAGGTATCTCTTTGTTAGAGGTAAGAGAAGATCCTTTTAACTTCATGACAGCTGATAGGATGACATATAGAGCCATTAGCTACCACCCCGTATTGGGAAACAATAAGTTCAAGATTCAAGTAGAGTGTCCCAAGTTGATCTTCACTTGATCCATAAACACTTATTCTCAAATTTGTGTGTCAAACGATTTGTCAAAGTTAGAGTTGCTGTTTCAGCTCCAATTTCCACCAAGACAATGAAAAATACTTCCGAAACTTTATATTTTTATGGATTTAAAAACTACTAAGTGAGGCAGGAGGGCAATAATGTTCAAATCTTAAACTGATAAATCTCAGAGGAACCTCAGATATTATTTAACTGCCATTACAAACTTGATTAAATTTAATTAAGTGCATTAAAATTATTTGTCCTCCATTATGTGGCAGAAACTTATTAGGTGAATTCAGAAATCTAGCTTAGACATTATTTGCTATGTAATCTTGAGTTAGTCATTTATCTGTTCTAAAACTCTTTCACCATTAATAAACAATGTGAACAATGTCATTTCAAACCCATGATGACATTATAAGGATGAATGAGTTAATGTATGCGTGTAAAGGGCTTTGTGTAGTAGAAGGTGCTCTATATATGCTAGCTCACACTATCACATCATACTATCATTAAAACATTACAAATGCCCTTACCCCAAGAGGTAGAACTTGCTGAAAACAAGTATAGTATAAAACAAGTATACGGGACTGTAAAATCAAACTTTTCTTTATTCAACCACACCCACAAGCAAACAAACAAACAGGCCAGCAATATACAACCTGTTTCCATATGAGAAAAACAGTATGGGCATGTCACATATTGCATATTAGCTTAGGAAACATAACATGATAAGCTAGGACAGGGAGAGACCTGTCTCTCTTCATATAATAAGGCCAGAGTTGTTCATTCGTTTGAAATAGGGTCAAAATTACATTTTAATAATTCTTAGGTTAGACAGAGATTTAGAAAAAGATGATTGATCTTAATGGGATTAAGATTTTTTTTTTACTTAATTTAAGATGCAGAACCAGCACTCATCCTAACTCCTTCCCTGGTGGGGTCAGGAGGCTCTGTCTTTAGAGGGAGGGTTCCTTCTTTCATCATAATCTAATCATGAATTTAGATCACTCTGAGGTAAAACAAAACATCTAGAAACAGTTACTTGATTATTTGAAGAGGAGTAGCATTGGTATCCTATAAGGTGGGAAAGGGATTAGATGGAAGATTCAGTAAGAGTAAGAGTTCATAGAGAACACCAGTGTTAGAGAAAGGGAATTTTTACCCGGGGCAGCTCAAAAATGGTAGAAAGCATCTAATCTCGGGAAGCTACTATTATTTCTCACATGCTTAGTATATCTTTGTCTCTATATGGTTCTCACAAAATATAAATTTCGTGGGTACTATTTTGCCCATTTTTTAGATATAGAAATAAGAAAGATAAAGTGATAATGAAATTCACACAGTTAAAAAGTAGACTTGGGATTAAAACTCAAGTGTGTCTAAATCAAAGCTTGTGTCTCTTCCATTATATATAATGTACCATTAGCCCTTTGGGATTCACCTAAGAAAACAAGCTTGCCTTCCTATCATTGTGACCTTTTGGGGTTTCTGTCAGACCAGAATAACATGATTCATTTATGTTCCTTCTGATTCCTTAGTAGTTACATAGTTCCTTTTGCTATTGTTCCCATAGGTCTTACACATTGCATTGATACCGTCTACTTCCATATGTGTCTCCCCAACCAGAATATATGCTGGAGTTTATCTTGTTGGGAACGACCCCAAGTCATTGTCCATTTCCAGAGTCGAGTAGGTTGCCATGCACAGAGCAAGAACTCTGGATATTTTTTGATGCCTATTCTAATAAAAAGATCTTCCATAGGCAAGTCCTGAAATGGAGTTAAGGTGATGTTAAAGTTCCTCAGCTACCTCTGAGGTTTTGGAACTCCACAAGGCAACTATAAATGGACCAGAAACCAGAGTATCCGACACAAACTGCAACTCTCAGACATTTGCTAACTGTTTGGATACCACAGCATTTTTCTATTTCCTTCAGAAGAGACATTTAAAATGGGTTTCCAGGAGAAATCACAAAGAAATGACCACTCCAGTTTTTTTGCAATAGACTTGCTCATCTCTGGTAATGAACAGCCTGGCCAGAAACTGATGATCAGGACAGTCTGGCCTAAAGGCCAAGCATAGATGGCGCTTACTTTGATAGGCACTTTTTGGCCTTTCTTTTCCAATGGTGGTCAAGGATCGCAACCACCAAATAATAGTGCCAGTTATTATTATTTTTTCTGTAGTCACAGACAAAATGGGGAGAAAGCAAACTAAATGGCTAGCTCTACATTCTTTGAAATAATGCTTGGTATCAGACATTATGCCTGGCGTATTGCATAGGTTGACACATTTAATTCCACAACACCCTACACGGTAGATTACAGAGGTGGTACTTTGTGTCTATAACTAGTGACTGCTTAAAACATGCTTGTTGCATAAATAAACAAGATGCATTTCAGCCTGCCTCAGCCAGATTTATGTAGAAAACAATCCAAAACAAAAGCTTTCTGGGGGCTGTGATCATGCAGAAGTAGGAGGAAAGCAAAAAGGAGAAAGGAAAATTTGGGTGAGGAAGGAAAAAGAACACAGTCAAGGAGAGTGACACCAAGCTACTGACTGCTTTGTGACAAGTGCAGCTGATTCCTTGGTCTTGTGAGATGTTTTCAAAGAAGCTATAGAAATTACTGTTTCAGAATAACTGTGCATACAGCGAGGAAGAAAGAATAATATATCTTCTGATTGCTTTCTGTCTCTCATCTCCCATCAGTCAAAGACTACTTCATGGGGCCTTAACCACACTTCTCAATCACTCCTGGCAGGCACTATGAAAACCAGAGTCCCATGGGATTTTTTTGTTCAATGTGTAGGCACAGCAATCTTTACAAGTCAGAGCTGTGCATGAGGACACTCACTGCAGCAGCAGCAGCAACTTGGATTCACTACCTTTGTTAGGTTTTGCTCAGTCTGAAAGCAAGATAAGTGGCCTTGGCTACAGTCAGGGTGGGTGGGGAGGAAAGGCATAATTGCATGGATTTAGGTTGGGGCATAAACTGAGTACAATATACAGTCCTAAATGACTTTCTCCTGCCCATGTCTTCTACCCATGTTCAGACCCAGATGCTCAGCTCCTTATGATAATCTTTCTCACTTTCTTTGTCATAGACTCCAGACACTCAGCCTGATTTCCTTTCCTTCTAGCAGCTGCTATCATGAATTCTACACCTTAGGAATTTTCTCTCCATGTTTATGTCTTGCTGAGTAATAGCATACTGCCACTACAAATTCCTTCCCCAACCTCATCAATGCCTCCTGCTATGGTTTGAATGGTTGTCCCCTCTGAAACTTATGTTGAGATTTAACTGACATTGGACCTTTAAGAGGTGGGTAGGTAATGAGGGTACTGCCCTCATAAATTGATTAATGATGTTATCATGGAAGTGGATAACTATTATGAGACTGGGTTTGTTATAAAAGTGGGTTCAGCCCAATTTCCTTTCTCTGTCTTGCATGCTTGCTTCTGTCTCTCACTTTCTGCCATGGAATAACACTTACCAGATGCCATTGCCATGCTCTTGGACTTTCCAGCCCCCAGAACCATAAGAAATAAATTATCCCATCTGTGGTATTCTGTTATAGCAGCAAAAAAACAGACTAAGACACCTCTTTATTGCTGCTCTCAATGGCGAGCCTTTAAGTCAGGGGTAGACAGCAGGTATCTTCACCTACATTGGCTCAAACTATTATTTACAGTCTGATGTGCTGTGTAAGAATGGTATTCTTAGGCCAAGTTCAGTGAAAAAACCTTTTGTGATTGATCTGGAGTTTCTTCCCTTGGCTTGGAAGCAGAGTAATATCATATGGAACAGACATTTTAAACAATCATTAATTACATATTTATTATACTTTGAGTTTTCTCTCTCTGATATTGTGTGGGAAACCAGTTGGAAAAGACAACTGTTTACAAGTTAAAAATGTTAGGACATATAACATTTATAAAATTTTTAGTGTCATGATTCCTGGTATACGGTCTTTACTCTCTTTAAAATAGTGAATAGAAGTTCCAGTGGGTTTATACTCCTGTATTTTTGGAAGGATTTACTGACAGTCCTTTTACACATAATGTCATTATACTATTTTTAATGAAAGCTTTAGCAAATAACATTGCCATATTTTTCTCTGAGTACTCACCTGTCAACCAAGAAGATAAAATCAAATTGAAACAGTAAGAATCCTTAGTCTCAACTGGGTAATTTGTAACTTGGAAAACCTCAATCCTGAGGTATTCTTAGATATTAAAGTTTTGAGGCATGTCCTCATTGTCACTGGCTGAAATAGATTGGGAGAAGGTGATACTGGCCGAACACCAGGGGTACAAATTAATAACAATGAATGTAGGTAGATTCTGGATATATTGTGAAGGTAGAGCCCATAGAATTTACTACTTGATCAAATATATATTGGGAGAAAAAAGTTAAGGCTTTGGAACCAGCAGTTGAAGAATGAATAAAATTTTTAAAAAACAGAGCAGAAATAATCTCAACCCAAAGCACCTAAGATGAGAACTAGCTTTGCTTTTGTATTTTTTCCACCAGTGACCAGATGTGACCAGTAAAAAGAATGTGGAGGAAGGTCAGACAGTTACCAGAGTGTGACAGTTAATATTGAGTGTCAACTTGATTGGATTGAGGGATACAAAGTATTGATCCTGGGTGTGTCTGTGAGGGTGTTGCCAAAAGAGATTAACATTTGAGTTAGTGGGCTGGGGAAGGCAGGTCAACCCTTAATCTGGTGGGCACAATCTAATCAGCTGCCAGTGAATGTAAATAAAGCAGGCAGAAAAACATGACAAGGGGAGACTGGCCTATCCTCCCAGCCTACATCTTTCTCCTGTGCTGGATGCTTCTTGCCCTCAAATATTGGACTTCAAGTTCTTCAGTTTTGGGACTCCGACTGGCTCTCCTTGCTCCTCAGCTTGCAGACAGCCTATTGTGAGACCTTCTGATCATGAAGGTTAATTCTTAATAAACTCCCCTATCTATCTATCTATCTATCTGTCTCTGTCTATCTATCCATCCATCCATCTATCCATCCATCCTATTAGTTCTGTCCCTATAGAGAACCATGACTAATACACAGAGTAAGTAGTGAGGGAATTTCTTCTTAGAGCACTTGAGCATGTTGTTTTCCTAATGCTATTTAAAGTATTCAGTATAAGAAGAAAGTTGGTTTTCCACGATAACGCTTCCAAAGAAATTGCTCTCCATAGAAAATGAACAATTTGAATGGCGAAGACTTCCAGAATGGGTATGGAGGTCTAGAACAGAAGCAGGAAAGAGTGTAAAAAGTTTAACTCTTAACAAATGACAAAGATATGGAGAAAAAATATGAAGGTAGATCTCATCCAAAGAGAATTTCATTAAAATGCTCCATTCCCAGAGAAAAGCCTATTATTTTACCAAATTATTCCTTTACCTGCTTGCCTACCTGATTTCCCTAAAATTAAATATGTCTATGGACAAATTCCATCCACTTAGAGTTTCAAATTGGATCTTTCGATCAAAGAAGGAATCTGTAAGGGAAAGAGACCTTTGCAACTGTAAAAGAAATTCCAGCATATTATACTTAAAAAAAGTTGTGTTGCGGGATGGTGCAGCGGGGGTGGGGGGGTTAGCTAGCCATTTTTACCAGAAACGTTAAAAAAAACCCCAATAGCATGAAAGTAAAGGACCAACATAAAACTGACCCTGGGAAAGATATGGATAACTCAGGGAGTAACAAAAATGAAAATAATAATAATGATAAGATGATTAGAGTAAAAAGACTTAAGTCGATAGTGTAGTCACATAATAGTAGGGATAACTATTTCTTGAAAATTAGATATTTGATTGCCAAAAGTTTAATTTAGCTTAAAATTTTATCCATAAAATATGCATGACAAGAAACATATTAGCAAAAAGGTAGCAAAAATCAAGAAAATGTTGCAGAAACTAGGGCAAAAACCCAAAGAGATATAAAATAAGAGCAAAAAATGTAAAGTCATAGGGGGTATACCTGAGAGAATCAAAATCTACCTAAACGAAACTTTAAAAATAAAATACCAAGGTCATAGGATCTTTTGGGGCCAGCTGGCAACATAGCAAGGCCCCATCTCTACAAAAAATTTTTTAAAATGTAGTCAGGTGTGATGGTATGTGCTTGTAGTCCCAGCTACTCCAGAGGCTGAGACAGGAAGATTGCTTAAGCCCAGGAGTTCGAGGCTGCAGTGAGCAATAATCACACCACTGTACTCCAGCCTGGGCAATAGAGTGAGACTCTATCCCAAAAACCAAAAATCAAAGTAAATAAGTAGATACAATGGAGGGAGAAGATAATCAGCAAATTATTAGAACATTTTCCTGAACTGAATAAAGACTTACTTCTTCTGATTGGCAAGAAAACTAAAAATAGGAAAAAGAAAGAAAGAAAAGAAATGCCTAAACACATGCTACTCATTTTTCAGAACACTGCAGAAAAATAGAAAAATCTGTTTTTCCTGAAAGGAGAAAATAAAAAACTTCCACTAAATCAGACTGATATCATATCTCAGCAATAATGCCGGCTATTAGAAGCAAACCCCTTACTGCATTAAAGACATATTCAGAAATGCATGAACTCAGAAACAATAACATCCATGTACTGAATCTGAAAAAATTATTTAAGGATGTATTTGAACAAAACAACAACGAAAAAGATGACATGAGATAAGAAATTGTGGCTGGGCACGATAGCTCATGCCTGTAATACCAGCGCTCTGGGAGGCCTAGGCGGGCGGATCACTTGAGGTCATGAGTTTGAGACCAGCCTGACCAACATGGTGAAACCCCGTGTCTACTAAAAATACAAAAATTAGTTGGGCATGGGTGTGGGTGGCTGTAATCCCAGTTACTTGGGAGGCTGAAGCAGGAGAATCGCTTGAACCCAGGTGGCCAAGGTTGCAGTGAGCCGAGATAGCACCACTGCACTCCAGCCTCCGTGACAGAGCAAGACTCCATCTCAAAAAAAGAAATTGTGGCAGCTGGTTGTGGCAGCTGATATTAGGAGAACAATAAAGGAAGCTAAAATGCAATTATAGAAATTTAACAAATTCTTAAGAGTTGTAACACTCAATTGAGAAACACATGGTTTATTTAGCAGCATATGGTAACATTTATTTCTCTTTAGGTCAATCACCCCCTTTGGCTCTGCACGATATTTGCATAACTATATTATTATAATTAATTTTATTGACTTAAACATTTTAGACCCAACTTATAGACAAAGAAAAAAAGCACGTTAATATCTTGATGTCTGTATTTATTGCTGGTAGACTTTGGGAACTTCACAGTAAAACAGATGATAATGTTTTATTGCATTTGCTATTTGATGCAAATTGGGCTTTAAACATTGTGGCAGAAAATATTACATAAGGAAGCCAAAATTAGTACAGGAAAGATAAAAGCTATTGTGTATATTTTGTAAAGTAGGTATGAAAGAATAATTAACATGAATTCCGAGTGTTGCCTACAAGTTAATGATAATTATGAAATTTACAAAAACATTTTTTAAAGACTCTCACCAGTTAAATTCTATTTAAATTCCAAGTACTTGAAGATATTCAGTATCACTGATGGTATGGAAGAAGGGGAATCTCACACAGGCTTTGGGTACGTACTAATTAGAACAAAAATTCTGGAAGGTGAAAGTATGTATAAGTTTACATAGATTAATATAATATTTCCAATTTATGTATCTATATTTCCAAAATATGTATATGTGCATATGTGTATTAAGTGTACATTTAATAGCAGAAACTTGAAGACAACTAAAAGAACTTACTTGGGAAAATGCTGAAATAAGTTATAGTTTCCCTATATCATATACTATAAAGTAAATATTAAAAAGAAGGTTGTAGACCTCTACGAAATTACATGGAATAAAATCTATAATATGCTTCTAATTTTTATTCGGAGTAAGTTATAGAACAACATGCATGGTTTCATGCCATTTTTTTTTTGAGATGGAGTCTCGCTCTTTCGCCCAGGCTGGAGTGCAGTGGCGTGATCTCGGCTCACTGCAAGCTCTGCCCCCCGGGTTCCCACCATTCTCCTGCCTCAGCCTCCCAAGCAGCTGGGACTACAGGCGCCCACCACCACGCCTGGCTAATTTTTTGTATTTTTAGTAGAGACGGGATTTCACCGTGTTAGCCAGGATGGTCTCGATCTCCTGACCTCATGATCCGCCTGCCTTGGCCTCCCAAAGTGCTGGGATTACAGGCATGAGCCACCGTGCCTGGCCCCAGTTTGATACCATTTTTATGAGAAGTTCATAACTACAATTTTGTTTTGTAAAATGAAAACATACATGTATCATTGATTAGTTAAAAAGTGTGTGTACATAGAGAAAAGCTTGAATTAATATATAAAAAGGTTTCTGAATAATGAATCAGAGGGAACACGTTTCTGCAATCATATGGTTTCAGAAAATAACATTTTCTCCAGAGATATTTCTGGCTTTTCCCCATTCTTGTATTTACTCTGTCCTGGGTAGTTGGAGTGACTGATCTGATTGTGAAATTGAGAATCACTTGGGCTTGCTTTGGTGCCTAATATCTTACATTGCCCATGCTGAGGACTACCAAAGGCCAGGTAGATAAATCTACCCAATTCTGGAGTCCATTAAACAGGCCCATTTGGTTTTCATACCAAGCAAAAAGGTGGCCTCCATTTGCCAAAATTATTCAGATACCAGATGAAAAAGAGAGGTGCTTAATATGCCTCCTCCAAGAGGCATATCTTGCACATAGAGAACATTGAGGAATGAATAAGTAAAACAGTAGAAATTGAATGAACACAATTTCACAAAGAGAAGCTTTTGGAGTGTCTAGGCAGTGTTGGCTGCAAACCTTGGGCTTTGTGATGGCAGAGCATTTGGGGCCTGACTGTTTAATTGGGGAGCTTTTATCAGTCCAAGCTTTTAAATGCTGCAGCTGGGCAAGAAGCTTTAAGCCAGCATGCTTTATTTATAGTTTGGAGGGTGACTGTAATTTGTGGTGATTTTTCTTCCTGAGGCAAGAGGATTCTTATAGAGAGACAATAATCTAAGCAAAAGTCAAGACTTAAGCAAAGGTTCTCAAAATCTGGGAAAGTCTATGAGTGACCCTGGCAAATTCATGTGTGGAAAAGTAGAGATGCAGCTGTGGCAAATATTAGACTATAGGCAGCAAGCATTCATTTTCCCAACCCATGCTGACCTTGTAAAAGGTCCATATCTGCAGGCCTCTGCCAAGGTGACAGCCTCAGGGTGCAGGCCATTGTAGCTGAATATGCAGGCATATCTCTTCTTAAAAAGGAAAGGTAAGGCAAAGATTCAAAAATATGAGAAAGACTTTTTTAAAGCTTCATGGGCAATGGTGGTCAAAAACATATTTAAAACTGTTCAAGTGCAAGGAAGCTAAGCTCAATGTGCACTCCAGAGCACTAGTGAAATCCTGGCCTTCAATTGTCAGTGTCAGGCCAAAGTGCATAGCCCTGTGTGCACTGCCTCTAGTGCCATGTTGGACTCATGGCCAAGGAAAGCTCCTTAGAGGTGAAACCCTTGAATCCCTGAGTAGTGTCTACATACTCAGCAAATGTTCCCTATCCATTATGAGGCTTCTAGTTAACTCTAGTTTATTAAGGACATATGAGGGAGAAAACTTCCTGGGGATCAGATATCTGAAGCCAAAGCAATTCCATTTCAAACGATTATAGAAAGAGTTAATAAGGCACAAGACCAAAATTTTCTGTCCATAGGTTAATTTTGATGCTGTTTTGCACTCATTTTGGGATAAAGTGAGAAATACAAGGTTCAAGTAAGAAATGGACATTAAGAGCTTAAATTTTTTTCCAAGAAAAAGTAATTTAATATGAATAATGCATGCAGGAAATTTATCAGAAGATACAATTATAAGGAAGTGTGGAAGACAGAAGACAGCATTGGTTGAAAACGAGTCATGATATGGTGGCAACTGAGTTCTTAGCAGGTTCTACAAAAATCTGTGAAACTAGAATGGCCTTTCAAAGTTGTCTCAAATTGCAGCAAGAAAACAGCACTTTGTATCCCTACATGAGTCTGTCATTGTCTGAGCCACAGCCTCCTGGGAGGGCTGTGGGCTTTAGTGAAGTAGATCCCATTAGCCAAGAAATAGTCCCAGTGAGGACTTAGCTGTCAGTCATCAGCAATTGAAGACATGGCTTTGTTGGCACTACAAGGGATCTAGGTTAAACACCAGGGTATCAACTAGAAATAAATTATGTACAGGTTGATTTTCTTCTAAAATAGGTGAATGCATAATGCCAAAATATTGCTGGAAGATTTCTCTCAATTAAGTTTAAACTCATAAGTCATTAATTCAAGAAATATGGCACAAACTACCTAGCAATATGGTAAGACCATACCAGGTTTTTCCCTTTCACTCACATATCACTGAGTTTCTGCTATGCTTTTTGGCAATGGTAAATATTGTGTTCTGGGAACATAATTTTGCCAGTGATAATTACTTTAGGGGGCTGAAGATTAGATTGTTTTTCAAATTTGTGTGTGGCCTAGGGAACATCTGTACATATGAAGCAGAAGGTTATCTCCAATATTTTGCTAACTAAAAAAACTTGTATGTTCTATTAACTCTTCAGGCTCTTAGAAATCTACAGTGTCAGTGGACTTTCATTTTCAGGAAAATTGAATGGAAATACTTTTTCTCTATTACCTGTGCTAAGTAAAATTAAAACTCTGGATATTGTACATAAAGCAAGCATAAGAAGACTCTGAGCAGACCAGCTAGAAACCTCGGATCCTGAGGAATGACAAGGTGGTAAGTTAGCTAGGTTTTGTTTTTGCCTAATATATACCACACTTAGGACTAGAGAAGCCATCAAACTAGAAATACCAATGGGCACAGATTTTTTTTTTACAAGAGCTTCAATAAAAGCCTGATCTCTCTAGCCAAGGATGAGGAAAGGGGCCAGTTAGTGAGACAGAAAACTTTTAGACAATAACAACCCTACTCAAGCACAATACTGCAGATGACCTAGCCTTATTCCAAGTCATGCAAGCAAAGGCTGAGTGGTGAGCCTAGACTTAGCAAAGGCTGAGGGGTGAGCCTCATAAAGATGTAACAAAATGCCTCAATACCCCTGCTGGGGTGGTGTCAAGAAAGTCAAGTAGAGAAATTGGACTTTTATTCAAGCAAGACAATAACAAGGCCACCCTTTACCTGTAGACCATGTGGAAAGCTTGACTTTTACCTCTGGCTGGCAGCAATAAGGTACCCCTTATTTCCTTACTGAGATGGTGTCAGAAAAGGCTTTGTGAAGAGTCAAGATGTTCATAATCTTTCAGCAGTAATGGGACCATCCTCATTACAGTGTCAGTGGAGACTCTTTTCAGAGCCAAAACTCTCACCACAGCTCAACAGTTACAAGAAGCCTCCCTCCTAGGTGTCAACAGAGGCCAAGTGGGAAATTTGGTTTTCTGCCTTTACCTGACAGTAATGAGGAATTGTCTCCTTCTTGTAATGCCAGAGTGAAATCAGAAAAAAGCCAGTTAAGACAGAAGATTTAAATAAGAGATCCATAATCTTATAGCACAATTAAAATATGCTAAGCTTTCCATTGAAAATCAGTCATTTTACCAAGAACCAGAAAGATCTAAATTAAAAAGGCAGTAAATAGATTCCAATACAGAGATATCAGATATATTAGAAATATCTGACAAATATTTTAAAGCAGCCATAATAAAATTGTTTCAACAAGCAACTACAAACACACTAGAAACAAATTTTATAAAATAGAAAACCTCAGAAAAGAATTAGAAAGTCTTAGCAAAGAAAGAAGATGCAAATAAGAACCAGATTAAAAATTTAGTACTCAAAAATACAATAACACATACAAAGTTCAGTGGATGGCCACAACAGCAGAATACAGGTGGCATAAATCAATAGGATTTAATTAACATTTATATAGCAGTCTACACAGCAAGAGTGGAATACAATTTTTTTCAAGGAACCCCAAAATATACAACAAGATAAGACTATAGCCTTGGCCATAAGCAAACCTTGACAATTTTTAAAATGAATATTATATTATATATAGCATACATTGTCTACTACAATGGAAATTAGAAATCAATAAGCAAACTGGAAAACTGAACAATGGAAACTAAACAATCTGATGGGAGATAAAGTAGATTAAAAAATAGAAAAAAAAAAAGAACCTCAGGAGACCTGTGGAAAGAAAGCAGAAGATATAACATTTGCGTCAGCAGAGTTGTAGAAGAAAAAGAGTAGAAGCTGAAAAAGCTCTTAAATAAATAATGGCTGAGAACATTTTAAATTTGGTAGAAAACATGAACCAAGAGATTCCATGAAAACTAAAAGAATTTGTCACCTGGAGACCTACACTGTAAGCATGACTAAAGGAAATTTTCTAAACAGAAAGGGAATAATAAAATAAGAAATCTTGAAACAGCAGGAAGGAAGAACACAGTAAGGAAACACATGGGCGAGTTCAACAGGTTCTCCTTCTCTTCTTGAGTCTTCTAAATTATGTTTGATAGTTGAAGTAGAGAGTATAACACTGTCTAAATTGATTCTCAATTTGTGTAGGTAAATATTTAAGATGACTGTAATATAAATGTGAGAAGGTAAAGGGACATAAAGGGAGATAAGCTTTCTATATTTCACTAAAACCCCTAAAATGATGATACCAGTAGACTATGATAAGTTATGTCATATAAACTTAATACTCAGAACAACCACTATAAAAGCCATATAAAGAATTATACTGAAAAATACTGTAAATAAATCAAAATGAGATCCTATAAAGTGTTCAGGTAAGAAAAAGAAGAGCAGGAGAAAAGAAACAAAAAGGAAAACTAGAAAACAAAAATATAAAATGCAGACTTGAGTCCTAACATACCAATAAGTACATTAAATGTAAACTGCTTAAACATATCAACAAAAAGGGAGTGTTTGGCTGAGGGGATTAAAAATTATGACCAAACTATATGCTGTCTACAAGACACTCACTTCACATATAACAACATAGACAAAAGTAAAATAGTGAAAAATAATATATCATGCAAACATTAAGGGAAGCAGAAGGGGCTATATTAATATTATAAAAAGTATACTGTAGAGCAAAAATAATGATCGCAGACAGAGAAGAACACTATAGATTGAGAAAAAAATATATAAGTCAAGAAGACATAGCAATCTGAAATACGCATGTACCAAACAACAGAGCTGCAAAATACATGAAACAAAACTGATAGAACTCAAAAGAGAAACAGACAAATTTAGAGTTTTAGATATAGACTTCAATATTCTCTTTCTACTGATAGAACAACTAGACAGAAAATCAGCAGGGATATAGAACAACTCAATGCCACCAGCAATCAATAGGATTTAATGAATATTTATATAGCTGTCCACCTAGCAAGAGCTGAATATTATTTTTTTAAGGCTCCACAAATTATATAACAAAATAGACCATACCCTTGGTCATAAAACAGCCCTCAACAAATTTTTATAAAATGGAAATCATATAGAGTATATTCTCTACTACAATGGAAACCAGAAATCAATAACCAAAAGGTAACAGTAAAATTGCCAAACACTTAAAAACTAAAGAACAGACTTCTAAATAATCCATGGGTCAAAGAGAAATTTTCAAAGGAAATAAAAAAATACATTGACCTGAAATGAAAATGGCAATACAATATATCAAAATTTGTAGGACAGATAAAGCAGTGATAACAGAGATGTTTATAGCTCTAAATGCGTAAGTTATGAAAAAAGAAAAGTCTCAAATAAAAACTCTAAGCCTCCACTTTAAGAACTTAGAAAACGAGCAAATTAAAATAAGTCCAAATCAAGCAGAATAATAAAAACAATGAATATAAGGGCAGAAATTAATGAAACTGAAACAATAAAAAGATAGAAAAACATAATGAATTAAAGCTAATTCTTTGAAAAAATAAGATAGATTAACAAACCTCTATCAAGACTAACAAAACAGGAGATGCAAATTACCAACACCAAAAAGAAAATCAGGTGATAGCAGTACATTCTCTGCAAATCTAAAAAGAAAATAAGGAAATATTAGTGATTTTACATTTATAAGTTTAAAAACTTAGATGAAAAAGACTAATTTCTTGAAAAATGACAGCTACAACTCAATAATTATAAAAGATATTCAGAATAGTTCTATAACTACTAAATAATTTAAATTCATAATTAAACTTCCTCCTTTAATATCTCTGGACATAAATGGTTTACTAGAAAGTTCTACCAAATACTCAGAAAAGATTAACACCAATTCTACATGATTTTCCTGAAAATGGTAGTGAACACCTCTCAATTAATTTTATGTAGCTAGTATTGCTCTGGTATCAAAACCAGACAAAGATGAAACAAAAAAAAAACTACTGACAAATCAATATTCCTCATGAATTTAGATGTAAAAAATCCTTAGCAAAGTATTAGCAAATAGAATTTAGCAATATGTAAAAATTATTATACACCACAACCAAGTGGGTTTTATTTCAGGAATGTAATGCTGGTTTGATATTTGAAAATTTATCAATGTAATCCACCTTATTAAAGCTAAAAAAGAAAGAACACATGATTATATTAATGTATAAAAACATTTAACCATATTCAATACCCACTCACAATAAAAACTTTAGGAAAAATAAAATAATAGAGGAAAACTTCTTCAACTGTTAAAGAGCTTATACAAAAAAACACTATAGCTAACATTATAATGACAAAAGCCTTAAGATAAGGAACAAAGTAAGGATGCCCACTGTCGCCACTCTGATTCAAAATAGTGCCGGACATTCTACCCAGTGCAAAACGCAAGTGAAGGAGATAAAATAAAAACAGAACAAGTGGAAAAATAGAACTGTTATTTCTTGCAGAAGACAAGATTATCAACATAGAAAAATTTTTAAAAACTATTTAAAAAACTCAGACAAATATAATGAGCAGAACTTATAAATGACTAAATGAGTTCAGCAAGATCTCATAAGATAAAAATATGAAAATTAATTGTGTTTCTATATACTACCTCTGAACATGTAGACACAAATTAAAAATACTAAAAAAAAGATGAAATACTTTGGTATAAATCTAACAAAACACATAAAGAACTTGTATGCTGAAAAATTACAAAATATTGACAAAAGAAGTAAAAGATCTAAACACATGGAGAAATATACTAGCTCCTGGATTGGAAGACTCAACATAGCAAGATGCCAGTCTTCCCCAAATTGATATTCATGTGTCAGGCAATTTTTATCAAAATCTCAGTGAGAGTTTTTTTAGATATAGAGTATTCAATAATTTATATGAAAAGGGAAAGGAACCAGAATAGCTAAAACAGTCTTTAAAAATGACTAATAATGTAGAAGAAATCAGTCTGATCTCAACTTCTTATATAATTACAGTAGTCAAGGATGCATGGTATTGGCAGAGGAGAGACATATAGACTAAGAAATGAGAACAGAGAACCCAGAGATAGAGCAAGACAAATATACCCAACAGTTTTGACCAAAGTACTGAAGCAATTTAGTGGAAAAAAAGATTGCCGTTTCAACAAATGGTGCAGGAGCAATTGGATATCCACAGGCAAAAATCAAACTTCAACCAGATTCTCACAACTTATAAAAAATTTAACTCAAAACAGACCACATATTTAAATATAAAACATTACTATAAGACTTCTAGAAGAAAACAGGAGAAAATCTTCAGTCTTCAGGATCTAGTGCTAGGCAAGGGGATCCTAGATAAAAACCCCAAACAATATTTATTTGAAAAATGAATAAATTAGACTTCATCAAAATTTAATGCTTCTCTTTTGCAAAAGATTACGTTAAGAGGATGAAGAGAGGAGCTATAATAGAATGGGAGAAAAAATGTTTGAAAACCACATATAGTATTTGACAAAATCTAGGTCTTAATATATATTACATATATATTCTCAAAATTAAACAGTAAAAAACCAGCATTATTAGAAAATGAAGAAGATTACGTCAGGAAACATTTCACTGCGGTGAAGATACAGATGGCAAATAAGCATATGAAAAGATGTTCAACATAATTAGTCTTAGGGGAGTGGAAATTAACATCACAATTATATCTCTCTACACCTATCAAAATGGTAAAAATACAAATAGTGACAACATCAGATGCTGGCAAGGATGCGAGAAACTAGATTACTCATACATTGTAGGAATGTAAAATGGCGCAGCCAACTGGAAAACACTTTACTATTTTAATTTAAAAAAAATTGAAAACATTCTAATCTTATATGACCTAGAAACTGTGTTTCTGAATGATCATCTTAGAGACATACTTTTATGTTCACACAAAAACCTATACATAAATGCTTATGTATTTATGTACTTATGTAAAATCCTTATTACCTTTATTCATAATAACCCAAAAGGACTTTGATATCCTTTAATGTATGATGAATGATTAAACAAACTGTGGTACATCCATAGTATTCAATATTACACAGCAATAGAAAGGAACTGTTGATACACACAACAATGTGAATAAATCTCTAATTATGCTGAGTAAAAAAAGAAAAAAAAGCCAATTCTGAAAGGTAGCAGGTAACATACAGTATGATTCCATTTCTATAACATTCTTGAAATGACAGAATTATAGAAATGAAGGACAGTAGTAATTGCCAGGGAATAAGGAGGGCTGTGAGTGGGAAGTGAGTGTGGCTATAAAAAGACAACATGAGAAATATTTGTAGAATGTTCTGTCTCTTGAGTCTAGCTATGTAAATATTTTTGTGTGATATTGTATTGCAATTTGCAAGATGCTATGTTGGGGAAAACTGAGCAAAAGATCCACAGTTTCTCTGATTTCTTGCAATTGCATGCGAATCTATTTTTTATCTTAAAATTAAAAATGTAATTTAAAAAACCAAGTACATTAGAAACGTGGTGTGGAACTATTTCTACTTCGGAGGCCTTGAAAAAACTACTTACCTTCCTGTAGCTGTAGCTGCTTCAAATTCTACTGAGTGCCAAGAATGTCTCTAGTTCACAATGAGTGGAATTAGAAATTGGGTAAGAATAACTTTTGGGTTTCAAGTTCTTTGAAATTTAAATCACAGATGATATGGGAGGCGGGCAGGGAAATGCTGGGTAGAGAAGGAAGGGGTCCCTGGTGAGAGATGCACCCTCGGGCCTGTGTCCACAGACCTAAGTGAGAACAGGCACTCCTGTTTTTGCACCCAAATGTTGCATTTTCCAAGACCACTCTGACCTGCCACGCCCTTCATCTTGCCCCCATATAAACTTGAGACCATAGCAGGCAGAGGAGCAGAAGAACAGAGCAGCAGACACCAGCAGACCTGCAGACCAGCAATGGCGGAATGTTGCGGAAGAGAAAGCGAGAAGAGGAGGGACATCTGGACACTGACGGGAATTCCGCCAGGGGCCGTCAGAGAAGAGTCTGGCCACTAGGTGGCCCAACTCCAGGGGAAGACCAGCTTCCTACTCCATTTCCTCCTTCTGGCTCCCTGTCCATCTTGCTGAGAGCCACCTCCACCACTCAATCAAACCTTGCACTCATCCTTTGAGCCCACGTGTGATCCGATTTTTCTGGTACACTGGGCAAGAGCTCAGGATACAGAAAGCTGTCACACTGGCCCTCTGCCCTTGTCTTAAGGCAGAGGGTCTATTGAGCTGATTAACACAAGCCATCCGCAGACAGCAAAGCTGAAAGAGCACACTGTAACACACGCCCATTTGGGCTTTGGGAGTCGCAGACACTCACCCCTTGATGCTGCTGTGGGGATGGAGCCCAAAAGCACTCCCTGCAGCCTCTGCACCTGTTTGTCTGCATGCTCTTGCTAGGGTTTTAAGCAGCAGGGTGACAGGTCAGTACAGGAAAAGGATGATAAAGCATGAAAAAAGGAACTTTACAGGTGAGGAAACCTGAATGACTGTATTAGCTCATTCTCATACTGCTATAAAGAACTGCCCTAGACTGGGTAATTTATAAAGAAAGGAGATTTAATTGACTCACAGTTCTGCATGGCTGGGGAGGTCTCAGGAAACTTACAATCATGGCGGAAGGGGAAGAGGCATGTCTTAATGACGGCCGGCAAGAGAGAGTATGGAGGAGGAGGAACGGTCAGACACTTATAAAACCATCAGATCTCATGAGAACTCACTCACTATCATAAGAACAGCATGGGGGATAACGCCCCATGATCCAATCACCTCCTACCAGGTCTCTCCCTCAACACGTGGGGATTATGGGATTACAATTCAAGGTGAGATTTGGGTGGAGACACAAAGCCTAACCATATTAAAGACTAAGAAATGTGAAAATAAATTTGATATTTCTAGGAACTGGATAAATGAAGGTTACAACAATGAGATATTCACGATCAGTTAGGAAAGGATTAAAACAAGTACTGAGACAAACAGAGGCTAAGTTTTTATACCAATAATGGGAGTCTAAATTGATATAACAACTTTGGAGAGTAATTTCCCAATATTTGAAAAACAGTGTTGATGCACACGTCTGATATCCTTAGTCATTCTATGTTTAGATACCTGTCCCCATCAAATTCTTATATATGGACCAGTTAATTACTGGGAGGCAACTATTCATGGGTCTCTCAAGTTTCTACATATTTGCAAGCAAAGTTACAAATTGTTGTTCTGTTCCAAATTATCTTTTCAAGGATGTTAGTAAGGTAAACAGACTTGGAAGAAAGAGATCATGTCTGTAGAGGGCAGGTTTACTTGCTATTTAGTACAATTAAAGTAATGTCTCCCTTTGGAACAAACTTCAGGTATATTTGTTTATGGTGTGTTACAAAAAAATTAGGCTCCATAAACTCAGAGTTCTTCAGTTCTAATGCAAATCCACTGTGTATATAGAATCCACCTGGGTCTCTACAAGTTGCTCCCATGGAAACTGGGCACAAAAGAGAAATGGGTGAAAATATGCTAATTCTCATGCTGCTTGTTGTGCTATGAGTAATAAAATCCTTTGCCTCTGACCCAGGAGCCTTGTATCTTTTCTCAGAATTTATAAAACTGTGGCAGGCTAATTTAGCTTACAAACAGGGTAAAATTCCAGACTTTTAATTGTTCTTAATATAGACTTGTGCAAATGAATTGGAGCACAGTTTATAATCATAAAATATTACAAATATAGAAGAATAGAACAGAATAGAAAACTCATGAACGAAGGTACACGCTTACAACCTTGTGATCTTTGACAAGACCAACAGAAACAAGTAATGAGGAAAACACTCTCTATTCAATAAAAGGTGCTGGGATAACTGGCTAGCCATAGGCAGAATAATGAAACTGGATCCTTACCTTTTACCATATACAAAAATTAACTCAAAGTGGATTAAAGATTTCATATCTTTGAGGCTTAAGACCTCAAACTATGAAAATACTAAAAGAAAATCTAGGAAATCCCCTTCTCAACATTGGCCTTGGTGAAGAATGTTTAGCTAAGTCCCTAAAAGCAATTGCAATAACAAAAGTTGACAAATGGGACCAAATTAAACTACAGAGCTACTGCACAGCAAAATAAACTATAGACAGAGTAAACAGACAACCTATAGAATGGGAGAAAATATTCACAAACTATGCATAAAACAAAGATCTAATATATAGCATCTATAAAGAACTTAATTCACCAAACAAAAATCAAATAACCTCATTTAAAAATGAATAAAGAACATAAACAGACACTTCTCAAAAGAAGACATAAAAGTGGCCAACAAACATTTGAACACTCATAATCACTAATCAGAGAAACACAAATCAAAACCACAATGAGACACCATCTCATACTAGTCAGGATGGCAATCATTAAAAAGTCAAAAAACAACAGACGCTGGAGAGGCTGAGGAAGAAAGAGAATGCATATACACTTCCAGAGTTCAGCCATTCTGGAAAGCAATTTGGAGATTTCTTAAAGCACTTAAAAAGGAGCTACCATTCTAACCAGCATACCCAGTATATACCCAAAGGAAAATAGATCATTATTCCAAAATGACACATGCACTTGTATGGTAATTACAATGCTATTCACAATAGCAAAGACTTGGATTCAACCTATGTGCCAATCAGTGGTGGATTAGATAAAGAAAATGTTGTGCTTAAACACCATGGGACACTGCACAGCCATAAAAAGAATGAAATTGTGTTCTTTGCAGCAACATAGATGGAGCTGGAAGCCATAATCCTAAGAAAATGCAGAAACAGAAAACCAAAAACTGTATGTTCTCACTTATAAGTAAGAAAAGCTAAACGCTGAGCATACATGGTCATAAACATGGGAACAATAGACACTGGACTACAAGAAGGGGCAGGCAGGGGTTATGGATTGAAAAACTACCTACTGGATATTATGCTCACTATGTGGGTGGAATATATGAATGTTACAAATCCTACACATATACATAACCTTGTATCTGAAATAAAAGCTGAAATTAAAAATATATATATATATTAGAATCAGCAAGGAGGTATATTTTAAAAGTTGCAGAGCATAATACAGCAATTAAACTGAAAAAAAAGATGTACTGCTGTTTGTATAAGTCAGAACTAGTGGATTGTTGGCAATTTTATAAGGTTAAACCTAACATTTGTATCAACATAAATAGATCTCAGGAACATAACATTGAAATTTAAACTTTTGTTGATGAAAAACCAATGTATGCAAATGTTTAAAATGAAACCATACTCTTTCTATTTTGACTGACCAAGGAGTTATGTTTGCTGCTGTATTGTAGAAGGAGAGACACTGAGTTTAGCATAATAATTGTCCCAGACTGAATGGAAAGATGATGAAAATAAGATAAACGCCACTGCGATTTCAACTGTATCTCTAAAATTCTAGTTCCAAAAGCAAGAAAGCAGAGAAGTAAATATATGCTAAGTAGTAGTTTTTCTAGATTGTTTTTTAGAGACAGGGTTTCACTCTGTCACCCAAGCTGCTGGAGCGCAGTAGTGTGACAATGAATCATTGCAGCCTTGAACCCCTGGGCTCAAGCAATCTTCTGTCTCAGTCTCCCAAGTGGCTGGGACTACAAGCATGCACCATTACACCCAACATTTTTTTTTCCCCTTTTTAATTTTTGTAGAGACAGGGTCTCGCAACATTGCTTAGGCTGGTCTTTGAACTCCTGGCCTCAGGAATCCTCCCACCTCAGCCTCCCTGGAGCTGGGGTTACAGGCGCGAGTCACCACATCCAAGCATAAGTAGTTTTGATTGTAAGTGGGTATACTTAACGTGGTTACCATAAAACTTCCTGAACTCCACTTTATGTATGACATAATTGTTTCCTGATTAACATGATGTTAAACTACAGTGACTATACAGAGGCCAAAAATGGTGACCACAACTTGGAAAACAGTCATCAAACTGGCTTTCCAAATCTCCAGAAGCAGTACCAACTCTTAGTCCCCTCATTTTCTCAGAAGGCCTACCTTGGTTTATAGGGCACCGTTTTTTCTTCTAGAAAATACACTATGAGTCACTCATAGGTGTATGGCCTACTATAAAATTTTCACCATGTGTCATTAAATGTCATGTAGTTCAATATCGGGAAATTCTTTTCTCAGAATGAGAAATGCAAACTTTGGGCTGGTTTCAGGTTTTTATTTCTTTTAATCCTGAGAAAACCTTGAGTTGCACTTAAAAAAAAAATCTTTATACTATGACCATGTCCCCATTAAGCTATCTTTCTATCTACCAGCTTAATATATTTTTGGATGCTTTCATGTTTTGGTTTGTTCTGTTTTTCAGTTTGCAATGCAGTCGGCCCTCTGTATTCATGGGTTCGGCATCTGTGGATGATTCAACTAGCCATGGATGGAAAATACTTGGAAAAAAGCGAATGTTTGTGTCTGTACCAAATATGTACAGAATTTTTTTTTTTTTTTTGGTCAGCATTCCCTTAACAGTACAGTGTAACAGCTATTCACATAGCATTTACATCGCATTAGGTATTTTAAGTAATCAGGAGATGATTTAAAGTCTACGGAGAGTGTGGAGAGCTCATATGCAAATACTAGGCAATTAAGAATAAGGGACTTGAGCATCCACGAATTTGGGTATCCATGGGAGGTCCTGAAACCAATCCCCCATTGATACCTAGAAATGACTGTATATATTTCTAGAAAGGAATTAAAGTGTCTAAATACAGCAAAAGCAGAGAATTATAACTGATTAAAGCTTAAAGGATTTTTTGCACCTATATTTTACAAATGAAAAAAATGTAGATGTCTCTGGGTAATGGCTCTATGCTCACGTTTGAACTCTCATCTTCTGACCCACAAAACAATGCTAATTTCAACATGCTAGTCTAGACTAAGATTCTAACTAACATTTACTGAGTGCTTAGTGTATTGCCAGAGGCTGTTCTAAGCCTTTTTCCTGTATTACCTCATTTAATTCTCTCTTACATCTATGAGTTAAGAATAGTTACTTTTTTCTAATTTACGTATGAGAGAACTGGATGCCAGAGAGATGAGGTACGCTTTCCACCACCACAATTTAAGTAAATTGCTCCAGTATTGTTTTTGCATAGCCAGTATCAGAACAGAAACAGTTGAAGCCCATTTGACCATTATGCTTTTACTTAGCACACTTTATGCTATTTTCTTGCTCTCTCTGTCTCTCTCTGAATATTTTATTTTTATAATGGAAGACACTGAGCACATAATAGAGTTTACCTTATTTTCTGCAACTGAAAGTCATATCTCCAGCCTTATCCTTTTACAATCTGGCTGGAATGTTAACCTCCCACTTTAACTAGTTGCAGATTTGTGCTTCCCATTGCCTATTTTTTTTTACTATCAGTTACTAATAAATACTCATGCATTTACATCACTCTCTAAAAGCAGCTTATAACATCATGTGTATCTTGGTCACAGAGTAGACTGTTCTATCTCTCAAGAGAAAGAGAAATCACCACCAGGGGTCTGGGCTGAAGAGGAAACTGTCACTCCATGTCATGCCAACAGTTCCTGCTGACTCTTTCAAAGTGTCATTCACTGACAGTTGGCATAGAGTCCAGCTTTGATGTTGGAGATTTTTGTAAAAAGTAATATGATTTTGAGATTTCCCTAGACCTAAATTCTGGTTCTGGCACTGCATTATAACCACCAGCTTAGCGACTTTCACAAACTGTTTACTCTCCATTTTCTCATCTCTAAAATAGAAGATGGGGTGAGCAGGTGATGCATATTTTATAGCTGTCTTGTAAGAATTAGAGATGACTTGTTTAAGTGTCTGGTATATAGTAGGACTATGTCTCAGTTAAGTGCTTGATATCAAGTAGGTATTAAAAAATGGTAGTTATTTTATGTTTTTGTGTGCAGCAGAACCAAAATTGCTAACCTATAGGGCAAGAGCTCAGTAGATTTTTAATGTGACATTTAGTCCACTGTCAATGTGCTTGAGTCATTGACATGCTGGGCATTAATTCTTTACCAACTTGAGAAAATTTATTTTTCTTTTTTAAATTTTTAGTTGACAAATAATACTTGTACATATTTACGGAGTATAATGTGATGTTTTAGAAAAAATATTTAATAATGAAATATTTCTGTTTGACAAGTGCTCTTTGAGGTGAGCTTTTGGAAAGATACCATTAGGGACCTTTATTCATAAAACAATAATAATCAATTAATTCACAAGGCATTTCCACAATGTACACAAAACAGATGTATCTACTTATGGATTCCAATTGGCTGTAGATCACAAATTATGATAGCTTCCCTAAAAGGAAGTCATACATAGGAAGAAACCAAAAGGTCAAAGATTATATAATTTTCTCTAGGGATTGTTCCTACTGTTTGTTGCTAGGTCTCTTTTGCCTATTCCTGAATTGTTAGCTTCCTGCCAGGGATTCTGAGTGTGATGCTAGGGAATGTTCAGAGTATTTAGAGTCCTGATATTTCATCAGGCATATTGTGACCCACTAGACCTTTCCAAGTGCGCCTGCTCTAAATGTTCTGCTTATTTCTGACTCTCTTCTTTCCTTCTCTTGCCCACAGTTGAGTATACAGTTCTGTTTTACCAAGACGAAATGAGTCTCTCCTAAACAAGCTTGTCGGTATTTCTTTGTGTGAGGCATCAGGCTAGACTCCAGAGATAGTAATTTATTTTCTTTTAACTTCGCTTAATATTTTAGTTAAAGGAAACTAGCAGAACTTTTTTAATCTCCTCTTTTTGTTACCAATGAATTTTGGAAACTGGAACCTATCCAAGCCAATATGAGTTTGAGGAAGTATTCAACTCTGGGAAAGGAAGGATGTGATCTGTAAGTGAAACTAGAAGCATGAAACGTGTGAACCTTTTGTGGCTTCATTATTTGGTTATTAAGGGGTAGTTTCAACATCAAAAGGTTACTTTTAACTCACATTTGGCAAAGTGCCTATGCCACCAATGTTAGTGGTAATAGAAGTGCTCAGTGGTTAGAACTTATTACAAATTCTTCCCTATGTGAGATCTTCCAGGAAAGGAAAAGACACTTTATTACAGTACACTTAACATTTATTTAACATCCTCACCCTACACTGAGTACTAGGGTTACAAATATGAATATTGCAGCGAGTCCCTGAAAATATGAGTAAAGTGAGTAGCACAATTAAAAGCAGGCAATTAATAAAAGAAAAACATCATGATACTATCATTGTTCCTTGTATAGATTCAATAATAAATATATAGAGAGACAAAATAATGGAGATCGTGGGAAGTATTTAACTCTACTTGGGAAGATTTGTAAATATCTTCAAATAAGAGGAGGCAAAAGTATTTGTCAGGAAGAAAAATTGGCAGAGTGATTTCAAGCACATGACAAATACTCAGTAAATGTTGCCTATTATTATTATTGAAGGAGGTGGACCTATGGTAAGTTTTGAATGGTATAATGATACTAGCAAGGAAAAGACAGAAAATTCCAGCCAGGCGGAGGAGTTTGTGCAAGGGACAGGGGCACCACACTCCATTGTGACATCCTAAAATGGCACTGAATCAATATTGCTGGGGGATACAGCATGAATGAGACACACTTGGAGGAGCAGGCAGGCTGTGTCATGAAGGGTCATGAATGTCAGGCTTAAAAGCTTATACCAAATCTTACTGATTATAGGAAGTCACTAATAGATTTTAATATTTCAGGATAGGACCAATTTGCATTTTAGAATTGTTACTTGGGTGGCAGTAGAGAAGCGCTGGTGAATGGTAAGAGGCAGGGAAAGTGCAGGAGTATCTGGGAAAAGTTAAAATAACAAAGAACCGTCGGGCGCGGTGGCTCACGCCTGTAATCCCAGCACTTTGGGAGGCCGAGGCAGGCGGATCACGAGGTCAGGAGATCGAGACCATCCTGGCTAACACAGTGAAACCCCGTCTCTACTAAAAATACAAAAAAATTAACCGGGCGTAGTGGCGGTCGCCTGTAGTCCCAGCTACTCGGGAGGCTGAGGCAGGAGAATGGCGTGAACCCGGGAGGCGGAGCCTGCAGTCAGCCGAGATTGCCCCAGTGCACTCCAGCCTGGGTGACAGAGCCAGACTCCGTCTCAAAAAAAAAAAAAAAAAAGAAAAAAAAAAAAGAAAACACAAAATAACAAAGAACCTGACAAGTCTGTTTGTAGGTTTATATCCTAGAGAAATCCATACCCAATACAGCATTTGTTCCTTTGTTGTAGTGTTATTGATAATAGCAAAAAATGTTGGGCACAATCTAAATGTCTAGTGGCAGGGGAACAATGATATGAATAGTACAATCTAAGAAAGTAAGTAATAGATTATGATGAACTAAAATGAATCAGTTAAGTGTAAGTGCATTAGCATGAGTTGTTCTTTAATATGCGTGAGTAAAAAGAAAAAAAACAAATTGAATAATGTTAAATATAATCCTATGCTATTTATAAACATTTAATAAATAATACTATTTATGGACACATATACATGAAACATGTATAAAGCCAGGCCTGGAAGAAAAGTTACCAAATTTATTATAGTTGTTATATTATTGGAGGGAGGAGGAGCCATGAGATTGGAGGGAACAACAAAGGAGGCTTCGAGTTTATCTTGCAAGTTCTGTTCCTTAATAAGTCAAATTTTACAGCAAATTTGACAACATATTAATTGTGATTTACATTAGTTAGGGGCATGGGTTTTATTTGTTTATCTATTTTTATTTTTAATTTTTTTTTTAAGATAGTCTCACTTTGTCACCCAGGCTGGAGTGCAGTGGCATGATCTCAGCTCACTGCAGCCTCCGCCTCCTGGGTCCAAGTGATTCTCCTGCCTCAGCCTCCCAAGTAGCTGGGATTACAGGCACGCACGACCACGCCTGGCTAATTTTTGTGTTTTTTGTAGAGATGGGGTTTTGCTATGTTGGCCAGGCTGCTCTCAAACTCCTGACCTCAAGTGATCTGTCCGCCTCAGCCTCCCAAAGTTCTGGAATTACAGATAATGGGTTTTATTTTTTAATAGTTTCTGTGCTTTCAGAAAATTTTTAAAAATGAAATATGTGTCTGATTTTGTTTACTGTATGTGTTGTGTGTGTGTGTGTGTGTGTGTGTGTGTGTGTGTGTGTGTCTAAGATTCAAGGGCTCTAACTTCTCTCTCCAACTGTTAAAGATAGTGTCTGAGTATGCTAAGACTCATCCTCTATCAACCCCCAAAGTTAGGAAATGGCTGAGAGGGAGAGTAGTAACTTCATCTTGAACCCAAGAAGGGTGTCCAGGGAGAGGGAGGGTTGCATACTGCCAGTTGTCAAATCTTTCAAATAACATGAGGCTCTTCATAGTTTTCAAATAAGAGAGTCAATGAAGACCAAGTTCTTAGTTCATGAGGAGGAGTTGACTTTTCAAGGGGGCTTAATGATTGGGAGGTGGACATCGAGTGGGTATGATGGTCCAAAGATCTGTAGCAGGAATGAGTCAGTCCCATAGGTTCAGAGACAGCACCTTTTGCCACTGTCAGCAAACAATGGCCTCTTTTGCAAATGGCCTTCAAATTCTGATTTTGAGGGAGAGATGGAAAATGCTATCTTCACAGCCATACTCTCTTATTGTTGTTATTGAAAATACAGTCAGAGGCCCTTACAGAGAGACACATAGGAAACAAGCTCAGTTTAAAAAACATGAAGAAAATACTCTCTTGGGTAATTTGAGTTTTCAATTCAATTTAAGTCAGCAAATATTTTTACATTTCCTTTTGCTGAGTATGTTTTGAAAATTATTCTAGATACTTTGCATTCAAGACAGTTTATAGTCTGTTTTATACAGGAAGTAAATAGAAAGAGCTATAATATTGTTTGGCTCTGCGTCCTCACGCAAATCTCATGTCAAGTTGTAATCTCCATGTGTCAGGGGAGAGTTCTTATGATATGCAGTTCTTATGATAGTGAGTGAGTTCTCACAAGATCTGATGGTTTGAAAGTGGCACTTCCCCACTCATTCTCTCTCTCTCTCCTGCTGCCATGTGAAGAAGCTTCTTACTTCCCCTTTTCCTTACCCCATGATTGTAAGTTTCCTAACATTTCCCACATGTAGATACCAATGTTGGAAATTTTATAAGAAAGGATAGCTTTTCAACTGCCCTCAAATTGCATCAGTTATAGACTAGGACACGAACAGGAAAAGCTGGCACATTTGAAGAGAATGTGACATATTGAAACATAATTATATAAGGGGCTGATTAATATTGGTCAGAAAAGCAAAGGAAAAAAGGCAAAAACTTAATTCTAAATTCTATTTTAGAGTAGTTTCTAATATCAACTTTTTATATAGTTACAATATTAACTTTAAAACAAAAAAAGATCTTTCTTTCATAGAAGAAGTATAACCTGGTTATTAAAGATAATTATGGATGACAAAATAAGCAGAAATTCAATGAAAGGAGAAAATTATCCATTGTTCCAAATCATCCCAGTGTATCCATTTTTGTAATCCTGGACTAATAATTAATTTAAATATGTAACAGATACATAATATTCAGGCACAACTAAAGCTTATTTCTAGTGTTAATGACCAATATCCACCTGACTAGGGTATAGTTGTGGCCATAAGAACTAATAAATGTTTGTTGAATTAAGCCAAAGACCTTACTTGGAAGGAGCTAGGTATATCAGTTCTTTATTACTGTATTAAAAAACTTTAAAACTGTCACTTTTAATATAACAATCAATTGCTTATGATCCTGTGGCCCAACAAATTGAGTTGGTCTTAGTTGGGTAGTTCATTTGTTGGTCTTGGTTGAAATCACTTAGGTACCTGGTAGCTCATCAAAGACTAGATAATCCAAGATTGCCTCACTCACGTTTTTGGTGAATGAGGCTGGCTATGGATTAATTGGTCCAGGGGCCCTCAGCTGGGATGATTTATCACTGCTCCTCATAGCCTCTCCTCAGGGCAGCTAGATCAGGTTTCTTTGCAGGATGATGGAAGCATTCCCAATGGACAAGAGCAAAAGCTACAAACCTCTTGGAATTTAGGTTTGCAAGTTATACAGTGTCTCATCTGAAACATTCACTTAGTCAAAGCGAAGTGTAAGGCCAGCCCAGATTCCAGGGAACGAGAAATATGTGCCACAACTTGATGGAAGGAATGGTCACACTGCAAAGGAACATGTGTTCTGGGATGTGAAAAACTGTTGAGGTCATCTTTGCAAACTATGTACCAAACTTTATTCATTGCCCTTTGACAACTCAACACTATATGCTTTATGCATGTTTATATTAGACTAATCAATGCTGAACAAATATAAAAGATTCTTAGTTTTGTTCACATTGTGCAAAATTCAGTCATTAAAGTATAAGAGATTTTCCACTGTGACTATATAAAGGTATGTCCAATAATTGTTTCTTATTTTGAATATTTCTTTGTCTGATTTTTTCCCCCAAATTTGTGCAATGCATAAACTTCAGATGGCAATGACCTCTTTAAATGAAATGGATGCATTCTAAATTGTCCTCCCAAAAGCCTATGTCACCAAAGTGGGAGGGTCTGTTTCTATGTTCCTGATTTTTATAAGAAAATTGAAATTTCTAGTCAAATGTTGCATTATGACATTTATCAGTGTTATCAAATTTATAGAATTGAGGTGAGGATTAAATCTGGCAATGTAGAGCAGCAAGAACTGTGGCTAACTCTAGGAAGCTTTCAACCTAAAAGGAAAGATTGATACAAACATGGTATCACAAGAATGAATCTTATCCTTTGAAATATCCAGCTGCTGTATGACTCCCCATAAGCAATGCTAGTCAATGCTGACTCTAGGGTTTTAATGGGAAAATCTTTAAACATGAAGATTTTCTATTGCGTCTGTGTAGAGGATCATCCATCTATACATAGAGAGATGAGCACTAAAAAAGAGAAATGAACAAGTTCCATTAAGAAATTAAAAGATGAAGAAACCACAGCTAGTTGTAGAGAGCAAGAAAGGGCCAAGATGCTTCATAAATGTTTGTTCTCTTTTTCCATTTTGCCTCTCTGAATATGAGTTTTTTTCCTCCCTGTAATGAGAGTTTTAGATTATATAATTTTGGCAGTTCCATTGAACTCTAACATTTTATGCTCACTGCATAGGCACTCAATTGGCATCATAATTTCCAATGCTAGTGAGTCAAAACTGTTCCCCACAATCTCTCATAAATAATCTACTGTTCCATGAAAAATAATTTTTAAATAACAATATATTTGCATCATTTGTATTCCTTAGAAATGACACCACCCTCATCCAAGAAAAGTTGATAAGAAGGGCTTAACCTTTCAGTTGATATCTGCGTGTAGAATAGAAAAAAAACCAACCAGTCAAAATGAAAAAATATATGTAAATTATTGGGTAGGATGGTCATTTTAATGGTATTGATTTTTCCAATTCATGATTATTTGTGTCATCTCTGATTTCTTTTAACAGTGTTTTGTAGTTGTCATTGCAGAGATCTTTCACCTCCTCAGTTAGATGAATTCTTAGGTATTTTATTCTCCTTGTGGCTATTGTAAATGGGGCTGTCTTCTTGATTTGACTTTCAGCCTGGACATTATTGGTATATAGAAATGCTACTAATTTTTGCACATTGATTTTGTAGCCCGAAACCATCTTAAAATTGTTTATCAGTTCTAGTAGTCTTTGGAAGAGTCTTCAGGATTTTCTAGATATAGAATCATAACATCAGTGAAGTAAGATAGTTTGATTCCTTTTTTTTTTCTATTTGGATGCCTTTTATTTCATTCACTTGCCTGATTGCTCTGGCTAGGACCTCCAGTACTACATTGAATAGGAGTGGTGAGAGTGGGCGTCCTTGTCCTCTTCCAGTTCTCAAGGGGGACCAACGTCATTCTTCACAGAATTACAGAAAATTATTCTAAAATTCACATGCAAGCAAAAAAGAGCCTGAATAGCCAAGGCAATCCTAAGCAAAAAGAATGAAGCTGGAAGCATCACACTACCTGAATTCAAACTAGAATATAAGAGTACATTAACCAAAACAGTATGGTACTGGCACAAAAACAGACACATAGACCAACAGAACAGAATAGACAACTCAGAAATAATGCTGCACACCTACAGCCACCTCATCCTAAAGAAGACCAACAAAAGCAAGCAATGGGGTAAGGACTTCGTGTTCAATAAAGGATGCTGAAGTAACTGACTAGCATATGCAGAAGAATGAAATTGGACCTTTACCTTTCACCATATACAAAAATTAACCCCAGACAGATTAAAGATTTAAATGTAAGACCTCAAACTCTAAAAATTCTAGAATAAAATGTATGAAATACCGTCCTTGACATCAATCTTGGCAAATAATTTTTGACTAAGTCCCCAAAAGCAATTGCAACAAAAGCAAAAATTGACAAATTGGGCCTAATTAAACTGAAAACTTTCTACACAACAAAAGAAACCACCAACAGAGTAAACCAACAACCTACAGAATGGGAGAAAATATTTACAAACTGTGTATCCAACAAGGGTCTAATATTCAGCACCTATGTGTACATAAATCAACAAGCAAAAAACAAATAACATTATTAAAAAATAGGCAAAGGACATAAGCAGAAGAAGACATACAAGTAGTCAAAAAACATATGAAAAATGCCCATATTCATTAGTCATCAGAGAAATGCAAAACCACAATGAGACATCATCTCGCGCCAGTCAAAATGGCAGTTATTAAAAAGTCAAAAAACAACAAATGCTGGAGAGGCTGCAGAGAAAAGGGAACGCTCATATATTATCAGTGGGAATGTAAATTAGTTCAGCCACTGTGGAAAGCAATTTGGTGATGTCTCAAATAACTTAAACCAGAGCTACTCTTTTTTTTTTCAGATGGAGTCTCGCTCTTGTCACCCAGGCTGGAATGCAGGGGCTGCAATCTTGGCTCTGCTATTCCGCCTCCTGGGTCCAAGCAATTCTCCTACTTCAACCTCCCAAGTAGCTGGATTACAGGCATGTGCCACCATGCCAAGCTAATTTTGGTATTTTTAGTAGAGACAGGGTTTCACCAAGTTGGCCAGGCTGGTCTTGAACTCCTGACTTCAGGTGATCTGCCTGCCTCAGCCACCCAAAGTGCTGGGATTACAGGTGTGAGCCACTGTGCCCAGCCCAGAGCTACTATTCAATCCGGCAATCCCATTACTGGGTATATACCCAAAGGAAAATAGATCATTATACTGAAAGGACATGTGCAGTCATATGTTCATTGCCATGCTATTTCTAATAGAAAAGACATGGCATCAATCTAGGTGCCCATCAATGGTAGATTGATTGGACAAAAAAACTGTGGTACTTATATATACCATGTAATACCACACAGCCATAAAAAAGAATGGAATTATATCTTTTGCAGCAAGATGAATGAAGCTGGAGCCCATAATCATAAGTGAACTAATGCAGGAACAGAAAACCAAATACTGCTTATTATCAAGTATAAGTGGGAGCTAAACATTGAGCACACATGGACATAAATATGAGGTCAATAGACACTGCAGACTATTAGCGAGGGGGGGGTGTTGGGGGCAGGGAGGAAGGGAGGAGGCTGTGGGTTGAAAAACTACCTACTGGGTACTATGCTCGCTACCTGTGTGCAATATACTCATGTAACAAGCCTGCACATGTACTTCCTATATCTAAAATAAAAGTTGGAATTAAAAAAAAATCTGTGCCAATTTGAAAATACTAGCAGAACAAACAAGTTGATTTCACAGAAGTGCAACACTTTGCTATTTAATGTAATAGTATGATTTGCAAATGTTTGTATAAGAAAACGTATCCTCTAATCTGCTGAGTTTTGTTCTCTTCCTGCAATTTTACCCAAATCCTCCACATTTACTTACAGCACTCAGATAATTGTTTTTGCATGTCAAGTACCTAAAATCCCAGTATGTTTATATTCTATTGTACTTTATACATTTCAAATAACTTTCAAATACACCCTCACATTTGGTCATCAAACAAAACTGTGAAGGGTTTTTATGAATAACGAAATTGAACCCTTAAAATCCAAGTGACTAGTCTCAGTTTGCATAGCAGGTTAACAACAGATTGAGGGTAAAACCAGACACCTCACCTAGAAACCAGTTTTTTCCTACTACATAATAAAGGGGGAGTTTTTGATAGTTGCGTAGGAGTGCCCCTATTTTAAAGACAATGTTACTTAACAGTTTTATTGATCTGATATTCAGGCAGCATAAAAAAGCAGCAGAAATATTTGGTGCCAGCTTGGCCACTTTGCTCTTCATCCCCCTATCTTTCGGACAGCTGGACAAGGCAACAGCTGCCAATCAAGACTGTTTTACCTACACTTTCAGATCTACTGGCACCCAAAGGTGTATGCCAGCTAGTGCTTGCTCTTGTTGAATAGACATCGTTTGAGTAGAGTATGGCACCAGTTTTTATGTAACACTGTCATAAACCTTTTCATAATGCAAAAGTTAACATCAGAGCTAGAGGGTAAATCAGACTCACTCTTGAAAAAAGTTTAATTTTGATTTGTGGAGCCAGAAGCTGCTGGGTTATTGTCAGACAGGTCGATGTGTAAATCCCACCTTTGGCCCCTCTCAATTGTGTCACCTCAGAAAAATGACTTTGCCTGCTCCAACTTCCGGTTCCTTTCCTTACATGGCGAGAGTGCCTATCTTACAGATGTACCCTGAAAATGCATTTGTGTTTAGGAAAGGGCCCTGCATGTTTTCGAATTTCATTATGAACTGATCCTGAAGCCACCTCAGTCCAGAGCTTGGTGCAATCCTGAGAAAAGAAGTGTCTGGGGTCAAATGATATCAATCTTCCATTATCTGAAGGACTGGGAGGTGTTATTCTGTATTATTCTAGAGACAAGAACTAAGGCCAAAATTTCCAAAGTTGTGAAAAAATAAATTTATTCGAAATCAGAAGCAACTTTTCAACAACCATAGCATTTAAGAGGTGGGAATATTGAGAGTGATGTGCCATACCAGAGACTCCTGGAAGGGAATAGGCTGAATCACCATTCTTATAAAATTATAAAAAGAAGCCCCTTTTTCCTCCACATTAAAAAAAGATTCAGAAAATGTGTTGTGGAAGTTAGAAAGCATGAACAGAAATGAAATCCACAACTAGCCATCCAGAAATAAAGAAGTGTTAAGCACTGGGGAAGTGTAATGTGTATATCTCTCACTAGGCTTAACTCCTTTGAAGTAGAAAAAGTAACTTCAGCACATTTATTTTACATGCAGTAATTTTGACATGGAATACATTTGGCCTGTATTATTTGCTAGGACTGCCGTAACAAAGTACCATAACCTAAAATAGCTTAAGCAACAGAAAAGTATTATTGCACAGTTCTACAGGCTGGAAGTCCAAGCTCAAGGTGTTCGCGGGGTTAGCTTCTCCCAAAATTGTGAGGGAAAATCTGTTCCATGCTTCTCTCTCAGCTTCTTGTAGTTTACTGGAAATTTGTCTTTTCTTGGCCTGTGGAAACATCCTTCTGATCTCTGCCTTCATCTTTACATGGTGTTCCCCTGGTGTGCATGTCTGTGTCTAAATTTCCCCTCTTCATAAGAACACTAGTCATACTGGGTTACCTCTGGTCTTAGTTCTTCTGTCTAGAGTAATACAGAATAACACCTCCCAGTCCTTCAGATAACTGTAGCTTGATATCAATTGACCCCATACAGTAATGACCTCATCTTAACTAATTATGTGTGCAATGGCCCTGTTTCCAAATAAGGTCACATGCTGACACACTAGGAGCTAGGTCTTTAACATATGAATTTTGGGAGGATACATTAAACCCATGATAAGACCTTATATATGGTAGGTGTTCAATAATGCTTTTCTGCCAGAATACAGCTAAAAGCAGAGTGCTCAAACCTCAGAGTTAGAAAAATGTTGATGAAACAAGCCCCATCTCTGCTAGGCCTGGCTCCCCTTTGTAATTCGGGCTTTTCCTGGATGCTTCTATGGACACCTGTTAGACGTAGAGTTTGTTTTGTCTGTTTCCATTTCTGAGGCTCTGTGACTTTTTGGACAGAGAGGGAAAATACTGAGGAGACAGAATTCTAGAATAAATGACTGCTTAAAGAATTTAAATTTCTTTGCCTGCTAGGAAATTATCAATTACTGCTGTTGCACTATTAAAAGCAGAATACACAGAAAATAAATAGTTAATATTTACTCAGCACTTATTGTGTGTCAAATATTATACTAAGTGCTTTATGTGATGAAATGGAACATATCTTACAACAGAGATGTTGTTATTTATATTCATTGTATTGAGGAAGAACTGGGTCCTGAATTGTTCAAGCAATTTGTCCAAGATCACATTATTTTAAAATGTCTTGAGGTTCAAAAGAGGTCTCTCTGAGTCAAAGGCCTCACCTCACAAGTCCTGTGCTATACTGACTATTACTTTTCTTTACCATAAAACTCAAATAGAATGATCCGCTTAGTGGATCAGGGTGAAACTGGAGAGTGGTGAGTAGGATGTGTGTTTATGCATTCATGTATAAAGTCAATACATTGTAAAGAGGAAGGAAGGGAGGGAAGGAGACACAGAATTGGTAGGAGGAAGGGATAATTCTTATCAATTTATTTTTAGGTAGGTAGTAGGTAAATGAGTGGTTATTTATAACCTTCCTTCTTCAAATTATGTGTGGCTATTGGCACCATTTAGTAATACATGACAAAAGAACAATTCAGAAAATTGTATTTCCTAGAAAGGCACCTGGCCCTCTTTTCTGTGGGGGTGCGAGGAAGAAGCCACATGTGCTGACTTTTGCCTAATCTAGCGGTCTTCTTTGGGTCCTCGTCACGGCCCCTGAGAAGAAAAATTATTTTAGATCAATTAATTAAATAAAGGTGAAATTGAAGACATATTTCACCTTTCTAGGTTAATGCTGTGACAGTGAACAAAAGTGCTAAGACCCTGGGGACGTTACCTCATAGGCTCAATATTCCATTCTATTTCTGGACCGCGGAACTCTTTTGTGAACCTGACGCATTCATCCTGGGAAGAAGGTTTGGAAACCAGCCGTGCTCTTCCCTAGGGCACATCACTAGTAAGTGGTACTGCTCTCCAAGTAGAAACATGTTAAAGTTAATCCATAAAAGCTCTCCCAGTTTCTTCCAGGCTGGATGCTGAGGTTGCTTACTTTGTTACCATGGTTCTCCTTTTAGAAAATGACATGTAGAGTATTCCAAAATGACAAATCCAAGTTTTCCCCATGTCCATTTTAATACTTCTGTTCATTCATCTAACATACTTTGTGTATGTGTTCCTGAAGAATTTCACATATTAATAGATGCAAAATATATTTACTCTTCACAACAAAACCATTTGATGGGCCTTATTTACCCCACATTACAGAGTTACACGGAGGTGAAGTGACTGAGGAAAAATGCCAAGTTTCCTGGTAGAAGCTTAAAGCATTTAAGCAGAAGCTATATGGCTGACTTGTTTTTTAATTCAACAGATACCTTTAGATGGCACTGGTGATGAAGACAGAAAACTTAGTAATGCAGTAGGGCCTCTGTTTTATGGTTTTTACAGTCTACTAGAGAAAGAGAATATAAATAGAGCAACAAATCACCATATGATTGTAATTGCAATAAATATATCTGAAATGAGAGGGCATGAAAGAGACCTAACTTGATCGGAGTGTTTGGAGAAGGCTCACTGAGGAAATAATAATTAGAACAAGACATGAGGGACGAGTAAGAGTTAGCTGGAAAGGAAGAATGGCAGATGGAATAGCGAAATGAGAATCAGTTTTGGGTACTATGAGAATGAGGATCCGGGTGACCGAGAGGACATGAGGAAGGAGAGAGGTGGCATGAGGTTAGGCTGGGGTAATACAAAAAGACAAGATCATGTAACAACTCCTAAGCCATAGTAAAGCTGGTCAATGTCCTAAGAATAATAGGAAGTTGTTTAAGGGCAAGGTAGGCACAGGGTCAAAAGAATATTTAATAAATCACTCTTGATAGAATAGGAAGAAGAAGGGCAAAAGAAGATGGGTGAAGACTGGATGAAAAGATTCTGGAGACTCCATGGAAAAGATGTGGTAGCCTGCATTAGGGTCACAGCAATGAAGATGTAAATATGTGATTGAATTTTAGAAAATATTTAGAAGAAGCACTCTGAAGATTTAAGTATGAATTGGATATGCATCTGAGGACAAAGGAGATGTCCAGGATGACTAAGGTAATAGCCATAAACCAATGGGATGTTGGAGATGTCACTTATTAAGATAAGCACTAGAGATGTAGCATATTTGGGGGGGAAATTATGAGGTCAGTTTGGGATGTACTAGGTTGCATTTACCTGTGAAACATCCAGATAAAAATGTCAAGTCAGTGATTGGATAAGCAGGCACATATCTAGAGCCTGGAAAGCCATAGCCTTTGAGGTATTAATGAAACCTTAGGCAGAGAAAATATGATCTAGGGAGAAGCTCTAGACTAAGGTGACAAAATAGTGGTGAGGAACTCAGAGTTCCTGGAGGTCTGTTTATAAAGTAGAAAAACGACAACTGGGAACGGCTCTGACAAGCAGCGACCAAAGGTTTAGGTTCAAACAGGAGAACAGTGTCTCAGGCAATTTAAAAGAGTTCCATCTCAAAAATATAGTGGTCAGCATTGCTCATAGGTCCAGTAAAGAGGATGAGTGCAAAGTCTGCATGGAATTGGTGGCCTGAACATCACTGGATTCTTCTGGACAGTCATTGCCAAGAAGTGATGGGAGTAGAAGCCAGGATGGAGTGGGAGATGAGAAAATGGAAAAACATACACAGAAACCCCTTTAAAGGTGGTGAGAAATGCAGAAAACTAGTACAACAGATAAAAGGGAATAATCCAGCTGCTATATGGGTACATTTTCCCACCACCTTTGGAACCAAATGACCTCCAAGACCCCTTTCAACTTCTAAACTCCACCATAGTATCATAATTGTCTATGCCCCCCATCATCAATGTGAGTCTCAATAGTTTTGTTTCCTAGGGTATGTATTCTCAACTCATGACACAAAGCCTGTCTATGCTGTAGATGCTACTAAATGTTTGTTGAAAGATTAAAGTTATTATTAGTGTAGTGACTGCTGGGTGCATGAAATACTCACAGGAAATTGAAGAACTGTGTGAGTGGAGGTCTAATCAGAGTAAAGGCCAAAATCTTTCGAAACTAAATATGTGATATCTTTGTGAGCAGAATGACTAAGTGAGCTGAAGGTCTGCAGAGCCCTGGTAAGGGAATACACACTTATTGGCCAATGAAACCACCAATGCAGATAGATACACATTAAATATGATTGATTTAGAAAGTACAATGGCCCAACAGCCAGAAGCCTTTTTAGGGTTTCTTTTAACAGTCACTATTTGAATGATCTTTTCTCATACTTGAATGCTGTGAAATTAGTGGCAGGCCTCAATATCTATAAGGAAATGATTGAAAGCCAGACAGAGTAAAGATGAAAGTGCCTTCCTTCTTGAGTTTCTAAAAAATATATTGACTTGATTGCTTATCAATAACTGTCTGTTACTGGTTTTAAAGCCTGAGGTTAGAAAAGCTTGAGAAGCATACTAGGCAGATGATCTTCTCATATGCTTAGTATTTGGAGATACTCAAAATTTATAACAGGTCATGCAGCCTATTGTGTTTGACATCAATCTTGAGACTAGCAAACTTAGACCCTAAACGAGAATTAATAATGGTGCCAACAAACAGTTCTATCCCACTGTGCTTCTAAATTTGCCATTTTCTATGCCTAGTACACAATTTTAATAATAATAATAATAGTAGCAGTTAACATTTATTTAGTGCTTAATACATGTCAAACACTGAATATGTATTATCTCATTGAACTCTGGAAACAATATCCATTTTACAGAAGAAAAAAGCTGAAGACAGGACAAATGACTTCATCAAGACGGCATAACTAGCAAATGTTTCAGCTGGGATTTAAATTCAGCTGAGATTCTGACCAAGAATAATAAAATATACCGGAATATTTGTTCTGAAGTGAATGTAATCCAGGCAAATATTTACTAGCTGGGAAAGAAGCGCTATCTCTGTCAAACCTAGCAAGGACTAGAGGGTGAAACAAGTACCCATACACACATCTAAAGCCCCCGCCTTTCCTGAGAAGAACAGAGAAAGCTTTCGGATACTCCTAGATGCCACCCTGGGGAGAAGGAAGGGGAGTGGATGAAAATGTGAAATATTGATAGTTTACCTCTTAAATATTCTTTTAAACTGTTTGGATTTTATTAGTATTATAAAAACTGAGGTACTGAGATCCGCAAGTTTTTTCTTTCTACCCAGTACATTTGAGGCTCAGAATCAATCTTAGATGAGCTATACACAAATAAAAAAATACATTTCTTTCCCCACATGGAGTATGGTGTAAAATTAATGATACTATTACATTAGGAACAGCAGGCTTCATTGCCTGTCTCCAAACAACATTGATTGCTCTCACCTATTTAGCATACTTCCTTTGATACAATTCCAGAAGTTTCTATAGTTCTCCAGCTCTGCGATTCCTCTTTCACATTATGCCAGGCATACAGCCTCCAGTGGCATGAAATCACAGTTGTCATCGTTAACATTTTGTGGGGTCCAGAACAGAAAATTCAGGTACACATATCAAGATGGAAGCCCTGTTGGGTGGTGCAGAGGAAGGAGTTGATGCTTCTCCATGGCCCTTGAGTTGCTGAGCTTGGGAAAGCCACAGAGTTTGTAGATGGAGGGACCCAGGAACTAGAGATTTACAGCAATCACCTAAATAATTCATGAGAAAAACTTTAATGGGATCATTTTCTGAGTCAATTTAATCTTAGCCTCATGGAATCTCACCATTGGGATAAAATTCAGAGATTGCATGGTTAGTCTCTCTGGGACTGAGATTTATAGATGGGCACCCAAGGTGACAAGTGAAGTTAATGCAAGAATGAGATTTCTGGCCCAGGGATCTTTCAGCTTGTGACACTGCTGGATGATTTTAACCCTCAATTATCCAGTGGATAAGTTTTATTTCCATATTTCCTAGATAACGCCTCCCATTTCATGTATTCGTGTGACAATCTATACAAGTTTAGAACCACTCATTCGTATATTGATTTACTGAACAATTTCAGGACATTTTCTATTGCTAAGCATGGGACTAGGCACTGATTAGAGAAGATGATTGAGATACAAATCCTTCTCATAGAATTCAAGTTTAATAAAGACAAGTATAAAAATACAAAGCCACACAACCCAAATACATTATATTTGCTTGGGAATCACTGCTCTATGGTGATTCCCATTGTCAGTGCATAAGGTTGAGATGACTCAACCTGTATCTCTGTCCACAAGATTTGCCTAGTATATAAGTAAGAAAAATATTACTGGAATAGAAATGCTAGATCATTTAAGAGAATACATTATTTTTCAGCAAATCCAATGCTTTAATGCATATACAAACAATGCCTGGGGCAACTTATTCACAGAGTCGCAGGTTATTTTTAGCAGAAAAGGGCTACTTTGTAAACAATCCTGCAGTTATTAGGCTGTTCTGCCAAGCGCTCAGCTTAAAGAAGAGCTTCTAGAGCTACTGCCAGGGGTTACATGAAGGTCCAGTGGTCTCTGACTGCAATTATGTCAACTCTACTCCCATTGGTTTCATTTTTTGGTTTGCACTAGAGATTATATTTCATCAAAGAATTTGCTGCTTTAAAATGTATAAAAGTGAAAGAATGAACTAATACCTTAATTTTCAAAGCAGGGACATTTAAGACTAAGAAGTTAAGTAATTTTGACAAGATCCTAATGCTGGTTAGTAGTCAAACAGGAGTGAAGCAAACATCCTTCTTGCCTGGTACTCTTTCCACCACACTTCCCTGCCTCCTTCCTTTCTTACTCATAAGAACACGTCCCTGTGATGGAATGTGCAAATCATTGATTCTTATTCCCACACATATTGAGGTAGTAGATCTGTATTTCTTTACAAAACAAGTCAGCCTCTGAGTCATTTCACAGAACTAAATGGGCTTTCCACTGGAGGCTTACTGAAATATGAAACTTGCCCTATCCTTGGAAGGATTATCTGACATTTGACAAAGCTGTTATCTTAATAAAGAGGACCACACAAGTATAAATAAATGTATGATTCAAATGACCTGTTAAAGTTAACACAGAACTGAAATTATTTTTACTTCTCGGAGTGTAAAAAAACCTAGCATTATAAGAATAAAAGTAACATATGAGGTAATGCTCAGGAGGACAACAGGCCATACACAAGCTTATTTACTTAAGAAATTATCTTAAAAAATGAACATGCAACCGCAAGTACCACAAAAAAAGAGCATCTAATTATCTATTACAAGATAAGATGTTTTTAATAGTTTAATCTTTCATGTTATAGTTAAAGATTTTATTCAAGCTTGATCATCAATAATATAACCATACATGTACATCTAAAATGAAAGCATTTTCCATTTAATTTAATTAATCAGTATAAATCTACATAGGCAGAGTTCTTGTTATGGCATAAACACACATACATGGACAAACAGTACACTTTATAATTATGGATACACACTTACATACAGCCATAAATTCTCTTTAAAGAGACATGCAGAAAGATTGAAGAACCATAAGTCAAAAAATTACAATATGAGGATTTTTGCAGATTATGTAGTATCTTGAAAGCTAGACTCAAAAGTGGTAATTTTCAATTTTGCATTCTCCACCACAGTGGTCTATAAATATTTTTCTGTAAAGGGCCAGTAGCAGGTCATATGGTCCCTATTGCAACTATTGAACTCTGCCATTGTAGAGAAAGCAGCCATAGGTGGTGTGTGAACAAATGGATGTGTCTGTGTTCCAATAAAAATTCATAATTCATTACCTCATTAAGTTTCGTTATAATTTTCAAGTGTCATAGAATATTATTTTTGTTTTGATTTTGTTTTCAACAATTAAAAAAATATAAAAACCAATAAGTGGTGGGCAGAATTTGTTCTTCAGATGGTAGTATGCCAACTCTTCTCTGTAGCATCAGTAACTCTTATCTTATCAATAATAATGGTGTAATTTTTCTCGGAGTTATAATGTAGTTTGCTCTCTTATCCAGAGATGAAATGGGCTGTCTTGGGAAGTATTACATGCCCTAAAATTGAACCATTTAAGGAGAGCCGAGCTATGTGTCTATAGACTTTCAGAAGGTTTTTCAAACTCAACAGGGAAGGACAACCTCTAGAATATGTATCCTCAAGCGTGGAGATTTCATGTTTGACTTTAGGCATTCAGTGGAGTGGTTAAAGACAATACATTTGTGTATGAGAAGCATCTTTCACGTACTTATTCACATGGACTTTGTCTTTGCAAAACCCATCTGTAAATTTAAATTTTCAGAATACTTTAAATCTATTTCTTCCATTAAATTAAGTGCAGCAGCATCATTTCAGCTAGAACTTGAATGTCATGAGCACCGAGTCTTGAAAAACGTGGGGAATAGTCATTCCTGCCTGAGGTAACAGCTGCTGCAAAGGCCGTACAGTGGGAAATAAATGGAAATGTTAGAATCAGGGATGAAATTTCTGCAAGGCTGAGACAAAGCAACAGAGAGAAAGGCACAAGATGCAGCAAGCAAGGCAAATAGAGTCCAGAGCACATCCGGGTTATGGGTTGTGGCCTTACAGTCTACACATAGAATGAAATCAGTACGTGTGTTTTATGCATATATTGAGAAGTCATTGGAAGGTTCTGGATACAAGAACGACAAGGCCAAAGTAGCTTTGACTCCTATGGAGAAAATTAGGTTGTAGAGAATAAAAGGAAAAGCAGGGAGCCTTGTTAGAAGTTTTATTGCAGAAACCCAAGTGAAAGGTGACTTTGACTATGGGGATAGCAGTGGAGGTTGAAAGCAGTGGATGAATTCAGATGTATTTGGGAAGTGAAGTTTCTGATGCATCCATGTTGCAGCATGAGGAAAATAGAGAAATCCAGAAGACCTAGTGTTCTAGCTTAAGAAACTGGGTAGCTAGCATCATTTACTAAGAAGGATACTTTCCATAATGATCAATTACTATTAGACTGGTCAGATGATTTCATATTTGTGTTTTTGTTTCCTATTATCTTAACTACTCTATGGCTCAGGTTCTTCAGCTATGAAATAAGGACATAATAGCTATCCTATGTTATTACCCAGAAAATAAAATAATGTACATTATTATACATTATTATAATACTGACACAGTGTCTGATACATCATTAGCACTTTTACAAGTTGCTATATTTATGTCCCTTGAAACTAATTAGACTTAATAGTAAGTACAATTTATCAAATACCCATTCTGTACTAAGCAGGTATTTTAAAATTCATGATCTCCCATATTTACAACAATCATAGGTATTTCTGCTTCCATTTTACAGATGACAAAACTGGGCCCCTGAGCTGGTGAATATTTTGCACAAGGTCCAACAACTCATTAGAGAGAGTCAGGGTAAAAATTCAAATTTATCTGACTCCAATGCCCATGTACTTCCCCTCATAAAAGCCCTTCTCTCCAGAAGTGAAAATGTAATGAAAATAAAAATAATTACTCTTTTTAATAAACAACTAATGATAACCACATTTGCCTTCCATAGGGTAAAATAATGTACATCAGTGGGAGGATGTCTTTACATGGCTGCCTTCCTTACAAACATATGTGAAGCTATACCCACATAGTGAGTAGTTTTAAAAGAAGATTGTAGTTTCAAAGCTTCTATCAATTCTTTGGTTGCTCAAAGTTGAGAACCCAACAAAGGCCCAAATAGATGGCCCTTTGTTTAAGAGAAAACCATAATAACCTTTTACATATTGGCAGACCTGTAAGTTTTAGTGAAAAATAAATTGCTCTGTATATTAACATATAAAATATTTAAGTTTTTGTTTTGTTTTGTTTTTTAGATGAGGCCCAAAATAGAGGTAGAGAGAGATTCAAAAAATCTGGGAGAACACGAGGAATGTAAAAAGACAGTGAGTGCCTGGTCAGTATGGCAGACGAGACAGCCACGGAGAAGACCCCAGCCAGTGAAAAGTTAACTTTCAAGAGTGAGTCTGTAGTTGTCTGGAAAACTGAGACTTCATTAGCAATTTTCAGTGGCTTACTGCATAGTACCTCCAAAAAGAAACAAACAAACAAAAAACAAACAACTTCCTTTTCTCTCTGAAGCCTGAAGCTTGAATCAAAGTAGTTAAAAGACTAGCTTCCAGATTTGGGTTGACCCAAGGTAGAAAAACAAAAGCCACAAAGAGTGAGAGCTAGAATCCAGAAGAGAAACATGGAATAAGGGAAGACTGGGGGAAACGTGCGCCCTTCCTCAACAGAAATCCAAGCACAGTTTAAAAAAAAAAAATTATTTTTTGAGACGGAGTCCTGCTCTGCCGCCCAGGCTGGAGTGCGTGGCGCGATCTCGGCTCACTGCAAGCTCTGCCTCCCGGGTACACGCCATTCTCCTGCCTCAGCCTCTGGAGTAGCTGGGACTACAGGCGCCCGCCACCAAGCCTGGCTAATTTTTGTGTGTGTGTGTGTGTATATATATATATATATATATATATATATATATATATATATATATATATATTTTTTTTTTTTTTTTTTAAAGTAGAGACGGGGTTTCACCGTGTTAGCCAGGATGGTCTACGATCTCCTGACCTCATGATCTGCCCGCCTCGGCCTCCCAAAGTGCTGGGATTACAGGCGTGAGCCACCGCGCCCGGCCGGGATTTTCAATGTATGCAGGTGGCTGCTTGAATCTCTCTTCATTTGAACATTAAAGGAAAATGGTGAATGACGACCATCAGCTGGAGGGCTTGGGAGATACTCAGATCGGGTACTGGTCATAAAGAGGAATACTGAAATCAGCATAGACTCTCTAGCATGGAAGAAACAACTCTTTAAAAATAAGAGTTTTTCTGCATTTCTTTTCACTTCACTGCATAGTGTAGATTCCATCAACATCAAGTAGTTTACTTCATGCAAGTATACTGTGATTGTTTAGGCTACCATGTTTTTCTCTGTCTGAAAGGCCCCTTTCCATCTGCAACAATTCTAGTCATACATTAACGTTATCTCCTTATGAAGACTATTTTCCTGTTTTCTTCTTCCTTAATAGCATATTAGGTCTATCTCTACTACAGTCCCTGCCCTCTGGACTATCACTGTTTATAACATGACTGCCTCCCCATCTAATCTGTAAACTCCTTGAGTGATGAGGCAAGACGTTATCCAAGCCTGTGTTTCAGAACCTAGGCAGAACTGAAACATATTAGGTGCTCAATAAATTTTTATCAGCTTGACGGTGTCTTGTTAGGTAACTTTTTTCAAAACTTTTTGGAAAAGAGCTCAAATAAGTGCTTAGATTTTCTCTGGATTCCTACCCCACCTCAGTCACCATCTGTGATGGAGAAGCTATAATTATATATTCCCTGGGGGAATTATCATGACGATAAAATCACAATCTCAGCCAACAAAATTCAGGAACGCCATGCTCAATTCCTTTGAGTTCTTGAGAAATGTAGCAATTTGAGCTTGCAGTTAAGCTGCTTTTCTCTTCTGAAGTATTGATTTCTAATTTGATTGTTTCATTTTGTTAAATTTTGAAATAATCTCAAAGAATTACACACACACGCACACACACACAAAATTCTGTATACCCTTCATCCAAATTCACCAGTTATTAAAAGTTTTCCACATTTGTTTTTATCCTTCTCCTGCTTTCTCTCATATATATACTTATATTTCTTTTTTCTTTTCCTGAAACAGGTGATAGTATAAGGCAGATGTCTTGCCCCTTTATCCCTAAATACGTCAGTGGGTAATTTTTAATTAAGAGAATATTTTTTATTTGATTAAACTTGGTGATTGCTTTTTTTATATATATACTTTAAGTTCAGGGATACATGTGCAGAACATGCAGGTTTGTTACATAGGTATACACCTGCCATGGTGGTTTGCTGCACCCATCAACCCGTCATCTACATTAGGTATTTCTCCTAATGCTATCCCTCCCCTAGCCCCCCACCCCCTGACAGGCCCTGGTGTGTGATGTTCCCCTCCCTGTGTCCATGTGTTCCCATTGTTCAACTCTCATTGGGTATTTTTAAGAACAAGAGCATTCACTTCCATTTTATAGTACAATTATGACAATCAGTAAAACATTGGGACATTTTTAATTAACCCAAATTTCAACAATTTTCCTAATAAAATATTTTATGGCAATTTTTCCTGGTCCAGGACCTAATTCAGGATCATATGTTATATTCTGATGTTGTATCTCTTAGTCTTCTTATTGGGGGATGGTTCCTCAGGCTTACTGTCTTTCATGACATGAACACTTTTGAAGAATACTAATCACAAATTTTGTAGACAGCTCCTCAGTTTGGGTTTTGTCTGATATTTACTAATGATTAGATTTATTTTAAGCATTTTGGGTGGGAACACCACTAAAGTGATATCAGTGCATCTTAGAAGTCACATCATGACAGTTCATCTCATTTTGGGTGATGCGTTCTCCACAAATTATTTAATAATTGCAAATGGAAAAATGGTAACTTTACAGTGGAGAAACCTGGTGAACATACCTTAACCAAGTGATCAAAGTTAACATCACCAATAGTATATATACACATATACCTCAATAAAAGTTTCAGGTATTTTTACGAGCTTATTTGCCACTCATGAAAATTACACTTCTAACAAAAAAATACATTAAAAGTGTGACTTTGGTGTTTGCAACAATATTTGCTCAGCACCCAGTGCATAAGATCTAGAATAAATTTTGTGGACGTTCAACTAACTCCAAGTCCTTACTAACCAGTTACTTACTGTTAACACTTCTATATATCTTTTTAAATTTTCCCATGACATGTACAGATGTGGAAACAAAAGTAACTTGACCAACATCCCCAAACTCCAGTATGATGCTGGAATGTGAATGTTCTCTCTTCTTTCTTCAAGTCCAGTGTGCTTCACTCTGTAAGTGTTTATTTAAAACCAGTGAAAATATGGGTGCTCAACATTAGAAAACCACTTAACAAGAGCTAAAGGCCAGATACGAATTCTCTTTTCATCCTAATAGGTAACACTCCGGAACACCTTTATATGACTGCAGGGATGGAGGGGATTGAGGGTTAAGCAGGAGAAGTAACAGAGGGGAAAGGATTACATTTTCCCCACATAAGATTAGTTTTGCCTATGGTTTAAAAAAATGCAACCAATTCTAATCTGGATGTAGGTATTTCTCAGTGACTGGGCCTGTTTGCAAGCTCGAGCCCCTTTTTCAGAGAAAGCCGGAAGCTGTGTTTCACTGTAGATGGGAACTTAAAAGCAGCAGCTATATATAGCTCTATAGCCTTAACACACACACACACACACACACACACACACACACACACACACACACACACACACACACACGGCCTCTAAAGAGCCCTAAACTTTCTGTTTCAATCACCTTTAAGTTCTACATAACCCTCATTTTCTGGCGGGAAACTTATTAAGCAAATTTTCAGGGGAGATATCATAAAATGGAGGCCATGATGATGTTTCTTGTGCAATGTACTGAGAGAAGATGTAGCACAGGACCAGACAGCGGGAAGGAGATTACAAGGCTACTTTTTTACTTGAGCTGAGCTAAAAGGAGTCTCCTTCCACATTGAGTCTACAATGCAAACTCACCTACAGCTGCAAAATCAGTGAGACGGGAAAGATGTTTTGCAATTTTCAACATTGGCAGCTACTAAAAGTGATTAGCTGTTTTTTTTTGTTTGTTTGTTTGTTTTTAAATAGCCACCTGAATAGGTGGCTACACCTCTATAGAGGGTAGATGTGGTTAGAAGATGCCTCCAAAGGAGAAGTGGAGGCACAAAACACTGAATATATATTGGAGTCCTTGAAAAGTATGTTGCAGTCACTAGCAGGAATTGTTCCAAAGCAGGAATTGTTCCAAATTCCAAAGCAGGAATTTACTTTTCCCTCTTTGCCCTTCTGGGAGGATGAGCCAGCCCAGTGCATGAGAAGTACTTATCTAGATCACTTTCATTTTATTAGCAACTCTTGCACGCTCTGTCCAACAGCAGCCAGATGAATTCTCCTTCCCTGGGCCACTTAGTCACAGCTCCCCTCTCAAGAAATGCATTACTTTCCCCTTGCTGATCCCAGAGGTTTGGCTTGTTTGCTCTCTTTTTCATAGCTGCCACTCTCAACTTCTCCGTAAGGGGCCTCTTTGTTAGAGTGGAGCTCTGCCTCTCCAGCTACCTCTTTTCTGCATCTCTTGAAGGCCAGGACACCAAACCAAAAGTGTAAGACCATGAAATTGCACAGGGCAGGCAGAGCGGTGAAGATCTCAGACTCTGAAATCAAACATATCTGGGTTCAAATAGGGTTCCTCCTGTTGTAAAACTGTGCGATTTTAGCCAATTCTTTGTCTCAATTTTTTCATTTGTAAAATTAGAACAAAAATAGGACTAATGTGTCACAAAATGCATGCAAGGTTCATGGCACATAGTAAGGACTTAATACATTTTAGTTATTAGTATTAGTGTCACCATCATTATAATTACTGTCATTACCATCATCATCATTGTCTTCTTTAATCATTATAAAGAAGTAGACAAAAAATGAAAATCGGAAATTAGGAAATTTTTAGGAATTTTAAAATCTTACTAAATTCTCACAGATTTTTTTCCTTAGAATATGTCTTAATCCCTTTATTTAAATGGCATCACTAGAAACTTATTTCTCAAGAGAAGATGTAAATTTACATGGAGGAATCAGTAAGAAGAAGGAAAAGGTCCATGCCTTCCCCACCTCCACCACCTGGTCCAGCTGGGCCCAGGTGAAGGCCTAAAGGAAGCAGAGCAGGGGTGTGGCCACCTAGGGTCTCCTGGCAGGCAGCCTCTCACTTCCCTTTTGCCCTGTACTGAGCTCAGCACTTGGACTTCCCTTTGCTTTCTAATTCCCACTCTATATTCACAGTAGGCTCTAGTGCTGTGGTTTATTTTCTTAATTGCTTCCCTGTCTAGACTACAGGTGCTTCTGGAACAGGGAGTGTGTTTTGTTCAGCTTTGTGTTCTTCCTGCCAAGCACAATGTTGACTAACTGATTGTTTACTGTTTTTTGTCTACTTCCTTGTAATGATTAAAGAAGACAATCATGATGATAGGGACAGCAACTACAATGGTGATCAAGATACCAATAACTAAGATTTATTAAGTCTTTGCTAGACGCCTTACTGCTACCTCTCTCAGTCTCACTTTAAGTTCCTCTTCTATCAGTGCAGAATCACATTAGGAAAGAATCATAGATGTAAATAACTCCTTCCCAAACACACATACTCATTCTAATGGACAAATGGGCGAATGGGCTCCAAGAGGGACTATCTGGCATGAGATCTCACAGCAAATGAGCAAGTGGCAGCAGCAAGGCCAAGATACAGGTCTCAGGGCTCCTAGTTGCATACAGTCTCTGTGTTCAAGGGCTCACGGGCTCCATTTATGATTTGGGGGAACCCCAGATAGGTGACTCACCACAGAGAACTACCTTGTTTCCACAGGAAGGATCACCTGCACTCCTCTGTCATGCTCTTCTTGGTGAAAACTGCCCCTGAAATTCAGTGACCACATCCTCTCTTTGTCATTTACACCTTACTGGGGTCTTCCCCTTTCTCCTTCCCCACCTCCACTTTCAGCAAAATCAGCTCATCCTGGATATCAGCCAAATTCTTTTGTTCTAATGTAAGGGTGAGTACTAAAAATGTCAAGTCTATGTGATTTCAGAGGGGCCTTACAGAGGCCAGCGTCTCTAATCAAAGAAATGATTGCATATCTTGGTGTCAGGAGGGCAGATATGAATGGTGGCATTTCCAGATCATTATGGAGTCTGGGGAGTATTGTGCTGCCAGACAGGATACAAACACTGTGCATCTTGTACCCTTGAATGTGTTGATGGTCCAGACAATTGGTGAGTGCAACATGTATAGTCTAACCCAGAGGCTACATAATGTTCCCCATTAGTATCCAAAGTCTCAATCACACTACCTGTTCCTTCCACTGAAGTAGAAATAATAGAATTGGAAGTAACTGTTATGAGAGCTATTATTTGTTTATTGACTTCTTACTATGTGCAAGTGAGATATCTTGTCTATCATATCATGTATATTTTAGTAAACCTCAGCAACTCTTCAAAGTGGGAGTTAATATGAAGAAAACCAAACTCAGAGACATTGAATAATGTTATATGGTTTATAAGTGCTCTGAATCCAGGCCTGCCATACTCCAAAGCCTATTCCCTTGCATTTCCCTATGTGGCAGTCATGATCACATAGATTTGTTTGGCAGAGATATAGGAAGGCATGGCTTTAGAGACGGGACTATAGGGAGAGAGAATGCCTTGCAAGAGATCACCGATGGGAGGCCTATGGGTCCCTTTTGTGTTTTTCTGTTTTCTTTGGGAACCAAGGTATTTGAAAGAGAATGTAGCTAAGTAAGGCCAACTGCTATCAATCTGAGCAACTTGCTCCCTTTGTCTTACACCTGTCATGGCTCACAAATTTGTGACACCTGTCAGTAACTGGAGGCATTTGAGGATTTAAGCCTGGAGAAGAACTCAGAGTATAGTGCTGGCCAATTGCATCCTGGGATGTCATGGCCAGAGAGATGCTTAGAACACTGAGACAGAAACTCCCTGTCTTGGCCCATTCCTGTGCCACAGCTCACAGTCCACAAAGCCTTTCCTAGCCCAGCCATCCTCTTATTCTTACCTCTTAGGGTCATCACAACCGTGTTCTGAAGATGGTCTGGCAGGGCTTACCACTCCCACTTTCCTTCCTTGCGGTACTTTGGGAGCTTTCATGACAGAGTCTGACCACATCACTGAGTGTATCGGGCAAAAATACCTTCCTTCTCTTGGCAAGCATGGTGTGCTTTTAACGTCATGCACCTACCATAGACCAAGTCCAAGTATGTTTCTCTCTTTGTTGGGATGCTTACTCACTCATTTGTTTGCTAGGAGAATTTGTCTTTCTGCAAAGTCCAGTCACTCCCATATCTCTGACATACTCAGGTTTAATCCAGAGCTCCTCAGCTGAACTTTCCATTTATCCTGACCATACCGTCTAATGCTACATTTATTTATTCTCTTCCCATAAGCTATGTAAGGACAAGGATTCTGTCTTACTTCTTAGTTTCTGCACCTTGCCTGGCATATAGAAGACAATTGATAAATGATTGTGAAATAAATAATGTGATTCTCTGTAATTTTAACAAAATAATTGAATACCTCATAAGCCTTTAACAGAGCAGACCCAAGGGATATGACAATTAAGTTGTATAGCTCCACTCTTCCTTCTGGCAAATAATGTTCTTTCAAGGAAGAAAGAACAGGGTGGACAAAAACACACAATAGGTAAAACAGTTTGGTGTCCACGTGCAGGATTGCAAGGGAATAAAATAAGAGATGGGAGGGGCTTGGGGATGGGGATAGGCAGCAGCCATGTAATGCTGTGTATATTTCCCCTCATTGGGAGTTTAAACTGCTTTCTGCAGGAGAGGGGGCACCAGTAAAGTTTGAAATAAGAGAACAATCATGCTTCACTTACTTGTTCATTGCAAAGGATCATGTGGGTCTCAAGGTTTACTAGTTTGAGTATCAGATCTCAATTTTTTTTTTTTTTTTTTTTTGAGACCGAGTCTCCCTCTGTCACCCAGGCTGGAGTGCAGTGGCACGATCTCGGCTCACTGCAAGCTCCGCCTCCCGGGTTCACGCCGTTCCTCCTGCCTCAGCTTCCCGAGTACCTGGGACTACAGTCACCCGCCACCACGCCCGGCTGATTTTTTTTTTTGTATTTTTAGTAGAGACAGGGTTTCACTGTATTAGCCAGGATGGTCTCGATCTCCTGACCTCGTGATCTGCCTGCCTCGGCCTCCCAAAGTGCTGGGATTACAGGCGGGAGCCACCGCGCCCGGCCTCAGATCTCAAATTTCAACACAGGAGACCATAGTGAATCATCACTCCAGTATATAACCAAGATATCTTTATTTTTTCCACAAATGAAACTTCTGAGCCAATAATAATACCTGTGATCATCACTGCCATTGAACATTTACTCCGTACCAATTAACATTCTAAGCACCTTTCATGTATCAACTCACTTAATACTCCTCTTGCCCTTTTGGAGCTACTCACAGATAAGGCTCAATCACTGGTTACAAATCACTCATCCGATATGTTCAGGAGCCCATTTCCACCCCCCACTGCATATAATTCTGTTCTTCTTATTCAGTTCCCTGACTATTTGCCTTGTTCTCTGGAAGGCTGATTGTACCACAGTGGACATTCCTGGAGAATGGAGGTTTTTCTGTGCATGGTACGAGATAGGTACTCTAAGTGATGGCTGTTCTATGTATCAGATACTCCAAGGAAAAAAACAGCAGAAACTTAGCCAGCCAAAAAGATATGTACAAAAGTCTATTTATCCAGAAATTGGAGTTGCTGTGGATGACTCACTTACACCACTCCGCACAAGCTGCAGGAACTACCCAGTGGCCTGAAGACAAATCCCCTCTCTTAGGCCCCTTTTGGGAAGGACAGAACTAGCCTGGGAGAAAAATGACCATACATCAACATACATAACTCATTCTAATTTCTATAAAGGGGTACCAAAGCCTTTTGTCATTTTGTAGCATGATGGACCTAATCTAGGAAGCTTCTCTCTACAAAATTTTCAAAAGCAATTTCCCTTGAAAACTAAGTAGGGGGCAAGTTTCCTGACTCCAACCATTTATATTATTGAAGTAGAGTTTTTCCTCATACAATATGTCTGAAATCCTCCTTGTTCTTGAGGGATATTGCTGGATTTTTGAATCCTAAAAAAATGTTTGGGTTTCCAGCCCTACCAGATACCAGTCTTGTATCAGTAACTTCAACTGTAAGATGAGGACTCAGTAATTACCTTGCTTGCAACAACGCACTTAAAGTGAAACACAAAATATCCAACAGATATTAGTATTCTCCTGCCCTCTTTGCACAAATGCGTGTCATTACTTGCTCATTTGACAGTGATTATCTTTCTTTCTTCCCAAAAGTCAGTTTTCAAGTTCTATCACCAAGGATTACTTAGGACTTCCTTGACCAGTCCTGCAGGCCAGTAAAATCTGCATTGACAACCTGGATCAACTTAAGAAGAAAGTGATCAGAGTTAGGAACACATTCAGAACCATAAGACAGCAAGAATTCTTCAAAGAAACGAATTGTTTGTCCTGGAGACAAGACTATTTGTGTCATTGTTTTCAAATATGTAAATAATTTTTATGTAAAAAAAAGAATTATTATTTTCAAAGAAACGAATTATTTGTCCTGGAGACAAGACTATTTGTGTCATTGTTTTCAAATATGTAAATAATTTTTATGTAAAAAAAAAGAATTATTATTTTTAATGAAGTAATAAGTGGCAGAATTCAGACCTACTAATGAAAAATGCATGCAGCAGAATTTGGAACAACTGGAGAAAAGAACTTTGTAATAGCCACAGAAAAATACTGGTTGACTTGGGAGGTAGTGGGGTCTGGTAGAGGTGTTCACCTGTGGACTCATTGGCCACATGGTGGAGATGTTGTAGAAGGTATTCAGGTATCACCACAGGGGATGAGCTCTACGACCTTGACAGTCCCTTTGAACTCTGAGATTTTGTAAGCCTACAAATTCATACTTATTTGTATCGAGTTTGTGCTGGCTGAGGACTGTTGCAGAGCATATTGCAGCTTTCATAGAAATTTATAAGAAATGATCCTTGATTTCAAACAATAGAATCACCAATGTTACAGCTGAAATAAAACTTAAGAGAGCACCTCACCTGACTCTCATTGTAAAAATGAGTGTGCTAAGGCCAAGAGAGTTCAAATGGCCTTCACAAAATCACTCAAAAGTTGTCACCAAGTCAGAGCTCAAATTTTCAAATGAGAGATAAAAGATATAGGTTATATCTCCAAGGAACATTTAGAGGAACACCTCCTTTTAAAAAGAAAGCTGCAATGAATAATCTCTTCTCCTATACTTTACTTAGTAGATACAAAGTACACAGCTTTAAAAAAAAAACAAAAAACAACTAACCAAGTGATCCATATTTAGCAAAAAGCAAGTAAGCAAGAAACAGAGTATTCAACTATGCAGCCTGCTCCTAAATTTTGGAGACAAATGGGCCTGAAATAGTAAATTAGTAAGATTTTAGAAAAGCTGCAGGAAGATAGTTCTTAACTTGAACTACTGCCCTGGGAGACATCTGATTGGAGATTTGGGGCTTCTAAGGGAGTTGAGGAAGCCTATTTCAGGTAAAAGTTGTCATTCCTGGGCAAAAAGCAAAGGAAAAAAACAAAATACTTCCCACTGTTGTAATGCAGAGAAAGATACCTGTGTTAGGGTTTCAGATTGTGTATGGAGTCAAGGAAACTTCTTACCCTTCAGCATGTTTATGGATTTGTGAACAGCAAAAAAGGAATTAAAGCAATTATAACAGAGTAATTGATGGTGGCAACTTTAAAGACCAGAATACATTGAGAAATTATACATATAGAGACATATAAATCTGTGATGTAGGAAATGAGCAGTCTAACATAGGTCCCTGGATCTAGTGAGATGTTCACATCTCCTAACACTAAGCTCCAGACCTCCAGTGCTGTACACAGGAATTCACACAGCAGAGGTTATCACGTAATTAACACTTGACATGAATGGAACCCTGCCACACAGAAATGGCCAAGGCTTATATCCTGGGAATCATGATGAAGGTCAGGGCCAGCTCTAGGCAAAACTCGACCACTCTCATTGCATTTCCTGCATTACAACTAAATTATACATTTTCACATCTATCTTTCAGGTGATAATGTGAATAGCTCAAAGTCAGGATCTATTGAAATCTATCTCTTGTTTGCTGTGCAAAGCCCAGAACTTGCTATAGGGTAGATGTGCAATGAATTTTAGTTAAGCTGAAGCTATACTGCATTTCTCTGATATTCCCTAGTGCTAAGAAACTGTACGTTAATCTGAAACTTTCTCTCACAAATGAATCTTGGCACTAGGAATGTGTATGTAAATGTAGCATGTTTAAGCTCAGGCATAACTTTGGTAATTTGTCTTTAGCATCAATAAGTCAAATGGCTTAACTTCTCCAAAATTCAATTTCTTCGTCTATAAGATGGAGGTAATTATACTTACTTCTAGATTTCTAAAATTGTGGTGATGGTAAAAAAAATTCTATATGCAAGTTATCTAGAACAATGTTTGTCACAAATAAGCATTTAATAAATGATGTCGGTGGCCATTATCAACAAATTATTCATTTTTGTCTCTTTATTAGGATCTGAGATAAGAAATCACTTGTGTTAACTTTTAAGATATGAGATCTGGGCCAGTTGGATCCGCTGAGGATTCAGGCAGGATTCTCATTCTCAGAGAGGACATAGCTGTTAACTCTAGACCAGCACTTTAATAATACATATTCCTGTTAGAACCTGCTCACTGTAAAACATCATAGAAGATAATTATGTTGTTTAATTGAATATACCACCCGTTAACTTGGTGGGTAATTTTCGCCAAGTGTATAATATTTTCTGTCACTCCCTATTTTTTTTACTTTAACTTAATTTAGCCCATGGCTTTATACTGCTCCTACTTCAGAGCAGACTTTTCCCCAGTCTCTCTGTTCTGCTGAATTGCATCTTCACATGTGTTCAAAAAGAAAGAACAAGAAATGAGAAGACAATGATCAAGATCCTTTCCATCTTGTTGCCTCCAAGAGATTTTTTAAATTGAACACATGAAAGGTTATATGACTAGTAAGGTGCTGTACAGAGGAGGAAATAACTAGACATAAGAAAAATATAAAGGCCCCTGGACTAAAAGAATTCTAGACTGTAAACAGCCAGTTGTACTCTCTCCAAGTCTCCAGGCCTTTATCTACTAAAGGAGGAGGTTGGGCTATAAGGCCCTCTCAGGGGTTCCGGAGAACACCAGTATTTTTCATCTCTATGAGCTTCCTCTTCCCTCCTCTACCACTTTGGGGCTTTGAGATTTTAAGGTATTAATGGAGAAAAAGAAAACACTAAACAACAAAAGATGAATAGTAAAGCGCAACTTGAATTTAGAATCCATCTTATACCTAATCTTTTGCTGCAAATGCCTTCAGGACACTGAATTTAAAAGCACTAAAACTTAGTTTATATGTTTTGCATACTCAATGGCCAATGATGGGAAATTACTCAAGATATGAATGGAACAAAATTTTTAAACTTTTCTGGAAATTTCTGTACTTTTTTGAGATTGGGTAGTTTTGAAAATCTTAAATTCCGATTAGATAAAAATATGTAATATAATTAAATACTATTAAAAATAGTACATTTTCAAAGTAGAAAATTAAAAAGCAAAAAAGCTCATGAACAAAGAATATAGTTTATTCATGGTTTCTTACTCAAATCAGCTTGATATGAATGATATACCATTATCATTCCACAGTTTGCAAAGAATTACAAGTTGATGCTCTGAGAAGTGATGGGATGTGCATTTGGTATAACACAGGTACTTTGGAATAGAGCTAGGATAAATCTCCGGGGTTAGAGTTTTTGAACATAGGTTATAAAATCAAGTTAAGGTTTTTGCAAATCTTGGAAATGACCAAATCAAATCTTAAGTGATTGATTTGAGTTCACATTTTTGTGCTATTGAATAACAACTACAGACAACACAGTGTTTGGAGAAAGAAATGGTGTCATGACATCTTTGAAAAAAGGTAAAAGCAAAGATAAAAACCTGTGTGAATACTTGCAGTTGAGAATGTGAAATAATATGATTTAGGGATGATTTACGGAAGTGAAAGTTTTTTTGACCAAAAAAAAAAAAATTGGCCAAGAATCATGGAAATGAAACCTCATGTAAGAGTCGTGTTTGATGAGTTGCCTTAAGAAAGTTCTCAGTGAACATCTCTTTGAGTCAGCTTCTGGATAAGTGAGTTGCACAAAAGCCTCTCTGACATAGTGTGCTGCCAACCCTTGAGGAATCTACATTTGGGCATTATTTCTCTATGATATAAATTTTTAGTCAATCATGTTTGAGAAATCATCACTTAAATTTTTTCCTTTCCTTAACAGAAAGCTCTGTCAGTGCTTTGAAAACAAATATGCTCTATAAATGTAAAAATCAACACTAGCATTACCATTATCACTAACATTTTTTATTTTCCATCTAAATGCAATACTTCATATTTATGGATAACTTTCTTTCAAAAATCTCCTGAGTTTGTCACTGTGCAAATGGTACACATTTGTTTAGAAATTGGTATAGGAAAAGTAAAATACAAAAAAAAAAAAAAAAAAACCCAAAACTTCAAAAGAATTTCAGAAATAGCTCTTTCTGTAATTTATTTCAGAGATGATTGCTTTTATTAAAATTATTTTTGAAGTTTGTAACTAAACTTTAAGAGGAGAAAGATTTTTCAGTCTGTTTGTATTAATATCATGTCTCATAGTGATCATTAACTTTTCTTCAAACTTATATGCCTTCACCAAATAGTTACTGATAGTTTGCCAAAAAAACAGAAGAGAAGAGACATGAACTAATATGTATTAAACATGAACTACTTGAAAGGTATTGTGATGAATATTTTATATTCATTGTTCGATTAACTCCACCCATTATGAGCAAACTGATGGTCCTCTAAGAGCTCATGAATGACTCAGAAATAGTCACACAGCTTGTACAAGGTAGAGATTGGGCTTCAACAATTTCTGGAAATGTTTCAGGATTTCCCTTGGCCCTGACCCCTTCCTCTACCAAGTAATAATTTTTGAAAGCTGCGTATGAGAGAGGTGGAGTTTTTGAAAACTCAGTGGTTCCAGGCAAAATAACTGAGTGAAGTTCACGAGCTGAGAAGAAGCTTGCAACACTGTAGGAGCTATCAGAAGGTTAGCACAGTCACAGGGACAGATGTAATTGAAACTTCAGGTGAGTTTAGAGCACATGCGACCCTATGGACCATGGTAAAGGTTTTGGTCTTCATATTAAGAGAATGGGAAACTTTTAATGTTTCCTATGATTATGACATTATCATATCAGTGACTTAAGAAGATGGCTCTAGCCTGGCCAACATAGTGAAACCCCGTCTCTACCAAAATACAAAAATTAGCCAGGTGTGGTGGTGCAGTCCTGTAGTCCCAACTACTCAGGAGGCTGAGGTATGAGAATAGCTCGAACCCAGTAAGCTGAGGTTGCAGTGAGGCAAGATCATGCCACAGCTCTCCAGCCTGGGCATCAGAGCAAGACCCTGTTAAAAAAAAAAAAAAAAAAAAAAAAAAAAAAAAAAAAGATAGCTCTGACTACTAAGTGGAGAATAGGTGAAAGAAGGAAAGCCATTCAAATAGACGGCAGTGAGAGAAATTTAAGGGAAAGATGCTGGTGATTTGGATTTCACTATTGGCTGCAGAGAAAGTAAGAAGCCGAGAGATTCAAGATGTAAGAAAAATCAACGTGGTTCTGTGATTGACTGGATAGGGTAAAATCAGGAGAATGATTTCAGCCATGATATCAGGTTTCTATCGTAAAAATACAGACAGAAGTTGGAATTAATTATGTATTATTGATTAAAGTTATTAATCATGCATTTTTGATTAAAACAATTATTTTAGCATCTCAGTAAATTAAAGAGGATACACTGAAAAACTTTCTAATCTAGAAATGTTCAACTAGTCAATCTAGACTGAAGAATTTCCCAACATATATGTGATGTGCATGTTCTCTGGAGAGAGCATGCATGTTCATTCCTTCTAAATCAATGTCTACATTGGTAAACTTAAAATATCAAAGAACAAAAAATAAATAATTCAATTCAGAAGCAGTTTTAGTTAAATGTGGCTGAATAAATGCATGCCCTTACCTGTGCCCTTTTTTGAAATAAAGTCATAAACTCCAAAGACAAAGAAAATGGAAGAGAAACTAACAGAGAAAGCAAGGATGAGGAGAAGAAAGTGGAAGAGGAGGAGAAGAAAGTGGAAGAGGAGGAGAAGGAAAGGAAGTAATGAAGAATGGAAGGGAGGAAAAAGGGAGGGAGGAAGAAAGAAAAGAGAAAGAGAAAGAAATAAAGAGGAAAGAAAGAAGAAAAAGAAAGAAAGAGAAAGAAGAAAGAGAAAGAAAGAAGGACAGAAAGAAAGAAAAAAGAAAGAAAGAAAGAAAGAAAGAAAGAAAGAAAGAAAGAAAGAAAAGAAAGAAAGAAAAGGAAGGAAGGGTAAGGAAGGAAGGGAAATAGAGAGGAAGGAAAGGAGGAAGGAAGGAAGAAGAAAGAAAGAGAAAGAAAAAAGAAAGAAAAAGAAAGAGAAAGAAATGTAGGTGGGCAGGGAGGGAGGCAGGGAAGGAGGAAGGAAGGAAGGAAGGAACAAAGGAAAAGAATTCATGATTGGGGGAAGATTAAAAATGAACGGAGAAAATAGCAAAGCAGAGAAATACCATTCACATGTACAGAGGAAAGCCATAGACAAGCAAGATAACATGTAACAGTACCCGCAAAGTTCCAAAAATTAGCAATACCATGTGCCAGCAAATGTGAGAGTAAGTAATGATACTCCAAATAAGGGGATGTGTTAGACAACCAGTACAACTGTGGTCTTACTTCCAACATCACGCAGTTCTTCTATCCCATTCTAGCAGAAATTTCATTCGGTAGATTAATTGAGACAGAGAGACCTCAGGGTCGAGTATACTTGGCACAGCACAGGAAATCAGGAGGATTAACGACAATAAAGAAATTGAATGAGGCCACTTTTAGCTCCCTTTCTTTGTTAGGCTCCAAAAACCTGGGTAATCAATAACTACTGTCACCACCACTGCAACCACCATCACTTCCCATCCTACATCATTCTCCAAGGTCCCCACCATGTCTTCCTTAAGCAGGAGATTGGTAGAGTGTTCACTAGAGAAAAGAAATAACCCCTGAAAATACACTTGTAATTATTTTTATTTGAAGGCATCTCAATAAATACAATAAACTGGTCCCTACAATGTCATCTTAACCAAAAGTTTATCAGTTAACAAATCCAACCCGTCCACATAGAGCTCATAAGTTTTATAGCACGTCATTCTCAAATATAAATGAACAGCCAAATAGTATCAATAAATTTAAAATATCTTCCAATTTGAAAGTCAAAGGACAAAATAAATAGGAAGAAAGCAGCTTGGAGTAAATAAAGACAATACAGATAACAGAAAATGAATATCTTTAAAAATACTATAGCTAATATCCTCAGATAGAAAACAGAAGATAGTCTATCAATAAAACAAGAACAGGGTATTATACAACAGGAGCAATTAGACAATAAGAACTATTTTAAATTAAAAACATGATGCTTAAAAAGTCTCAACATTATATTAAAAATTAAAGTTGAAACAATCTCCCAAAAAGTAATACAAAAAGATAAAATAGAAAATAAAAAAGATACAGTTGCTTAACAAATTTAAGATATTCAAATTATTAGAGTTTTAGAAGAAGAAAACAGAGAACAGAAAATTATACAAAAGAAAATGAATTAAGAAAATATCTCAGAATTGAAGGACGAGTGTCTCTGAAGTGCCAAGGAAAATAAGTCAAAAAAGATGCACATCAAAGTATATCACCATATAAGCTCAAAATACGAGTGTAAAGAGAAAAATTCTAAAATTTTGAGGATAATGTAGAAAGTTCCACATTGAAAAAATAAAGTAATGGCATTGGACTTCTCAAAAGCAACACTAGAAGCTAGAATGCAATAGATGAATGCTTTTAAAATTCTGTAGAAAATAATTTTCAACCTGTAATTATTTACTTGGTAAAATGAAAGTTAAATATAGGCCCTGAATAAAAATGCAAGGTTACAAACCATGGACACCATATGCAAGCTCACAAAATTATCCAAAAATAGATGATGCAACCTCTGATTAAGATAAGGGTAAGTCTCAGGATGGCAGCTGTGTGGCAGACCTATGAAATAGCCTTTCTAGAGTGGCATGGTAAAAAGAGGGATACTCTGGAAAAAGATCTCAAAGAAAATGGAAGGCATGGGATAATTGATATGCTTGAATGTAAGAAACATTTTACATAGAAAGGCTTTATATTACTTTGAAGGGCTTGGGAAAAATATTGATAAAAGAAACATAAAAGCCAAACAATAAACAAAAAAATAACTGCAGAGAGAAAATTTACCCAAAAGTAAACATTGTGTATAATTTTGAATTACTATTAAAAATACGTATTTTTAAAATCCAAACACCAAATAGCAATTTAACTAAAATTATTATAATGATAATAGAAGTAGATAAGGGAATTAGATAAAAATTACAAATCATTTTCACCAATCCACAAAATCGATAAAAAATATACAAAATTGATAAATCAAGAAATTGTTTTGAAAGCAAAATATTTAGTATGAATTAAACTGTCAGGAAGACACAAATGTAAGTGAGTAGAGGAATTTGACAGTGAAGCATATGGCATAGAATATGTTTTTTAAATTATAGTCTTATACTTTGATTTTATTTATTAAAATGTAAAATGTTGGGCCAGGCGCGGTGGCTCACGCCTGTAATCTCCGCACTTTGAGAGGCCGAGGCGGGTAGATCATGAGGTCAGGAGTTTGAGACCAGCCTGGCCAACATAGTGAAGCCTCATCTCTACTAAAAATACAAAAATTAGCTGGGCATGGTGGCAGGTGCTTTTAATCCCAGCTACTCAGGAGGCTGAGGCAGGAGAATAATTTGAACCCAGGAGGTGGGGGTTGCAGTGAGCCAAGATTGTGCCACTGCACTCCAGCCTGGGTGACAGGGCAAGACTCTGTCTCAAAAAAATAAAAGAAAAAAAAAGTGTTTTAGATATATACAAATATAAAAAGTAATTTATTAAAAATGTCGGGGAAAATAGTTGGGAAATCCTCTTGTAGTTAAAACGAATTTAGTTTTACTAACTATGCTTAGAATTTGATTAATAAATGTATTTGCAATATCAAAATGATCTTTATATTTCTTCTTGCATTTTACTCATCAAATGCAGAATATACTGACATAATGGATAACTGTAGGAAGCTAACTTTCTGAAATGAGGCCTAATTGAGCTGTTTTTCATGTAAAATAAGGGTCGTGATTTTGTCTCAAATCAAGCATTATCAACAATTATCTAGACTTTTCTTGAGCAGTCTTTCTGCCATAAGCAAATAGCAAAGCATCAATAACAAAATACTGTATTTGACACTGGATCAGATAATAGTCACAGCATTATAAATAAGAAGTTTAAATATGTGCTTATAAAGTATCCTTTTATTAATTGAGGAAATATTTGTTTGATTATTTGTCTGTGATAAAATTGAAGCTTGAGTTGGATGAACATAATCTTAATGGTTGTAATAATAGTCAATAAATTATTTCAACTATTTTATAAACCTTTTTATTCAATGTACAGACAACCCTAACTAATAATAACAAAATAACAATGACAACAAAGTAATAATAACAGATAACCTTACAGAAACAAAGCTGACAGCCAAACTGGATGAAGTGATAAAGATCACTGGGAATTAATAATTTTGATTTAACTAGTATTTATTGAGCACACAATATGTACCAACAGCCATATTTGGTACTTTGCAAACATTATCTCATTAAGTCTTCAATTTATTGATGAGAAATCCAAGATCACAGAAGCTAGGTAATTTTCCCAAAAATTATACAACTAAAAGAAATTATAGAACCAGGGTTCAAACTTGGCTCAGTCTAAATCTAAAACTCATTCCTTTCTACTGTCAGAAAAAGTTTTTTAATTGAAGGCTTCAGAAGGATTGCTTTTGAGAAGAAACATGAGATGTTGTGACTATTTCTAAAAGAAAGGAATGAATGTTAACAGAGGTTTATAAAAGCAAAATTATTTTGGTTGTGGCTCCCCAAGCAATGAGTCAATTATGCACATACTGAGTTAAAGAAGAAGGAGAAGAAAATAGAAGACGACCATGATCTCTGATTAGATATTTGGTTAGCTTGATAGAAAATGAGTACTGAAATAAAGTAGAGATGGAGATGAAGATCAAATATACAAAACAAAGTTGGAGCAGGGAAAAAATAGAATGAGAGAAGATAAAAAATAGGAGAGAAAGAATAAAATGAGAAGATAAGAGAAGAGAGGAAGGAAGGAAGAGACAAGGAAAGAAAAGTAAATAGAAAAAGGAAAGGAAAGAGAAGAAAGGAGGAGGGAAAGGAAGTGAGAAAGGAGGAAAAAAAAATCAATATCCCTCTTTGTAATAAATACGCTGTGAAATCACTTACGGAAAAATTGAGTAGATGTAATTTTCCCTATTCTCCCTGCTAAGTAAAACAAAAAACTCTGTGTATTATACATAAAACCATAATAAGAATACTCTGACAGGTAGAGTCAAGGCAGACAAGCTAGGGAGCAAGGAATGATATGGTGATGAGTTTCCTGAATTTTGTTTTTGCTTTACATTTCCCAGATTAGAACTGAAGACGTCAGCAACCCAAAAATGTCAATGGGCACAGATTAAATAATTATTATTAATAATAAATAAATAATTAAATCTGTTCTCTTGAGTGAAAAAAGCAGGAAAGGAGCCATCTAGCAAGTCAGAAATATTGTACATAGTAAATTTACTATTCTAGCCAAACACCAAACACCACAGTATATGTTGTGGCTTTATCCTTACACATGACAACAAAGGCTGAATGGGGAACTCAACTTTCACCCTTATCTGGCATTAACAAGGTATTCTAACCTCCCCACTGTGATGGTTTCAGAGAAGGCTGTGTAGGGAGTCTATGCTTCCATTCCCACCTGACAATAATGCAGCACCACTACACTCCTTCCTGGATTTATGCCAGAGGAATCCCAGTAGAGAGTCAGAACTTTTACTACTGCCCAAGAATAACAAAGCTAAAACCCTTGTGGTGTTGATGGTAGAAGACGGGTTGATGTTGAACACATCTTCTTTAGAACTTTTACTACTGTCCAACAGTAACAAGGCTAAAACCCTAAATGGTGTTGATGGGAAGAAAAGATCCTGAATCATTATTGCCAGATGAAAGTAGATGTTCAGATTCCCTTGTTAGCCTTTGTTGACACTCAAGGGAGGAGGCTCTTTGTTAATGCTGCAGATAGTGGAAGTTTTGGCTTCTCACTAGGTCTACACTGATATCTCCCAGACCAAGAGGGGTAGGAGTACATCAGTGGAGACCCCGTGAGGAGCCAAGACTTCCACTATACCCAGTGTTAACAAACAGCCTCCTCCCTTGGGTGTCAACAGAGGCGAAGAAGGAATCTTGACATCTACTTTCATCTGACAATAATGATGCAGCATCTCTTCTTCCCCTGCTAAAGTACTATCAAAATAATTTAGCTAAAATATAAGATTTACATAATATCCAGAATCTTATAACATAATACTGAAGATGTCCTAGGTTTGAAAAATAAGTAATTTGTCACAGCAAAAACCAGGAAGATCTCAAACTAAATAAAAAAGTCTCTAATTAATGTGAAGACTAAGGTGAAAAAGATATTAGCTTATCTAAAAAAATTTAAAGCTGACATCAGAAAAATGTTCTAACCAGCAATTACAAAGGTGCTTAAAACAAACAGAAAAACAGAAAGTCCCAACAATAAAATAAAAAATCTCTGACAGGAAATCGAAGACATTAAGGAGAAACAAACAAAAAGGGTAAGCTTAAAAATATAATAACCAAGTTAAAAATCTCAATGAATGGCTCAACATCAGAATGGAGGGAAAGGAAAGAATCATTGAACTGGAAGATAGGATAACAAAATTGCCCATTCCAAACATACACTGTTCCAGAAAATAGACTGGAGAAAATAACAGAGCCTCAGAAACACATTGAACTATTTTTTGAAATGCTAAAAAAGGGGCTAAAAATTTCCCAAATTTGAGAAAATACATAAATAGAGAGATTCAAGAAACTGAATGGATTTCAAACAGAATAAATCTAAAGAAATCCACATCAAAATACATAATAGTCAAAATTCTAAAAACTAAAATTAGAAATCTTGAAAGAAGTGAAATAAAACACCTTACCTATAGGGAAAAACACTTCTAATAATAACAGATTACTCATTAGAAACTATAGTGGTCAGGAGAAAGTGACAATAATTTTCAAGTATAAATATTCCTTGACTTATGACGGGTTTACATACTGATGAACCCATAATATTTTGAAAATATGCCAAAAATGCATTTAATACACCTAACCTGCTGAACATCAGGAAGCTTAGCCCAGTCTTCCTAAAATATATTCAAAAACTTACATTAGCTTATAGTTGGGCAAAATTATCTAACAAAAAGCCTATTTTATTGTGTTGAATAACTATTGTAATTTATGGAGTATAGTACTAAAAGTGAAAAACAGAATGGTTCTATGGGTACTGAAAGTGCAGTTTTTACTGAATGAGTATTTCTTTTGTACCATAGCAAAGTTAAAAAGTTATAAGTTGAACTACCATAAGTTCAGGACCATCTCTTTAAAAAAGAAACAAAACAACAATAACAAAACAAAAAACAAACAAACGAAAAAACCCTGCCAACTTATAATCCTATATGCAGTAATAATATACTTCCATAATGAAGAAAAAATCAACATATCCTCATATGAACAAAAACTATCAGAATTTGTCACTAGGAGACCTACCCTAAGAAATTAGGTAAATGAACTTCCCTGAACAGAAATGAAACAATAAAAGGAACCTAAGAACATCAGTAAAGAAAAACAAACAGACAAACAGAGTAAGCAAAAATATGGGTAATTTTCTCTTCCCTTGAGATTTTGAAATTATGTTTGATGATGGAAGCAAAAGTTGTAATACTGTTTGATGTGGTTCTAAATGCATGTAGCAAAAATATTTAAGACAATTATAAACAGGAAGGTAAAGATTGTAAAAAGAGGTAAATTTTCTATACTTCACTCAAACTGGTAAAATGATGACACCAGTAATGTGTATGTGTGTGTGTGTGTGTGTGTGTACATGTATTCAAAATGTATTTAACATGCCTAACCTATTGAACATCTACAGTTATAACTACCTAGAGTTATGACATATAACAACTAGATCAACAATTAAAAATAGCTATACAAGTAGATACACTCAAAATGCAATAGATAAATTAAAATTGAATTTTAAAATACGTTCAAGTAACCCACAAAAAGGGAAAAAGCCAGTGCAGTGAAAAACAATAACAAAGAGTAAATAAAAAATGAAATGAAATATTATAAGTGTTATAAAATGAAATAAAAAATTACTCTTTTAAGTCCTAACATATTAATAATTACATTAAATTCAACCAATTAAAAGACAGAAATACCAAGAGGATTAAAAACATGGGTTAACTATATGCTATCTACAACTCTTTTCAAATATGACATTGTTGGAAAATTGAAAGTTAATAAAAAATATATAATGAAAACACTAAGCAAAAGAAAACAGGAGTGACTAAGTTAATATCAGATAGATTATATTTTAGAGCAAAGGAAATTATAAGAGATAAGGAGAGATATTATATAATGACAAAAAGATTACTCCACAGAAAAGATACAGCATTTCTTAAGGTGTATGCATCAAAATATATAACTGCAAAATAAAGAAAGAAAAATTTTATAGAACTCCAAAGAGAAATAGACAAATCCATAATTATATTTTGTAACTTCAACATCCATTTCTCAAAAATTGATGGAACAACTATACTAATAATCAGCAAGGATATACAGGAACTCAAATCACCATCTACCACCAGGATCTAGTTAACATTTATAGAACACTCCACCCAGTATCAGCAAAATACACATTATTTTCAAATGGCCATAGAGCATATTCCTTGAGACATGATATCCAGAAACATTTAAAAACATAAAATTAAAACTAACGCATTTTAAAAATTGAAAATAGTTGTTCTCAGACAAAAATGGAAGGGAACTAAAAATTCATAATAAAATGATACCAGAAAAATTTCCAAACATTTGTAAAATTTCCAAACTGTATACTTCTAAATAGCAGGTAATAAGGAAATCTCATGGGAAATTAAATAAAAATATATTGAACATGAAAATGAACCTTATGAACATAAAAATTCCACTCTGTTTCCAATACCACTTTCATGTTTGATGATTAACTAGAATAACTCACAGAATACAGAAAAGCTATTGTACTCACCCTTATAGTTTATATCAGAAAAAAATAGATGAAAAATAGCAAAAGGAAAAACACACATGGGTAAAATCCAAGAGAAATTAGATGTAAGTTTCCGGGTGTCTCCTCCTACTGGCATTACACAGGGTTGTACTTAATTCTCCTACTAATGATGTGCATAACACAGATGGAGTATTGCCTACCAGGTAAGCTTTCCTGAGTCTTGGCATCAGGGGGCTTGCAGAGAGGTGGTCAGTTACATAGGCATGTAGCACCTAAGCAACTGACCTCAGTTATTAAGTCTCCTGCCCTCTAGACGTCAAACTGACATAGCCTGACTGAGAGTCTCAGACATATAAAAACTGACATTTACCATAAATCACATTGCTAGCATACACTATCAGGATTCAACAGAGATCTATAACATGGGCCAAGATCTCAGAGACCCATAGTATAAGCCAAGATCTCAGGCATACACAAACACTCTTATTAGATAGAATATTCTAAGGGATAAAAAGTTATCTCCCAGGAGCCATTCAAGACCAGATCCTTCTTTGGAATGTGTAGCGTTTGACAACACAGGTCTGCTAAGCTAATCTTTTACTGCACAACAACATATTACAATTTGTGGGACACAGCTAAAGTGTTGCTGAGAGAGAAAATTACATCACAAAATGCATTTGAAGTGTTGCAAAGAAAAGAACAAAAGTTTCAAATCAAAAGCCTAAAGTATTATTTCAAGAACCTAGAGAAAGGATAGCAAAATAAATCCAAAATAAGGGAATCAGAGTCATGACTGGGTGTGAAGCAGGCAAAAAAATCACTGCAGGAGGTAGTTCTGATTGGTCCATTCTTGCTGCAGTTTCTGATTCTCTGCAGAGCAACAGCCATGGCCCCTGTCTGCACCATCACCTCTGCCTTCATTGTTATTGGAGGTTGAGCTGTCTGGACTCTGGCATCACTGCTGAGGAATGAGGAAAGGAGAATAGACTCTGTGATCCACCTTGGCCTAGGGCCTTGCCTTGGAGCTGTGAGGAAAAATATTCTCCCCTACAAAAGCAACTTCAAAAAATTGGAACAAGTGACTGCTACAACAGATATGCAGATATCAATGGAGGACACAGAAAACATGAAAGAGCAGAGAAATATGACACTACCAATGGGCAACAATTGTCTGGCAACAGATCCCAGTAAAAAATAATTTCACAAAATTCCAGATAAAGAATTCAAAATATTGGCTTTGAATGAAATGAGAAGCTGAATAAGATGAAACAAAAATCTGAAAATCGATACAAAGAAAGCAGAAAATCAATTAAGAAAATGAATGTAAAATTTACCAAGGTGATAAATATCTTTTAAAAAAAGCAGAAATGCTGGAGCTAAAAATTCAATGAAGGAAATACTAAATACATTAAACACCTCAATAATAGACTAGACCAAGCAGAAGAAAGTCTTTCAGAACTTGACATGGCTTTTGAAATAATTCAGTGTGACAAAGATAAGAAAACATAAATAAAAAAGAATAAACAAAGCCTTTGAGATACCTCAGATAACATAAAGTGACCACACTTACCAATTATTGGTATTCCCAAGAGGAAAGACAGATCAAAAAGTTTAGAAAGCCTATTTAAGGAACTAATCAATGAAAACATTTCAAGTCTAGCAAGACAATTAAACATCCAGGTACAGGAGGCTCAGAGAGCCTCAGGCAAATGTATTACAAAAAGGACTTCATCACAGCATGTTATATTTAGAATGTCTAATGTCAAAATGAAATAATTTTAAAATTAGCGAGATAAAAATACCTAGTCGCCTATAAGGGAGACTACCTTAGATTAATAGTAGACTTTTCATCAGAAACCTAAGAAGCCAGAAGCAAACAGGATGACATTTTCAAAGCATTGAAAGGAAAACAGTGTCAGCCAAGAATTTTATATCCTGCCAGAGCAAGCTTCATAAGTAAAGAAGAAATAAGATATTTCCTCAATAAGCAAACACTGAGGGAATTTGTCACCACTAGACTAGCCCTACAAGAAATACTCAAAGAGGTCTTAAACATTAAAAACAAAGATCTGTAGTTACCATCACAAAAATACATGGAAATATAAAACTTACACTTCTTACAAAACAATCACATGAAGAAGGAAGAGACAGGAATCAAATGTCAACACAACAGAATTTCATTAAACCACAAAGACAAAAAGAAAAAGAAAAAAATTATACAACTTATAAACAATTAACAATATGACAGGAACAAAGCTTCACATCTCAGTATTAATCTTGAGTGTAAATGAGTTAAAATGTACCACTTAAAATATAGAAATTGGCAGAATGGATTTTTAAAAAGCATGATGCATCTATATACTGCCTACAAGAAACTCACCTTACTCAAAAAGACACATATAGACTGAAAGTAAAGACATTAAAAAAGATATTCCATGCAATTTGAAGCAAAAGGCCATGAGGATTAGCTACACTTATTTTAGATAAAGCAGACTTTAAATCAAAATCAATAAAAAGTGACAAGAAAGATTATTACATAATGATAAAGGGATCAATTCAGTGAGAAGATATAACATTCTAAATATATGCACCCAACATCAGAGCACCCAAATTTACAAAACAAATATTACCAGACATAAAGAAAGAATTAGAGAGCAATATATTTATAGTGGGAGACTTCAACACCCCACTCAGAGTAGTAGACAGATTGAGACAGAAAATTAATAAAGAAACTTAGAACTTAAATTAGACTTTAGGCCATGTACACTTAATGGTCATTTACAGAACATTCTACTCAATGAATGCAGAATATACTTTTTTTAATCAGCAGATGAAACATTTTCCATTTTCATACCACATATTAGGGCATAAAGCAAGTCAACATATTTTTTCAATTTATATTATGTCAAGTATCTTCTCAGACTACAGTGGAATAAAACTAGAAATCAATACCAAGAACTTCAGAAACTACACAAATACATGGAAATTAAACAGCATGTTCCTGAACAATCATTGAGTTAATGAAGAAATTAAGATATAAATTTTAAAAATTTTTAAATAAATGAAAATCATGCACAACATACAAAAACCTATGTGATACAGCAAAAGCAGTGTTCAGAGGGAATTTTATAGCATTAAATGCTTACATCAAAAAAGTGGAAATATCACAAGTTAGCTATCTAATGTTATACCTCAACGAACTAGAAAAACCAGAAAAGTCAAAGCCAAAGTTATTAGGAAAAAAGAACTAACAAAGATCAGAGCAGAATAAAATAGAGACCAAAAAAATTACTAAAGATCAACAAAACAAAAGGTTGGTTCTTTGAAAAGGTAAACAAATTGATAAACCACTAACTAAACTAAAGAGAAGACTCAACTATGATCAGAAATGAAAAACAGAAACATTACAAATGATACCACAGAAATATAAAAGATCATCAGAAACTATTATGAACAACTATATGCTCACAAATCAGAAAACCTAGAGAAAAATAGATAAATTCCTGGAAACATGCAATCTGCTGAGATTGAACCAGGAAGAAAGACAACTCCTGAACAGGCTAATGATGAGTAGCAAGAATTAATCAGAAAAAAAAAGCCCAGGACAAGATGGATTCTACCACAAATACAAAGAAGGGCTAATACCCATCATCCTGAAACTATTCCAACAAGTTGAGGAGGAGAGAAATTTTCCTAACTCATTCTACAAGGCCAAATATCCATGATGAAAATAGACACAAATATCCTCAACAGAATATTAGCAAATCAATGGCTGGGTGTGGTGGCTCAGACCTATAACCCCAGTACTTTGGGAGGCTTAGGCTAGAGGAACATTTAAAGCTAGAAGTTTGAGACCAGCCTGGGCAGTATAGCAGGACCCCATCTCTACAAAAAATTAAAATAAAGAAAATAAATTAGTCAGGCATGCTGGAACATGCATATAGTCCTAGCTACTTGGAAGGCTGAAATGGGAAGATAAATTGAGCCCAGGAGTTCAGGGATGCAGTGAGACATGACCATGCCACCGCACTTCAGCCTGGGTGACAGAGACAGACCCTGTCTCAAAGAAAAAAAAAAAAAAAAACTAGCAAATTAAATGTAACAGTGCATTGAAATTGAAAAATAATAAATACATTATGGTGAGGCTGAATTTATCCCAGGGAGGTGAGGATGAGTCAACATATATAAATCAATAAATGTGATATATCACATAAACAGAATTAAGGACAAAAACTATATTATCACCTCAATAGATGCAGAAAAAGTAACTGACAGAATTCAGCATATTTTATGATGGAAAATTCTCAACTATGAATAGAAGGAACATACCTCAACATAATAAAGGCCATATATGACAAATATGACAAACCCACAGCCAACATTATAGTTAACAGAGAAAAGTTGAAAGCGTTCCCTCTAAGAACTGGAACAAGGCAAGGATGACCACTTTCACCACTCTTATTCAACATAGTACTAGAAGTCCTTATCAGAGCAATCAGGCAAGTGAAAATAAAAATTAAAGGCATCCAGATTGGAGAAGAGAAAGTCAAATTATGCCTGTTGGCCAATGATATAATCTTACGTCTAGAAAGCTCTAATGATGCCACCACAAACCTCTTATATTTGATAAATGAATTCAATAACATTTCAGGATACAAAATTAATGTACTGAAATCAGTAGTGATTCTATACACAAATAATTCTCTAGCTGAGCACCAAATCAAGAAGGCAATCACATTTACAATAGCTATAAAAATGTCTAGGAATATATTAAACCAGGGAGATGAAAGATCTTTATAAGAATTACAAAACACTGATGAAAGAAATTGTAGATGATGGAAAAACATCCTATGCTGATATGGTTTGTTTGCGTGCCTACCCAAATCTTACCTTGAATTGTAGCTCCCATAATCCCCACATGTCAAGGGAGGGACCTGGGGCAAGGTAATTGAATCATGGGGGCAGGTTTTTGCTGTGCTGTTCTCGTTATAGTAAGTCTCATGAGATCTGATGGTTTTATAAAGGGCAGTTCCCCTGCACATGTGCTCCTGCCTGATGCCATGTAAGACGTGCCTTTACTCCTCCTTTACCTTCCGCCATGTTTATGAGGTCTCCCCAGCCATGTGGAACTGTGAGTCCATTAAAGCTCTTTTTCTCTATAAATTACCCAGTCTCAAGTGTGTCTTTATTAGCAGCATGAGAACTGACTGATATACATGATCATGGATTGGAAGAATCATTATTAAAATGACCATACTGTGATATGGTACACATGTGTAATATTTGGAATAGATATGGTATAGTATTACAGGTATAATGTAGGAAAGCACATTATCTTGTATAATCAGACTCTTCTAGCTAATCCATATGCTTATATTTAATTGTGATGTTTCACTTGACATAGCACTTTACTGATTACACCAGTTTTTACATATCATTAAATGAGCCAGATTATATGAATTCATTTGGAAAGCCTCAAGTGCCACCGAAAGGCAAAACACTTGATGGGTTATTAACAGTTATTGAGCACTAGTTTTTTGCCAGGTATTCTGTGTGACATGTGTAGGTAAAGGACATGATCACTGCCTTGGAGGACCTCAGAGAAAACAATTTAAATAGTGCAGTAAATGCTGCAAAGAGGGAAGCACAAGATGATATGGAACCACAAACAACAACCACCTAGCCTAGACTTTGTGAGAATATGTAGAGCTGCCTACCAGTGGTGACATCCAAACTCAGATCTTAAAGAAAAGAGTCATACAAATAGAGGTAAATGAGGATTTTAGGCAGAGTACACTACAGAGACAAAGGAACCACATGCATGAAGTACCATTTAAGATATTGTATTAGTTTGTTCTCATACTGCTATGAAGAAATACCAGAAACTAGGTAATTTATAAAGGAAATAATTTTAATTGACTCACAGTTCTGCATTGCTGGGGAGGCCTCAGGAAAACTACAATCATGGCAGAGGCAGAGGAGAAACAGGTACCTTCTTCACAAAGTGGCAAGATGGAGTGAGTGCAAGCAACGGAAATGCCAGACACTTCTAAAACCATCAGACCTCATGAGACTCACTCACTATCATGAGAACAGCATGGGGGAAACCACCCCCATGATCCAATTACTTTCACCTGTTCCCACCCTTGACATGTCGGGATTGTGGCAATTACAATTCAAAGTATGATTTTGGGTGAGGGCACAGCCAAATCATATCAGATATTGACTAAGAAGATATACTGGGAAACTCAGAGCTCTTGCTTCTGCACCAGCTCTGACATTTACACTGTTGTAAATGTATGAAAGCAAATCAATTCCTATGAGCCTTAATTCCCCTATCTCTAAAATGAGAGTTATTATATCTTCTGTAAGAGGTGTTTGAGAGCTATATAAACCAAAGAAGAGAAAATATGTAATGTGCCTAGAACCGCAGACAGACAAACGTGCAGTGCATAGTAGCTCTCACTAGTACAATGTGTTTTGATATATCAGTGCTGTGACCAGCCTGCACTCTGGTCAGGACGTTTTGGTCTCATGGAATTGCTGCTTTGCTCTTTCATCAATGGCTGTTTTCTTTTTGGCTCAGTTCCAGTGCCTGAAGAACCATTGATCAGCAGTGAGAGGAGGCCTTTGATAGGTGGCCAAGGCAAAGCAGAGGGTTGTCATGAATAATGTGGTTCAGAAGTACAGTTTATGAATGAAGAAGGAGAAAAAAGCTTTCACCTGATCTGCCTTTTGGTCTATGAGTAGAAAGTTAAGCAAAAAGAGAGCAATTAAAAAAATTTAATGAAAAATACGTATTTGGAAAGAATGTGATATTTCTAACAGACCTGCTTATTGTACACATTGGCTCCTTCCTTTCTCTCTTACCTTATTCATGCCATGCTCAATCTGGAAACTTCATCCAGCAGTAGACAACTATTTATAGTTTCCTGGAGACACTGTGCTATTTAATACCTCCATGTCTTTATATAAACTCTTTCCTCTGAATGGATTATCTTTCCTGACCTCCACTCAGGTCTGATTTCAGCTATGAAAATTTCTCTTATTTCTTATCTAAAAACAAGATTAATAGCACTTTGGGAGGCCAAGGTGGGCGGATCACGAGGTCAGGAGATCGAGACCATCCTGGTTAACATGGTGAAACCCCATTTCTACTAAAAATACATAAAAGTAGCCAGGCATGGTGCTGTGTGCCCGTAGTCCCAGCTACTCGGGAGGCTGAGGCAGGAAAATGGCGTGAACCCGGGAGGCAGAGCTTGCAGTGAGCGGAGATCATGCCACTGCACTCCAGCCTGAGCAACAGAGCAAGACTCCATCTCAAAATAAATAAATAAATAAATAAATAAATAAATAAATAAATAAATAAATAAATAAGCTACTTGTTTCTTGACCATTTTATGACGCTTCTCTATTGGAGTCATCACTGCTTCTTGAGCTGAATCTATATATGGCCATGTAAAGGTCCCAGAAACCCACATGGGAAGCCTAGCACATTTTTTAAAATTTACCAATTTTCCTGGAAGATTTTAAGATTAAAAAGCCCAATGAATTAGAAGAAACATATTATATAGCATTTACAAATTTTTCTTAAAATATAGAACAAGAATCCCAAGATGTTTACTCTTAAATATTTAAATATTTACTCTGTGGCTACTTATTGTGATTTTTGGCTTCAGATTTCTTGGGGGCAATCTATCTCTTCGATTTTCATAGAAAAGTTTAAGAATGAGAGGTGGAAACTACACCTCACCTTACATTTTACTCATTGTTCTTTTGTCTATATTACTGAGAACATCAGGAAACACATTTAATAAAGGCACCCATTGTTATTCATCAGTGTGTCCTTAGTATCATGCATACAGAACAGAATCAGGTGTCTTTCAAGTTAAACCAGAATGAAGCATATAGGATTTCATCAAGCATAGTAAAAAATAATGACATTAGACAACTCAGTTAATAAATCTGTTCTGTGAAGTGCTGAAAGTGGATGTCACATAAGAAAAGGACAAAGCTGGTTTATACAACAGTCTGTCACATAGAAATCTCACTTAATCAATATTTCATTGACACTGATCTTCATAATGTAGACCTCAGAATAATTTGTGAGGCATTAAAGGGAGGTCAAATTTGATTAAATCTTATTTATAAACTCTTAGGGCTGGGAGTGGACTTAGAAATCATTTGGTTCAGAGATGGCAAATGTGCATATGTGTGTGACCACTTTCACTTTCTAAGACCCTGTCAGACATCATTAATCAATCGTGAGACTTCTCCTTTCACTGAGCCTAGTTACAGATGCAGAACATTTCTTAACTCACTACTCTAGACAGACACAACCAGTCAAAATGATCTTGCAAAAAAACTAATCTATCTTTGATTGACTCCAACCCTAAATTCAAAAAATGGATGTCCTCTGTAATATTCTGCACAAACAGGCATCAAGTTCCTGATTGAGCACTTCTAAAGTGAGGCATTCCCTGAGTAGGTCTTTTATCATATTATGATTATGTAATCAATAGTGAATACATGTGTCCTTAAGAAGAGTTACATGCATCCAGCAAATCCTAGCCCCCCACATACTGTAATCCAAAGGACACTGCCAAACAGGAATTATTAATCCCATTTTATAAATAGGAAAAATTAGAATCTAAGACAGAGACAGGGAAAAGGCAACACATAGTTTGTCCTGCTTAGTGTTTTAAAGAGAAAACTAAGCCTACCTTTAAAAATCAGAAGATTTTGCATAAAAATGTGGTTTCACCACTTTTTTTATCTATATATGTATTTATTATACTTTAAGTTCTAGGGTACATGTGCACAACCTTCAGTTTTGTTACATATGTATACATGTGCCTTGTTGGTTTCCAGCTTCATCCATGTCCCTACAAAGGACATGAACTCATCATTTTTTATGGCTGCATAGTATTCCATGGTGTATATGTGCCACATTTTCTTAATCCAGTCTATCATTAAGACTTAATCCAGTTTATCATAATTGGACATTTGGCTTGGTTCCAAGTCTTTGCTTTTGTGAAGAGTGCCACAATAAACATACAAGTGCATGTGTCTATAGCAGCATGATTTATAATCCTTTGGGTATATACCCAGTAATGGGATGGCTGGGTCAAATGGTATTTCTAGTTCTAGATCCCTGAGGAATCGCCACACTCACTTCCACAATGGTTGAACTAGTTTACAGTCCCACCAACAATGTAAAAGTGTTCCTATTTCTCCACATCCTCTCCAGCACCTGTTGTTTCCTGACTTTTGAATGATCGCCATTCTAACTGGTGTGAGATGGTATCTCATTGTGGTTTTGATTTGCATTTCTCTGATGGCCAGTGATGATGAACACTTTTTCATGTGTCTGTTGGCTGCATAAATGTCTTCTTTTGAGAAGTGTCTGTTCATAACCTTTGCCCACTTGTTGATGGGGTTGTTTGATTTTTTCTTGTAAATTTGTTTAAGTTCTTTGTAGATTCTGGATATTAGCCCTTTGTCAGATGAGTAGATTGCAAAAATTTTCTCCCATTCTGTAGGTTGCCTGTTCACTCTGATGGTAGTTTCTTTCACCACTTTTTTTTTAAAGTAAGAATAAACTTATTTTTTTCACATGGCAGCAATTGGCCCATGCTTTATAGAAGTTGGACCCTTTGATGGCTTTTTACTTGCAGTTTTCCACAATTCCCACTATGTTCACAATTCACAAGGGCTAACTTTCCTTCCTGCCTGCTTCAGTCATGCTACCTGTGAGTCTTTTGTAAGAAGCTAAGTTGACATTGACTCCAAGTTTCCCAAAGCTCACGTGGCTATTGTTTTTCTGCCATTGCATTTGCTCTTCCCTCTGACTTGAATGGCTTTCTCTTCCATTTCCATATTACTGAAACTAAAAATTGGCAGGGGTGGGGAAGACTAGGACTCTGGAGATGTGAAAACTTTGGAGAGTTTATCTTACTTTTGCAGCCTTTTATACCCTGGATAATTTGTAGATTATATTTACCAAGGCAGGACGCTGAGAATCCAGGTTTATACTAGTAAAGGACGGCTGGTGGGGGTCCAAGAAAACAGTAGAACATTTAGCAGACTTCGGTGGTCTCATTAAGCTTAGTATGTGTTTTCTAATTTCACCTGGATTTTTATTCATATCATACAACCTAACAGCTCACATGTCAGCTTACCATATGGAGACTCTCAGTTCTGCATGCGTAAGTCATAAAGGATCTCAGTAAAGTCTCATTGCCTTTACAGTGGTATTTTGATAAGTGCACTTACTTTGTTGTCATGTCTTTGTCTTTCTACTCCAGTGCCTATCTAATTACCTGTCACATAGTCAGAGCTCAATAATGCTTCCCAAAGCATTCATCTGCATCATTGCTCGGTACCTTAATCTCTTCCTTCACGGTCTCTTGCAAATATTATGTCATAATCTACCCACAAGCCACCAAGAAGTAGGTGGAAAATGTTATTCTCATTTCACTGATGGCAAATATCAGATAAAATAGGAACCACATGATTTACCTGTTATCTTACATAGCGTTAAGGGCACAAATATAGTTTGCAAAATAGTATTTGTTAAGTCAAATGTCGCTGAGAGACAGTGAAGTGAAACAGAATGAGTGTGGAATCTGCAACAAATTCTAGAGCTCATTTTTACTAGCTTCTGTCAACTGTGTCAGTTACTTCCCTTGGTTTTCTTGGGTACCAAGCTTCAATGCCTTTCAGGTGCATTGTAATTTTTGGCTAAAAAGAATGACTGTCTACAATTTCATGATGCTCAAACAGTTCTGTGCATATTCAAAAAGTTTTATTTCAGTTTTATGCCCAACTAACTTTCCTTCTGTAACTCAGTCTCAAGTACAGGTGTGACAGTGATATAGGACAAAGCTGGGGGAGTCCTAGTGTTAAATAGATAGCACACTGGTTTTCTTATTTCCAAAGGCTAACAGAAGATTCTTTCCCTGGCTTTCTTATTAAAATGCATTGTCTCCCATGATGTGTCTCAACCTTTCTGATAAAGTGTCTTGTGATAGTTCCGCTTTATTGATGAGCCAGACATGATTATATTTGAAATATCAAGTGTAGGCATAGAATAGGGTGAAGCTGGAATCATTAACCATAGAGATATGTACAGGGTACAATTGGGACAAAGAGATAAATGAGAGAAGCAATCAAGTAAACTTAGAGAAGGAGGAATAAAAGGGGGCATAGGAAAAATTTCAATGTAAAAGTGATTCTTCTGTTAGATCTTGAAGGATCCTGGTGACTAAAAATCTCACCAAGGCAACACAAAATTAAAACCACTTTAGCTAAAGGAAACCAAGGAGGCAAAGAAGTGGGAACCATGGCCGGGTGTGATGGCTCATGCCTCTAATCCCAGCACTTTGGGAAGCTGAGGTGAGCAGATCACTTGAGGTCAGGAATTCTAGACCAGCCTGGCCAACATGGTGAAACCCCCTCTCTACTAAAAATACAAAAAGTCCAGGCATGGTGGTGCATGCTTGTAATCCCAGCTACTCAGGAGGCTGAGGCATGAGAATTGCTTGAACCCGGGAGGCAGAAGTTGCAGTGAGTCAAGATTGCACCACCACACTCCAGCCCGGGCAACAGAGTGAGGCTCTGTCTCAATTAAAAAAAAAAAAAAAGTGAGAACCACTATCATGGTAGGAGGCAATCAATTCTGTTTTAGCAGAAAACACCAGGGGGTATATGGCTAGAGATGGAGCAGAAAAAGGGCTTTTAATACTCATGAATGAAAGAAAGGAAAGAATAAAGGACAGAAAAGAGGGAAGGAGGATGGGGAAGGAAGAGGGAGAAAGAGAGACAGAAAGACAGAGAGAGACAGAAGAAAATTGTTAGAGGCATTATTACAAAATATATTTATTAGTTTGGCATTTAAAACTTTCTCTAGACTTAGATTTATTTGTTTTGAGATGAAGTCTCACTCTGTAGCTCAAGCTGGAGTGCAGTGGTACAGTCTCGGCTCACTGCAACTTCTGCCTCTGGGGCTCAAGCGATTCTTGTGCCTCAGTCTCCCAAGTAGCTGGGACTACAGGTACACGCCACCATGCCCAGCTAATTTTTGTATTTTCGCAGAGATGGGGTTTCACCATGTTGCCCAGGGTGGTCTCGAACTCCTGAGCTGAGTTGTGTTTTTTTTTTTGAAACGCAGTCTTGCTCTGTCACCCAGGCTGGAGTGCAGTGGGCCAATCTAGGCTCACTGCAACCTCTGCCTCCTGGGTTCAAGCGATTCTCCTGCTTCAGTCTCCCGAGCAGCTGGGACTAAGGGCGTGTGCCACCACGCTCGGTTAATTTTTTTTATTTTTAGTAGAGGTGGGGTTTCACCGTGTTAACCAGGATGGTCTCAATCTCCTGACCTCGTGATCCACCCGCCTTGGCCTCCCAAATTGCTGGGATTGCAGGCGTGAGCCACCGGGCCTAGCCTGAGTTTTAATACAGGCCCTTTGATTTCAAAGCCCATGCTTATTCTCTGGTGCCACCCAGCACCTCCAAGATAACTTCTGGTGAGGACTTTGCTGTCACTGAAACTGGTAAATTCTGATGTTTGCTTACAAATTAGCAGTGCTCCTTTGTGCTTAAACTTTAACAGTTTGAATGAGATAGTTGCCACCTCACTTTGGATCTCTTTCCCATAGTCCCAAAGCACTTTGAAGGGCCTATGTAAGAAGAGACAACTGAACAGATATTTACTAAAGCCCAACTCTGACTTTAATTAGACCTATAATTTTGGCAAGACACACAAAACTTTTCTTTCAAGGTTTTTCATTTAGTAAAATATTTTAAAGGAGATCAGTTTTGAATATTTAAGTAAGAAGCTCATGTGGGGATATTAGAAAGATCTGGGTTTGAACCTTCACTCTGCCACTTTCTACATGCATAATCTTTATTATTAGTTAACTGCTTTGACACTCAGATTTCTTATTTTTAAAATGGGGAAAATGAAAATCATACGTTTTCAAAGCTTTCATATGAAGATGAAATATGACCACATCTGTAATGTTCCTACTGCAGTACCTACTACAGATCTTTAGAAGTAGAAGGTAAATTTACTTTTCACATGCACAGAGCTTCATATGAAAGAAAAATTGTCCTTATACTTTCTGACCTCGGTTATGGAGCAAATACCAAGTGATTGGGCTGCTTTGGAGAATTTCCCAGGAGGTTTGGGGCAGAGGTGGGAAACCCCCTCTGTTGCATGTCTAAGTACAAGATTTCAATTCAGAGACAGTCTGCAGGGCTTTTGCCTAATACATTATTTCCATTACTTCCCCTGCACCCATCTTTACTTTCTCCATCCATCCTACCAACCATGTCGGAACCCTCTGCCAGAATTCTCTGCTCCAACTTCACAGCCAGGCTGAGCTAGGCTGATTCACAAAGGCTGTTCCCAAGTTGAAGACTGGCCAGGATCAGCAGTGAAAGTTGATTGGTTTGGCATGGGCAGTGATTAATGATTAATCAGAATCAGTGTTAGCTGAACACCACAACTATGGCCATGCCATTCTGAACAGGCAACAAATCAGTGATAGCTGGAATAGAGATGCATATTTTGAAATTTTACCTTTATTTTAGTTTAATACCGAACTAGCAAATAACCAGCGAGAGGAATACACAGGAAATCAAAGATACCAGTGGGTGAAAACGCAGCTGCCAATGCCACCCGGGCTCCTCAGAGGTGTGACTTGAGTCCATAATAGAGCATAATAGTCAATGCTGAGTCAGTGTGTCTCAGAACCTTCCACTCTTTATCTTTGGGTGCAAGCAGCCCCAACTCTCAAGGATCCATACTGTTTGCAAAATAGGAAAATTTGACCTGCCCAAGGGTTATATACTTCTGAGTATATTTCTTGCATCACTAGGAGTACTTAGCTTCCTGGTGACCTGACCAGGGCCTTCTACAGGGCCAGCCTAGCTGACTTGGCTTGTCCCCACTATGCTGGGTACTGTCTAGTGGCCTCCACAGACAGGTAGCTTGAGTTCAAGATTCCAATTCAACCACTTAAAGCTGAATGTACATGAGTAATTTAAGTTCTAGAAATAGACTCTATGGAAAAACAAACAAACAAACAAACAAACAAAAAAGCTGTTCATCAAATTAACCTTGACTTTCTACCTTTAACTTTTTAGTTGGAAAACTCTTTTGGAAAAAAAATGAAAAATCTTAACTTTGTCTGTCAGGTATACACAATATAGGCCTTCCTGGGCCCTCCTGCTGGATTTCCACTTATGCAGTGTCTCTGCCTGCATAAGCCTTTCATGGTTCCTTAATTACCCCTCTGTTCAGAATGTTATTCTTTTATTCTTCCCTTATTAACTCCAGGTTACTTTCAGATATCAGGCTTAGAGTTCTCCAGTGTATCTTTCCTTGAGCCCTTCAGTTTAGGCTATATTTCATTTGTTTGGTTTTGTTTATACTTTCAATGTCTTTTATACTGCTAAGCAAAACCATAATATATTAATTGGATGGATGAAAATGACATTACACTATATCAATTATTGTTTCTACTGCAGAAGAAGTTATCTAGGGAAAATGTAGCTTCTATTCTATCATGATTACCATAATTTGCCCCAAGAAAAAGACAAGATATAAAAATAAAGAGTTACTGGGTTGTCATGAATTTTCTTTTTAAATACTATCTTTTAACATTTTCTGATATATTTTTTAAAAGCCTAGGGAAACTGAAAACCTAATAGTAAAGTATAGTAATTATTTTAAATATTGATTTTCTGCAGTACTTACAGTCTATATGACTAATTTGGCATGGGTAAATTGTCTTGTATTTTCCCTGCATGTATTTCTTTCTTTTTAACAGCTTCATTGAGATATAATGTACATACTATAAAATTCAGCCATATAAAATCTGCAACTAATGGTTTGTTTTTAGTATGTTTACAGAGTTGTACAATCATCATATGGTAATTTTTAAATATAATCATCACTCCAAAAAGAAACTGCATAGGCTAAATTTTAAATACATTTTTGGACAATTACGTATCTTTCTTACAGAGCACTGATCTCCTTTGTTAATACACATTTATTAATGTTTTGTTCAGTTAATACCTATTTCTTACTTTAAAGCATAAGCATGGGAACAGAGTCTGTATCTATTTTGGGGCCACCTTTCTGTCACTAGTGCCTAGCAGGCTACTTGTCATACAGTAGAAGATTTATTCCTTTGTTAAGGAATTTGACTCACAAGCCTCAATGTTATCATCTGTAAAGGAAGATGAAAATATTAATACATATCACACAGGATGTTTTGAGAGTCAAAAAATATAATTCGTGCAAGATCACCTTTAAACTGAAATACATATACATCTTAAATATTATTTAATAAATATTTTCAACTCAGGGAAAAATCTAGATTACAGAGACATGAAATTGGGAATATGACAGCAAGTGACTAGATGCTCTCAATTTCTCTTCCTTTTCCCAAGAACAGAGGAAGAATAAATTTCCTAGAGTTCTTTATGATTCCTATGGGCCATAAAATATACCCTCATGACTACTTCTGGACAACGGGATGGGAGCAGGAGTGATATGCACCATTTGAAAGACCAGACCTTAAAATCATCTTGAGGTTCTCATGACAAAAAAAAGAGTACAGAGTTGTAGTGACACTATGGAAGAATCATGGATGTGTTTCTTCAAGGAAAACTTCTTAGGAAAGCAATCAAATCTGCAACAAACTATGACACGAGGAAGAATTCCACTATTTTGTTTACTAAGTCACTGAGATTACCAGGTGGTTGGTTATATAACCTTATACAGAAATTGATACTTTGAAGAGGGGACTACCATAACACAAAGATAAAGACATGGCATTGGTTAAGCATTCAGAGATGAGCATCATGGAAGCTGACACAGGCTCTAAGCATAGGTCTCCAGATTATGCAGTTGCAAGACACTTCATTTGAATCCCTTCTGTAGTTGTTCTCAATACAGAGAGCACGCTTAGTCAACCAATAGCTCCAGCAGAAAAGCTTGGAAAGCAGAATCTTGGTAGGATATGTTGGCTACCAATGGGTGGTCTGGTAAGATATTTTAAGTTATGACCTCAAGGAATAATTAGATACTTTGCAGGCAGAAATGAAAAAGAATAAAGAAAGTTGAGAAATTCAAGGCCTTTTAGGGGTGTAAAAAGTGAGAAGATTCTAGATTCTAGACCTTCAAAAGTAAGATATGAGATGTTTAATGACTTTGAAATACTAAGTCTAGGAAAAACTCTTCAGTTGGATGAAGTGACTAGAGCAATGACAAATTCAGACTCAATCAATCCCATTCAATCCCTCTAACCTCAAGGTAGCTTTAGTTAAGACAGAGAGGCAGGGTTCTGAAAAAGCAAAGAAATAAAGCAGGTCAGAGAACTGTGTCTAGGAAAGGTTCTAGGGTGTGGTTACTGGACATGAAACTGACTGGAATGTACAGAGATTAGAAGCTATGAAGGTGTTGAAAGAATTACATTGACAAAGAAGTCACAAATTAATTCAAAACGTCTTTGGCTTTTTGAGACTTGAGGTAACCTTTAGGATCCTGACCTATCACAAGCAGGCAGAAAGTCTCAAAACCCCTAACAATGGTATGCTTTCCAGCATTCACTTTAGAGTCCCCAAAGAAACTGAACAAAGAGAAGACCCTCAAGAGTAGAGCCACAGGCCATAAACTATAAAAGACAAGGGATTTCCTCCAACAGAGAGCAAAATCAGAGCCTGAAAGGCACTATTTTTACCCACCCAAACTAGGGGGACTTCATAAAATTGGCCCCATGGAATTTCAGAGCAATTATGACCAGTGCTGTAGCTCAGGTCCCTCAGGAAACAGATTCAGAGACCCTGAGATATGTGTGCCACAGGTTATTTGGGAAATGTCATTGAAAACAACACCTCTAAGGAGTAAGAAAAATAAGATTAGGCAAAGGGAAACATTGAACTAGTGAAGTAATTGCAACAAAGAACTCAGCCAATCCCACCAGAGATCAGAGGCTAGGAGATCCCTTCAAGTTGTCCCCATTGAGACAAAGAGTTGATGTCTCATACTCTGCACTAGTCATTGGATGCAAGCTTCCACAAGGCAGGTCATACTCTTGGTCAAGGCAGTGATTTTTGGATAGCAGTTCCTGGAGTGGGGCTCAACTGTGAGCCATCAGCAGCTAGGAGGCTAAGGGCCTTGGTCATAAAGGAAGATCTGGGGAGGGCACCACAGCATCCACTATAAATATAGATTTATGTGTCTTGTATTTTTTCCCTTCATAAATGAGAGTACACATTGCAATTATCCCATCCCTATTCTGCTATTGTATATTTGACGGTGGTAACCAAGGAGGGAAATTGGGGATGGATACCGATCTTCATGAACTATCAAACCATAAAAATAAAATTGGCCCAACTTTTCAATAAGCCAGAAGCCCATAGAACTGAAGCTTGAGAAACTTACATTTGTACAATGAGATGCACCTGCTGCCTGTTGACCAACTCCTCTTCCTTACCCTTCCCTAATTCTCAGTTTCCCACACGTGGTTATAATGAGATGCTAGACCTCTATTCAATCACCTGCTGCCTGTTGACCAGCTCCTTTTCTTTGCCCCTCCTGTTTTCCTTTGCAGTTGTATAAATTATTAACTTCACTTGGGGGGAGACATGGATTTGAGATTTGTCTCCAGTCTCTTTGGTTGACATCACCTGTAATAAAGCCTACTTCCCTAGCAATACACATTGTCTCAGTAATTGTCTTTCTGTGTGGAAAGCAATAGGACCTAGACTGAACCCCTGGCATTCAGTAACAAGGGCACACATGTGGATCTAGTGTAGAGGCCTGAACATTATCTGGAGAGCTGGTGTTTTGAAAGGACATCAAATTGTTCTCCATGGGGAGGATGAGGACATATTTCATGTTTAGAAGAAAGAATAAAATTGATCCATGATGATCAGACAGGATAAATCAGAGACTAACTTGATGCTCACCAATACAATTTCTCTTTCAATTGAACACAGGAGAACCTTATTTCCACCTTCCCTTGCACTTAGCTTGTATCTAGTTATAGCCAATAGAATGTGGAGATAAGAGAAGGAAGCTACTTCTAGGCAGCGGTCCTGAAAATCTTCAACAAGTATCTCAGTCTATACTCTCATCCCATCCATGAAGTTGGAAGTAAAAGACCCCCAAGTTGGTAGAGCTGTTTTATAGACCATAATATGATTGAGCCAAACTATAGAAGGAACTGAATTCCTAAATTATTTTTCAAAGAAGAGCCACCTAACCCACAGTGGATTGTACCTGAGAAAGAAACTTTTGTGGTATTAAATCACTGAGATTAGGGATTGTTTGTTAGCCGTGAGTAGGAATGGCAAACCTGAATTATGCAAAAAACACAGTTTTATATATGTTCCTGAAGTCAGAAGAGTAGATAAGATTACCCATAAGAGTCACAGGAAGACACAACTTTTCCAAATTTCAAGGAAAATATTCAATTGCATGTGAGAACAACACAATGCCTGAAGATGCTTCTTATATGCGAGTAGGTGATAAAGAAACGTAAGTTTTAGCATTTTCTTAGGCCTTAAATATCAACATAACAGTTAAGATCTTGAACCTGCAGGATAGTTTTCCAAATGTGGAAAGCCAGTGTTCTGTAGGCTCCTTAGGGCCTTTAATATGCTCATACACATTGTTACCCCAGCCTACCACTCCCGATCCTACCACCAGCCGGTACCCACTGCTCCCACTCCCACAGGCCTCCAAGCCCCCAGGAAATCAACTGAAGGCAAGGAATATATGCTTTTCCAAGCCTATAGAGATGGCTCTTTACATTCATGTGTTCCATATCCACACATTCAACCAACAGGGAATAGAAAATATTTGGGAAAAAAGATTGTGTCTGTACTGAACATGTGTCAATTTGTTCTTCTTGTCATTATTCCCTAAAATACAGTGTAACAACTATTTTCATAGCATTTACATTGTATTAGGTACCATAAATAGAGATAAAGTATACAGGATGATATACATTGGTTATATGTAAATACTACACTGTATTATATTAGAAACTTGAACATCTGTAGATGTTTATATCTAAGGTAGGTCCTGGAACTAATTCCCCACAGATACAGAGGGACAATGGTACAGTATACATTTCCAAAATCTCCTCTATACCAGCATTTAAAAAAAAAAAAGGAACAGCATGGAAAGCATTTTTATAGGCCATAAACTTGTTTTGATTGTTTCCATCACCAGAGAAGGAAGATAAAGCCAAATGGGTAAGGGAAGTGTTAAAAAGATAAAAAGCCTGGTATGCATTCTGCCTTCTTCTTTCAGTACTGAACCTCATTAGTGGTGGAGAGCATTGAGGCATCTCTAAGGGGAACGCGATGCTTTCTCCCTGAGCTGCAGCAATCTCAGTTACAGATGCTGATCAAGAGTAGCAAATGAAAGGTCCCCAGTCTCCATCACGTAAGTGGCAGTATCGTCGAGACAGTAGTGTAGTAAGTATTGCACAGCTAGATGTCATGCATCACCATACATATGCTGGAATTTTATACGTTTTAAGATCAAAACAGGTGTTTAAAATGATAGCTTTTGCTCCAAGGCCTAGAAACAGGAGAAAGGCACTGTTTCTCTGCTTTCAAGAAACAATTGCTCAGAAGGGAAAAAAAGCTGTTTAAAACTTCATGCCATAATTCTACAATAGATTATTAGTGCCACAGAGAGCATAGTACAAATTTATTTTCAACCACTGGGAATAATAATAAAAAAAAAGACATGTCTTAAAAGAAGGTATTTTTAGCATAATAAGTGATTGCATGGTTATATATAGATTTTGTTTCACTTTCTTCCAACTGTGAATGTGATTGTTTTCATATGCTTGGGAAATTTGCATATAATGTGTGCTATTTGTATCATGGCCAAATCACTTGGATTCAAGCTCAAACTGCTCACTGAAACAGGATGGAAGCCCACTGAGATAAATATAGTCATCTTTCATTTCCTAAGGCTCAAATCCAGGAAAATATCTTCCCCTCTTCCTAAATTTGCCTGTCTGTCAAATTTGTGAATAATTATCAAATTCTCACTGCTAGGAAAACGAGCAATTGGATAAAGCATCAATAATTGTGGTCTATAGCTTGGGAGCGAAGAGAAGAAAAAAATAGCAAATGAAAATGCGTTTGATTTCTTACTATGTTACAGGTTGAATTCATTTAAAAAAAAACCTTACTTGTGAAACTTTTCAGCAGTAGAAAAAGCCTTCATATGTTTTTTATTAATTGAAATCTTATTTGCATACCATAAAATTTACCATTTTAATTACACAAAATCTAATTGCTTTTAGTATATTCACAAAGTTGTGGAATCATCTCTATTGTCTAACTATACAACATTTTTAATCACCCTAAAAAGTAGGCTTGCACCCATTAACAATCACTTCTCATTTGTCTCTCCAGCCCCTTGAAACCCCTAATCTACATACTGTATATATGGATTTGTCTTTCTAAATACTTTATAGAAATGGTGTCATATGATCTGTGTGTGTTCTTTTATGTCTGGCTTCTTTCAGTAGCCTCACTTTACGGATAAGGTAGATAGGCCCATGGTACGGAAACAAATTGTTCAAGTTACATAAATTTTTCTAGGCACATCCAGAGCTAGAATCTGCTCTTATGAGATCTGCATTTAGCAGAATACTGGCTGAGCACTTGCTGGGAGCTCTGTTCTCAAGGGGGCTTTCAATCTCATTGGAAATGACACCGAATAAAGAAAATTGTGTTTATTATTAAGTCTCCTTTGAGAAAGCTATGCAAGATTGGAAAAAGACTTTGGTAAGCTACATGGAATGTGAGAGGAAATATGAGCTCACTATATAACATGACCAAGTCACAAGAGATAGTACCTAAATTGCCTTATAATGAGTATGGATTTGGTAAAGAATATGGCATTTGTGTTGCTGAGTGGGTATATGAGATCGGGGCTGAGTCTCCCAAAATAAACTTTGAACACATATATAACAAATATATTTGTGAAGGAATGCTAAGGAATTAGCTTGTCCAAGCCTTCTGCATTTCCACTCAGCTCTCACATATAGGCCCCTGGCTCCAACACCAAGGCCTCCTCCGTTGAAATTTTTACAATACTGACTTGATTTTGGTAAAACCCATTCTGCCTGAAATATTCCCTCTTGAACTCAAACCCCGTAGCAACATCACCATCTTCCTTCATGAAATCAGCCTATTTCTATCATTGTAGACCTGTAAACTTTCTTACTTCTCTCAATTATATTTCTCTATCTCAGATAACTCACCATATCTTTTTTTATTGTAACCCATACTGGATTTCAAGTGAACCAACACAAGTAACTTGTCTTCCTAAAGTCCTAATGAGCTAACTATATCTTCTGTCCCCAGTTCTGTACCCACCCAGGGCCCAGGTTACCAACTTAGACTTCTGTGGGGCTACTCTGGTGTGGAGTCCACTTTCTACCCATGATGACTTTCCGTTTATTAGATCATGCAAAAGTAATTGCAGTTTTTGCCATTACTTTTAATGCAAGATTGGAAAAAGACTCTGCTTGGCTACATGGAATATAAGAGAAAATATGAGGAATTTGATAATTCCTTCAGGAACTCCAGGACTCCAGTCTGCCTCCTCTCATCCAAAGACTAGAGGCCTTGTGACTGAAATTCTTCTGCACCCCATAGACAAGCCAAGGTATTGCCTAATAGCAGATCATTAGTTGGGGATTATTCTCCAAATTTCCAAATTTTAAACTTACTTGCTAGAAGAGCATTAAAATGGCAGTATAGTGCAATGTGTTGAAGGTAAATGGCCAGGATTTGTAACTCAGGCTTGACTACTTCTTAGTAGCCATATGACTTTAACCAAGAATCTTAACTTCTCTCGGCCTCAGTTTCTTCATTTTTAAAATAAGGGTAATAGTACTTCCTACATTATGAAATCATTCTGAAGACTAAATAACCTTCTATAATATGTGAAACACTTAGATAAATACTTGTAATATAGAAATTGTATAAAGTTAATAACTATTATTTTCTCTACACACAAGTAGCTGCTATGCAAGATTTATATGGAAATGTTCAAGTTTTTTGCTTGTTTTTCATAACACTTTAAAATATCAACCAGGAGAAAAAGTGCTAGACTGGGAAATAGGAGGTCTAGAATCTAGTTCTGATTCTATCACTAAGCAATATTTTAATATGCACACTGAATTTTTTTAGGATGGCTGAATATTTTCCCACACTTATGCCTATGTGTATGTATTTGTGAATGCTATCTTTATAGAAAGTGAAGATGTCAGGCCTCTGAGCCCAAGCCAAGCCATCCCATCCCCTGTGACTTGCACGTAAACGCCCAGATGGCCTGAAGTAACTGAATAATCACAAAAGAAGTGAATATGCCCTGCCCCACCTTAACTGATTACATTCCATCAGAAAGGAAGTGTAAATGGCCGGTCCTTGCCTTAAGTGATGACATTACCTTGTGAAAGTCCTTTTCCTGGCTCATCCTGGCTCAAAAAGCACCCCCACTAAGCACCTTGCGACCCCCACTCCTGCCCGCCAGAGAACAAACCCCCTTTGACTGTAATTTTCCTTTACCTACCCAAATCCTATAAAACGGCCCCACCCCTATTTCCCTTCACTGACTCTCTTTTCGGACTCAGCCCGCCTGCACCCAGGTGAAATAAACAACCATGTTGCTCATACAGAGCCTGTTTGGTGGTCTCTTCACATGGACGCGTATGAAATTTGGTGCCGTGGCTCGGATCGGAGGACATCCCTTGGGAGATCAATCCCCCTTCCTCCTGCTCTTTGCTCCCTGAGAAGGATCCACCTACGACCTCAGGTCCTCAGATCGACCAGCCCAAGAAACATCTCACCGATTTCAAATCCGGTAAGCGGCCTCTTTTTACTCTCTTCTCCAACTTCCCTCACTATTCCCTCAACATCTTTCTCCTTTCAATCTTGGCGCTACACTTCAATCTCTCCTTTCTCTTAATTTCAATTCCTTTCATTTTCTGGTAGAGACAAAAGAGACACGTTTTATCCATGGACCCAAAACTCCGGCACCGGTCACGGACTGGGAAGGCAGCCTTCCCTTGGTGTTTAATCCTTGCAGGGACACCTCTCTGATTATACACCCACGTTTCAAGGGTGTCAGACCATGCAGGGACGCCTGCCTTGGTCCTTCACCCTTAGCGGCAAGTCTCGCTTTTCTGGGGAAGGGGCAAGTACCTCAACCCCTTCTCTCCTTGTCTCTACCCCTTCCCCGCTTTTCTGGGAGAGGGGCAAGTACCCCTCAACCCCTTCTCCTTCACCCTTAGCGGCAAGTCCTGCTTTCCTAGGCGGCAAGAACCCCCCAATCGCTTATTTCTGCACCCCAACCTCTTATCTCTGTGCCCCAATCCCTTATTTCTGCACCCTGATCTCTTATCTCTGTGCCTCAATCCCTTATTTCTGTCTCCCAACCCCTTCTCTGCTTTTCTGGAGGGCAAGAACCCCCCACCCCTTCTCCGTGTCTCTACTCTTTTCTTTGGGCTTGCCTCCTTCACTATGGGTAAGCTTCCACCTTCCATTCCTCCTTCTCCCTTAGCCTGTGTTCTCAAAAACTTAAAACCTCTTCAACTCACACCTGACCTAAAACCTAAATGCCTTATTTTCTTCTGCAATGCCATTTGACCCCAATACAAACTCAACAGTAGTTCCAAATAGCCGGAAAATGGCACTTTCAATTTTTCCATCCTACAAGATCTAAATAATTCTTGTCATAAAATGGGCAAATGGTCTGAGGTGCCTGACGTCCAGGCATTCTTTTATACATCAGTCCCTTCCTAGTCTCTGTGCCCAGTGCAACTCGTCCCAAATCTTCCTTCTTTCCCTCCTGCCTGTCCTCTGAGTCCCAACCCCAAGAGTCACTGAGTCTTTCTAATCTTCCTTTTCTACAGACCCATCTGACCTCTCCCCTCCTTGCCAGCCCAAGCTAGGTCCCAATTCTTCCTCAGCCTCTGCTCCTCCACCCTGTAATCTTTTTATCGCCTCCCCTCCTCACACCTGGTCTGGCTTACAGTTTCGTTCTGTGACTAGCCCTCCCCCACCTACCCAGCAATTTACTCTTAAAAAGGTGGCTGGAGCCCGAGGCATAGTCAAGGTTAATGCTCCTTTTTCTTTATCCCAAATCAGATAGCGTTTAGGCTCTTTTTCATCAAATATAAAAACCCAGCCCAGTTCATGGCTCGTTTGGCAGCAATACTGAGACGCTTTACAGCCCTAGACCCTAAAATGTCAAAAGGCCATCTTATTCTCAATATACATTTTATTACCCAATCTGCTCCCGACATTAAATAAAACTCCAAAAATTGGAATCTGGCCCTCAAACCTCACAACAGGACTTAACTAACCTCACCTTCAAGGTGTACAATAATAAAAAAAAGTTGCAATTCCTTGCCTCCACTGTGAGACAAACCCCAGCCACATCTCCAGCACACAAGAACTTCCAAACGCGTGAACTGCAGCGGCCAGGCATTCCTCCAGAACCTCCTCCCCTAGAAGCTTGCTACAAGTACCAGAAATCTGGCCACCAGGCCAAGGAATGCCTGCAGCCCAGGATTCCTCCTAAGCCGTGTCCCATCTGTGCGGGACCCCACTGAAAATCGGACTGTTCAACTTACCTGGCAGCCACTCCCAGAGCCCCTGGAACTCTGGCCCAAGGATCTCTGATTGACTCCTTCTTGGCTTACCGGCTGAAGACTGACGCTGCCTGATCGCCTCGGAAGCCCCGTAGACCATCACGGACGCCGAGCTTTAGGTAACTCTCATGGTGGAGGGTAAGTCCATCCCCTTCTTAATCAATACGGAGGCTACCCACTCCACATTACCTTCTTTTCAAGGGCCTGTTTCCCTTGCCTCCATAACTGCTATGGGTATTGACGGCCAGGCTTCTAAACCTCTTAAAACTCCCCAACTCTAGTGCCAACTTAGACAACACTCTTTTATGCACTCTTTTTTAGTTATCTCCACCTGCCCAGTTCCCTTATTAGGCTGAGATATTTTAACCAAATTATCTGCTTCCCTGACTATTCCTAGACTATAGCCACGTCTCATTGATGCCCTTCTTCCCAATCCAAAGCCTCCTTTGCGTCCTCCTCTTGTATTCCCCCACCTTAACCCACAAGTATAAGATACCTCTACTCCCTCCTTGGCGACCAATCACACACCCCTTACCATCTCATTAAAACCTAATCACCCTTACCCAGCTCAACGCCAATATCCCATCCCACAGCAAGCTTTGAAAGGATTAATGCCTGCTATCACTCGCCTGCTACAGCATGGCCTTTTAAAGCCTATAAACTCTCCTTACCATTCCCCCATTTTACCTGTCCTAAAACCAGACAAGCCTTACAAGTTAGTTCAGGATCTGCGCCTTATCAACCAAATTGTTTTGCCTATCCACCCCATGGTGCCAAACCCATATACTCTTCTATCCTCAATACCTGCCTCTACAACCCATTATTCTGTTCTAGATCTCAAACAAGCTTTCTTTACTATTCCTTTGCACCCTTCATCCCAGCCTCTCTTCGCATTCACTTGGACTGACCCTGACACCCATCAAGCTCAGCAAATTACCTAGGCTGTACTGCCGCAAAGCTTCACAGACAGCCCCCATTCCTTCAATCAAGCCCAAATTTCTTCCTCATCTGTTACCTATCTCGGCATAATTCTCATAAAAACACACGTGCTCTCCCTGCCAAGCCTGTCTGACTGATCTCTCAAACCCCAGCACCTTCTACAAAACAACAACTCCTTTCCTTCCTAGGCATGGTTAGCGCGGTCAGAATTCTTACACAAGAGCCAGGACCACACCCTGTAGCCTTTCTGTCCAAACAACTTGACCTTACTGTTTTAGCCTAGCCCTCATGTCTGCGTGCAGCGGCTACCGCTGCTTTAATACTTTTAGAGGCCCTCAAAATCAGAAACTATGTTCAACTCACTCTGTACGGTTCTCATAACTTCCAAAATCTATTTTCTTCCTCATAGCTGACCCATATACTTTTTGCTTCCCGGCTCCTTCAGCTGTACTCACTCTTTGTTGAGTCTCCCACAATTACCGTTGTTCCCGGGCCAGACTTCAATCCGGCCTCCCATATTATTCCTGATACCACACCTGACCCCCATAACTGTATCTTTCTGATCCACCTGACATTCACCCCATTTCCCCAAATTTCCTTCTTTCCTGTTCCTCACCCTGATCACGCTTGATTTATTGATGGCGGTTCCACCAGGCCTAATCGCCACACACCAGCAAAGGCAGGCTATGCTATAGTACAAGCCACTATCCTGCCTCTTAGAACTTCTCATTTCCTTTCCATCGTGGAAATCTATCCTCAAGGAAATAACTTCTCAGTGTTCCATCTGCTATTCTACTACTCCTCAGGGATTATTCAGGCCCCCTCCCTTCCCTACACATCAAGCTTGAGGATTTGCCCCACCCAGGACTGGCAAATTAGCTTTACTCAACATGCCCTGAGTCAGATAACTAAAATACCTCTTAGTCTAGGTAGATACTTTCACTGGATAGGTAGAGGCCTTTCCTACAGGGTCTGAGAAGGCCACCACAGTCATTTCTTCCCTTCTGTCAGACATAATTCCTCAGTTTAGCCTTCCCACCTCAATACAGTGTGATAACAGATGAGCCTTTATTAGTCAAATCAGCCAAGCAGTTTTTCAGGCTCTCACTCTTCAGTGAAACCTTTATAGCCCTTACGGTCCTCCGTCTTCAAGAAAAGTAGAATGGACTAAAGGTCTTAAAATACACCTCACCAAGCTCAGCCACCAACTTAAAAAGGACTGGACAATACTTTTACCACTTCCCCTTCTCAGAATTCAGGCCTGTCCTCAGAATGCTACAGGGTACAGCCCATTTAAGCTCCTGTATAGACGCTCCTTTTTATTAGGCCCCAGTCTCATTCCAGACACCAGACCAACTTAGACTGTGCTCCAAAAAACTTGTCATCCCTACTATCTTCTGTCTAGTCATACTCCTATTCACCATTCCTAACTCCTCATACATGCCCTGCTCTTGTTTACACTGCCGGTTTACACTGTTTTTCCAAGCCATCACAGCTGATATCTCCTGGTGCTATCCCCAAACTGCCACTCTTAACTCTTGAAGTAAATAAATAATCTTTGCTGGTAGGACTATGCTGAATCTCCTTAGGCACTCTCTAATCAGATATCCTGAGTCGTCCCAATTCTTAGACCTTTTACACCTGTTTTTCTCCTTCTGTTATTCCATTTAGTTTTTCAATTCATACAAAACTATATCCAGGCCATCACCAATCATTCTATACGACAAATATTTCTTCTAACATCCCCACAATATCACCCCTTACCACAAGACCTCCCTTCAGCTTAATGTCTCCCACTCTAGGTTCCCACGCCGCCCCTAATCCCACTTGAAGCAGGCCTGAGAAACATGGCCCATTCTCTCTCCATACCACCCCCCAAAAATTTTCGCCGCCCCAACACTTCAACACTATTTTGTTTTATTTTTCTTATTAATATAAGAAGTCAGGAATGTCAGGCCTCTGAGCCCAAACCAAGCCATCCCATCCCCTGTGACTTGCACGTAAACGCCCAGATGGCCTGAAGTAACTGAATAATCACAAAAGAAGTGAATATGCCCTGTCCCACCTTAACTGATGACATTCCACCACAAAAGAAGTGTAAATGGCCGGTCCTTGCCTTAAGTGATGACATTACCTTGTGAAAGTCCTTTTCCTGGCTCATCCTGGCCCAGAAAACACCCCCACTAAGCACCTTGCGACCCCCACTCCTGCCCGCCAGAGAACAAACCCCCTTTGACCGTAATTTTCCTTTACCTACCCAAATCCTATAAAATGGCCCCATCCCTATTTCCCTTCACTGACTCTCTTTTCGGACTCAGCCCTCCTGCACCCAGGTGAAATAAATAGCCATGTTGCTCACACAAAGCCTGTTTGGTGGTCTCTTCACACGGATGCGCATGAAAGAAGATATAAAAATCTAAGTGATCACAGAAGCCAAATTAGTGGCTTCCTAATAAATGAGAGGTCCATAAATGATTCTTCTCCCTCAGGTTGATTAATTCTGTGTGTTGATTAGCTCAGCAACACACATTCATCTTTCTGAGTTGTCTTTGCTCTTAAAGAAAAATTTCATCCAGCACATCCCTAAATGATAAGGAGAAATGATTGCTTATACAAATCAGGATATCAGAAAAGCTGGCCAGATGGGGGCTGTGTCAACTCCCTCCCCACTCCAATTGTGCTACTAAATCTTTTTAAGTGTCTCTGTCTAAAATCTTCTCTCTTAAGTACCACTCCCTCCTAATAAGGTCATTTTATCCCAAACAGCCTTCTAAGTAGTATGACCAGCCATCCAGAAAAGGTGTGAACATTCTTGCAGTCTATCTAGAAAGTGCAGTGCAGTACACAACCCAGACTCTCTTCCTTTATGTCCCATACACCCTCTGGTTACCTTAATTTTAATTATTAACTTAGTGTGTCTCCCTTTTCTTATGCCCAGACTGGGTGTTCTCAAAGAAGACTGGGTTTTGTGCCCTTTAGATTGTCAGCACACAATATTTAATCAGTGCATTAAAAATGTTTGGCTTCTGTGAGTACATATAGTGAGTGAAGTCAAATGTCTCTTTATCCAAGGTATGCATTGGTCCTTTTTCACGTATAATCCCTCTGCCTGGAATGGCTCCCCATTTAATGAGTCATCCTTTATAATCCAACTAAGACATCACCTCATTTCATGAGTTATCCTCAAGTCCCTTAGATTTTCCATTCTCTGAATCACAATAGTATATTTTCTTACAGATTGTCAAAGATTTCTCTTATGGCTATTCCCATAGTCTTTGAAATAATTACATTGATTTTTAAATTTACTTTAATTTATTTACTTATAAGCCTGGTTTTTTCATGGGATATGCACTCCTCAAAGACGATAAAGGTACCTCCTTAATCAGTATTCCTACAACTTAGCACAGTGCCTGGCACATTAACAGGTACTCAGTAATATCTGTTGATTGCAACTATATTGAACTGATTTGAATTGCATTCAGTTCAAATTTATAGAGAAAATTCATCACGGTAAAGGCTTTGTGGTATAATTGATATGGCCAAATGAAATGGATAAATTACAAAATGTATACCGTTCACTCTTCCTTTGGGGAGCTTATAAAGGATTTTTACCATTGTAACATAATATTTTAAAATATTGTTGGAAGTTTTCTCCTCCTGATGTTTCCTTCCTCTCTGTACAAGTGAAAGCATCCATTTGTTTCCAGAAAGATTAGGATTAGAGAAAAGAAAGGAAAAATAATCAATATTCAACTTTTATCTTCCAAAATAGGAGGCAAAGCCCAAAGGAAGTCACAAGTCTTACAAGAAGAATTTCATGTGTGTGTGTGAGAGAGAAAAGGGGATTTCTAAATTCAAAAATCTCTCCTTGTATAGTAAGAGAAAATCTTGAAGGTTTGAATATGGAGTATTATTATGAGCTATGGATACAGAGAACTCCACATATGGCCAAGAATGCTTCTCCCTATTTCAAAAGGAGATAGAGAACTTTTCTACTTCAAGGATGAAATAGTGGTTGGAAAGATTTTGAAGGAATTAAAGGTAGAGAAGGAACCCTACTTTGGTTTTGCAGGGATTTGCAGTTTCTACCACCTTTTACAGATCTCAACCATGGGGTGAATTTGGGGGGTACCCTGGAGATAGAAACCACAGATGGGTCATATGGGGAGCCAAAGGCAATTGGAGCACTTGTTTCATTTCCGGTTGAGGTGAAACTGTCTTCTAACATGGAGTGAGTAAAGCCAACTATGACAGTAGCATGAAAACTTTGGTCAGAGCAAGGATGCTAAGAGTACACTTCTACTTTCCTACCTTTTGTGAGCAGGAAATTCCTGAGTACCTCAGGAGATTTAGAAGACTGTGGGCAGGGAGTGCTGGAGACTGAATTTGTGAATGGGAGGGGCAAAGCCTTTGAGGATGCATAATAGTGTTCCCAATTTCGGGAGTAAATGAGATGTGCAGCTAGAGCCAGGGTGAATTCCTGTGGAAACTAGCTATCCAGAAGAGGTAACAGAGCATCACCTGTGCCAAAGTAACTTTACCTCAGTAATAAATAATTCCTCAGAGGAATCCCTGTCCAAATACTAAGGAGAAAAGGCATCCCAAACAAAGGGCAGCACCAAAGTATAGAAGCTTCTTCCTCTGCTCAGATACCAGTCTGGATAGAAAGCAAAGAGGAGAGATTTCTTAACAGAAGAAACAAATATCCTTAATAGGAAATTTGAACTTTAAATCTACAGATTATTTGTACAAGTAAAAGTAAGGCAAGATAAAAGAAAAGAGACTGCCTTAAACTGGAAGAGAATGGAAAGTTAAGGACCAATTCCCAGCTTCTTTTGTCATCAGCAGGAATGGGGGCCTAGAACAAGAGAGAATGTTTTTCAAAATCAAGTGGCTTTTTAAAAATTTTTATTTTTTACATTTTGTTTATGTGTAAATTTTGACTCCACTTCACATTGTTTGGGTTAACACAATGGTTTTTGAGAAGAAAGAATTGCCTAGGCCAGATGGGAGTTCTCCCTAGACCAGCTGTCTGGCCTTTGTTTGCAAAACATAGTTAAACCATCAAAAGGGCTTCATGCATAGCCCAGGAGTACATTAGCAGAGCAGATGATAAAAGGTCAAGAATATGGGCTATTTAGATATAGATGAAATCTGACAGATGAAACACTAAAGTAATCTAATAAGACCAAGAGGGAACTGACATTAAAGTTTGGGTAAGAAACTGATTAGATGCTACATAAACAATGAGGACAACTATGGCTATTGAACTGTTTTTGGAAAGCTGTCACCTCCAACAAAAGTGCTCAATAAATGTTGATATCCTGACTGTTCATGGATTCCCTTATTATCTTTGCTCCCCAATGTATTAAGAAAATCAAGGAAATTAAATGAGGATTTTATCAAGAATCTGGAACATAGAATTATTCCAGTAAATTGAGTGTTCCAGTTAACATAGTTAACATCTGTCACCTATAAGGCTTACTAACTATTCAAGAACTTAAAATGCTATGTATTAGTCAATGTTCTCCAGAAAAACAGAACTAATAGGAGATAGATAGATAGATAGATAGATAAATGGATAGAGAGAGAGAGAGATAAATATGTTCAGCACGCTGAACCCATGGGGAACTGGTTGCAGGACATCCCACAAAAAACAAAATTACAGGATGCTCAAGTCCCTTATCTAAATTAGCATAGCACAATTGGCCCTTCATAGGATTCTGTGATTCAACCAATCATGGATTATAAATAAGTACTATTGGCCCACCATAATCACTGATTTTGATCGTAGTTGGTTAAATCCACAGATGCAAAACCTGCATATGTGGAGGGCTGACTGTATTGAAAGAGAGAATGAGATTATAAGGAATTGGCTTGCATGATTATGGAGGATGAGAAGCCCCCACAATGCGCCCTTTGCAAGCTGGTGATCTCAGAAAGCTGGTGGTATGTTTCTTTTCAAAGAAGGAAGGAGAAATGATTGATTAATTTATTAAGGGTTGACACAAGAAACCCTTATGTCTCGTGTTAGGCAAGAGAAAAATTTATCTTTTTCTGGAGTCCACAACTCACTCTTGAGAACCAGGAAAACTGATGGGGTAAGTTCTAGTTCAAGTCTGAAAGCCTGAGAACAAAGAGTGCAGCTGACGCAAGTCTTGATCAGAGGGCAGGAGAAGTCCAATGTCTCACTTTGCTCAGTTGGGCAAAGAGAAAGAAGTTTCCCTTTCTCTGCCTTTTGTTCTATTCGACCTGCAATAGATTGGATGATGCCCATGCACATCGGGAAGAGCAATTTTCTTTACTCAGGCTATGGATTCAAATGGTGATTTCTTCCAGGAACATCCTCACAGACACATCGAGAAACAATGTCTAGCTAGCTATCTGGGCACTCTGTAGCCTAGTCAACTAAACACAAAATTAACCATCATGCTAATTATTTGAAAATTGTTAATCCTATGGATGTAAGGATGCAAAAAGAGTGGCTGTTGTGTGCCTCCAAGTTGCTCTCAGGTCTAATTCTTTATTGTGACTGAAAGTAAAGCAGTCTTCAGAAGGGAATGTTTTTCTCCAGCATCACCTAACAGGTGAATTTAGTGACAATTTACAGCTCTTTGTTGCTAATCATGAACTCAGAGAATACAGAATTTCTTTGCTGTCCTATGGGCATATGCCTGTGCAATCTTTGGATAAAACATCATCTTCCTGCCAGCTCAGCATTTATTTTTAATTTATTGTTTGCTGCCTTGTCCCAAGAGAGCAAAGTTTCCATTAAGCAGCATGATTCCCAAGAGTGGTGGTTTTTTTTTTTCCTCTCAGATAAAGATGTGACTTTGAACAACGAAGAAGTACTCAAGTCATGGAATCGTAGACCCAAGTCACAGTTTTATCTTTGTCATTTATTTTGAACACAATGCTTCCCATCATTTTTCAAATCTGAAAAGTTAGAAGATAGCTAACATAATCTCTAAAGCTTTATACATGCTCTGAAAAACAATTAAGTTTATGCCTAGGTTGTTGTCTTAGAAAAAAATTAGTATGCCTATTGTGATACTAAATGAAGACTGGAAACAAAAATAAACAAGATGCAGTGCTTTCCACTGAATATCTCAGAGTCTGGTAAGGAAGGTATATAAATCATTAACCACAGTACCCTGTGATGAGTGCTAATTAGGGGATATACTTGATCTAACCTATTCACACCATCTTATTATCAAATTCAAGAGAATACAAAATGACTACCGAAGGTTAGAGACTCTTTTAAGGACATAGTTAACTTTTTTTTTTAATCCAAATGAAACCGATGATCTTTCTTCTAGGGCATTATCATGAGGTTCTAACTCCATGTACTAATCAATATTTTTCTTAAGTGTGAGAACAGAAGAAAGAAAGGCTAGACTTACAAGGAAGGAAAAAGGGACTCAAAGGCAAAGGCCATGATTTAATTTTTCAAAAAATCGGTGGAGCACAGTGTCTCAAACCTGTAATCCCAGCACTTTGGGAAGCCAAGATGGGAGGATCACTTGAGGCCAAGAATTTAAGGCCTGACTGGGCAACATAGTGAGACCCCAGTCTCTATCAAAAAAGAAGTAATAATTTTAAAAAATTAAATTTAAATAAATATATATATATATTTGAACATGGTTTTGAAAAAAAAAAATTTCCATTACCTAACACAGAGCTTGGCATGATACATGTGTTCAAGTACGTGTTCATTTATTCATTCACTCACTTACTCATTTGGTACATACTGAACATCTGCTATGTGCCAAATGCTGTGCTGAGTACTAGGATACAATGATGTACAAAGCATCCAAGGTTTCAGTCCTCAATGAATTTATGTTAAAGTAAAAGGTGAACTATAAACTAGAAAACAAAATATTTTGATAAGTCTTGTGAAGGAAATAAGTGGTGACATGACAGAAAGCGCAGAGAGGGTTGCTGCATGAAGCAGACTGATCTGGAATAGTCCCTTTTAGAGGTTAACAAAGTAAAGGCCTTTGGTGCATAGGAAGGGAAGAAAGAACACAAGACCACCAGGATCATATTTAATGAAGAGAGAGGATGGTAACAACATGACTTTGTGAAGGTGAGTAGATGAAGCATGTGTTGTCAAGTCAGAGCCTAATAACATGGCTGCAAGGGATGAGGAGAAGGGAAGCAGCAAATATTATACCTAAGTTTAGTTAAATGAATTAGAAATTTAGTTAAATGAACTAAAGGAGAAGAAGGAAGAAAGGAGGGAAGGAAAGAAGGAAGGAAGGAAGGGAAGGGAAGGGGAAATAATTGATTAATGTACTGACTGCTGACGTATATTTTTGTGTTAGATATAAGAAAGGTGTGCTTTTTCTGGAGTCTACAACCTAAAAAGTTATGCTAAATTCTATGATAAGTCAAAGAAGAGCATTAAAAAGGAATACTCAATTAGAATATAGGCTCTAAAAGAAGCAGCAAAGCCCTTTGATGGTGATAGAAATTTGGATAATTTGGGCAGTTAATCATTTTCTCTCTGTGATTCTACAGGAATGAAAGGGAAGATTTATCTTCAAAAGTGAGTGGGATTCACTAGGTTACAAAATAGAAAAGCACATTTCAGGCAGGGATAACAGTGTGTACTGATAAGTGGAGACATGAACAGCCTGGTACATACATGAGAAGTCTCCGAATAGTTCAGCAAAACTAGAGAGAGTGAAAGAGAAAGAGTGTGGAGTGGTGAAATTGGAAAGTCACGTGGTATCAGATCAAGTAGTGTTTTTTATGCTGAAAAAGAGCTTACTAGTAGCTAATGTTTCTGAAGATACAGCTTTGCTGATATTCTGTCTGCTGCCCAAATAAGCCAAGTTCCTTCCTGTCTCAAGGACTTTGCAGTAATTTATGTCTCTGATTCCCCCATCCCAGAGGCTCTTGTGCTGACTCCTTCCCACCAATTGCCAATCATGTCTTGGCATAAATATTCCCTTCTTAGAAGGAATGCTTCCTGCAGCTCCATCTTAAATTGACTAACCAATTTCTCCATCACTCTGTTTTGTTTTCTCCTTAATGTTTTCTATTACCTGGGATCATCTTGCTTAGTATGTGTTTATTTGTTTACCTTCTGCTTTTCTCTGCTGGGATAAAAGCTCACCAGAAGAAATATTTTCTGTTTTGTGTAACACTGTATTTCCAATACCTGTAACAAAATAGTAGGTGCCTATTAAATATTTGTGGAATGATTGAATGTGAAAGCATTGTTTAGGGTGATACATGGTCTGTCATGTTTTGGAATATCAGTTTGATTGCAGTATGGTAGGATTGTATCTTCCTGAAGGACAAAGTTCTAAAGTCAGTGTGGGATATTTCTTTTAATGTACAATTAAAATTATCTTGAAAATGGATTACAAAAGTGTGCAAGGCCACTTTGTAGACTGACATATATCCTTCCAGGAGAGTAGGTTCAACATCCCTGGAGGTTTTTACTTTTTTATAATTCCAGAAAATGATATGTCCCTCTTTCTGCACTTGACACCCTATTCAGCACATTGCTGAAGTAGAAATTAGTAGAGTGATGGGAGAAATAACCTGAACAATTTATTGTTTTGTCCTGGTTGAGATTGAGTGTTGCTGAATTGGTGTGAGCTTAATGCTCATATGATACCACTTTGTGAAAGGTAAAAGTAGAATGTCTAAGTTTTGAGGCTGGGAGATCACTTAACAATGGTGTTTAATCACCTCTTGATATGAAAAAAAAAAGACATCTCTTTGTCGCTTTCAATCTTGTGATACCCAATTTTATATATTTGAGAGGTTTCTGCAATGAACTGAATGTTACTTTGGTTGTTTTAGAATCCACTTTCTTTACCCTAGGCATAGTTTGAATATCGTTGCAGAAGATGCATTGGAATTAAAAGACCAACAGGATCCTTAGTGTATCTACGACTTCTAATGATCTGGATGGTTAGTTCCCACTTTGTCAGTCCTCTTGTCCTGTTCCTACCCACCACAGTCCTTTGAGACATTAGCAAATACTAGATGAGTCAACATTTTTTTCCCTTTTCTCTCCTATCCCCAAAAGATTAAATATCAAAGTTTGGCAAAAATCAAGTTGTTCATTTAAATATCAGTCCTCAAATACTGGCCTCTCTCTCTGCCTCATAAACATGCAGTCAAATTTTGTCTTTTCTTCCAAGCAACTAGGAATGGAAGAAATATTAGCTCTCCATTCCACCTAATTCACAACATTGCTGTCTAATTTGGGGTGAGATCCAATTCTCATCTGAATGAAGCTTAGTGTATAAAAGACGTTTGAAGGCTGCTAAAAATGTTCTATCAGGAGCCAAATGTTTTGTACTTCTATTTGCTTTTTGCCAGCCCTCCCTCTCTCACACCCCCATCCCAAATATCTATCCCTTATAAGTATGCGATTATACTAGGGAATAAATTGCAGATTCTAATAGTTACAATTTGGTTTAACACTGTAGGAAAACAGGTTGAAAAGAGACTAAATACACCTTTGGGAAATTGAAGTATTGACTCAGTACAGCCATGCACCAGCCCTCACTCTTCTCATCTTAGCTAGAATGAATTTATTTTTGCATCCATCCAGTGCTAGACAGGCAGATGCAACAAATACCTCAGTGCTTGCTGTCCTGCAGGAAGGTTTGATGGACACATTTGTCCTGTGGATATGTGACTATTAATCTGAATAGGATCATTTTAATAATGCTTTACAAATCAAAAAGCATTTCTGCTCCACAGATGGATAACACTGGGGAGTACTGACCACTCCATGCCAGTTCTAGTGTATATAAAGGCAAATGGAACTCAGAGAGGTAGGGCTTCATTTTTCAGTCAGCTCAGCAGATTTGTGGGGAAAGGAATCTCATGCTCCCTGCTTTTGAGAGCTGTTAATGGGGGTAATTTATTCAACCTTTCACTGCCTCATTTTTTTGTGTGAAAATTAAGGATAATAATAAGCCACATCTCATAAAGTTTTGTGGGGATTTAAGGAGATAGTATAATAGAGTGATTAACATGGTAAGAGTTAACAGTCCATATATTTTAGCTATTTAATTATGTTAAAGAGACATCATAACCAAAAAGTAATTATGATGTTGGTGATGATGATTCTCATTTTACACGTCCAGAGATAGAGAACCGGTGATTCTAAGAAACTAGACTACAGTCACAAAAGTCCTCACATCTTGTCTCTGGGTTCCAAGCTCCAATCCTTACCTTATTTCCAGGCTCCAAGGCTCAGTGAAGGGACTGGGGCTAAATGCACCTATGAAAGAGAACCTGTCTGTGCCTATAAGGATTTCTACTGCAAAACTTTCTAAAAATGAGCCCAATGAGAGTTTCCAACTCTTTTATTTCCATTTTTATCCTCATGAGCAAAGCAAGTGTGCACTACAAGCCTAACTAGGATTTGACAGGTGGAGCCCCTTGTACTATTTGAGTTACTAATGGGATAGCAAACAGTTCTTGTAATTTACTTTGTACTTTGATAATGTCTTGGCTTCAAGGGTCACACAGGCCTTTCCAAACATTAACTTATTTCCCTCTCTTTATGTTTTGAAGGGGTCAGAAAAGGTTAGCTTTCTTCTTGTTTTGCGGCTGAGAAGACAGGTTTAAAAAGGGTATGCATCTTACCAAAGTTGCCCCACAAACTGAGCGCTATCCAATCTGCTACGACTAGCTACAGACACTGTAACCCACACAAGGAAATTTGTCCAGGGTGTTTTGCATTCTGACCTAGAACTGCCACTGAATGTTATTTGTCTTACCTTTCTATAGGCCTCAAGCAATGCATAGAAAAAACAAGAGTATATTGCAAGTCTGGCTTCTGCAGCACTGCAGAGGTAAAAGAGTTGAATGAACAGGAGCAAGCCTAGGTACAAAAGTAGTAGTTCCAAGCAAATACAACTTATCACATTAAGAATGAGTTGGGGAGGCTGATTTATTTGTTTTAGAAGTTGGGTGGAACAAGGAAGAGAATATGTAGGCATATGAGGACCACATTTCAGCACCTCTTCTGAATCCAGGGAATAGATTCATTCAGTTGGGAACTGACTCCAGGTCCTAGTTTAGATGGTTTCTCTTATGTTATCTCATTTGATCATCGCAACAACCCTGGTTTCTTAAAGTGTTATGCATTGAGATGCAGGAGAGAGAAAGCCTAAATAGATGGCTTTTTTCACCTACTTAAAGTTACCTTCCCACTGAATTCTTCCTTTCCAGGCTACTTTGTCTAAAATCATGACCTCCTTTGCACTCCTATCCCTTTTCCTATTTACCAAAAGCTAATATATCACCTTTGCATGAGCTAACATATATATATATGTGTGTGTGTGTGTGTGTGTGTGTGTGTGTGAGTGTGTGTGTGTGTATTAGATTGGTGCAAAAGTAATTGCGATTTTGGCCATTATTTTATATTGCAAACACTGCAGTTATTTTTGCACTAACCTTATATATATATCGCTAGTGCCTATTACACATTAGGGTTCAACCAATAACTATTGAATTAGTAAATGAATGTATTCATGTTCTCCTAACAACTCATAGCTGCCTTAGTAGCATGCAATTACATTTGCTATTTAAAAATTATTTGTGTGGTTGTTTTATTATACTTTATCTCATCCTCTAGAAGGATCTGTGAAAACTGACAATGTTTTTGTTTGATTATAAAGCATGTTGCCTGGCAGAAAGTAGTTCACAATGAATACTTTTAATGAAACAAATAAAACAATTTGATCAAGTAAAAAACTGACATAGCAAGATTTAGAATATTTTCATTTATTAAATAGCTATTTATTGAACAACAGATATTATTGCAGTCTTCATGGGGTTTACCACTTAATGGAGCCTTCTCATGCCAAATTTCAGGCTAAGCCTTTATTAGAAATCTAAAATTTAAATAAAAAGTAATTTTATTTATGTTCTAATATTTAATTCATAGTTCAGACACGCCTTATAAATAAGAAAGTTTTATATTTGGCAATTTCGTTTGTCTGCAGCTTCAAGGGTAAGAAGCAGAAAATAAGCCAGAAAAGCCTCTTTCCAGCTAAAATAGTTCACGAAGTTTGACAACACAAGTCTCTTAAATTGTAATTCACATTCCACATACTCTTAAATATCAGCAAACTACTTTATCATCTTAGGATCATTCCTCCTTTCACGTATTTGCCCTAATCCATCATCTATCACTAAGCCCTACAGATACTACAGTCAAATGCTTTTTATCTCCAACTCTATCTTCCCATTCCAACTTCTACTAACTTATTTTAGGCTTTATAGGTTCCAACCTGGGTAACTTCCTCTCTTAACTGGCATCTCTGCCTTCACATTACTTTTCTCTAGCACAGAATGGAAAGTTAATGTTTTTAAAAAAAAAGAGCAGGTGAAGTTCATGTCCCAAACAAGCCTCAGTGTAAGAGAATGATACTAACCCCATTCTGGTGGTGGAGCCTTCTATGGCCATCTGTGGTGCAGCTGAATGGATAATCCATCACCATGTGGCATACTTTCTATGGAGTCTGACTCTTGCAGATTTAGTTTCTAACTCAACAATAACACAATTCCCTGAACACTCATCCTCAAGTCATCTCTTGATTTCTAAACTTAATTTTTTTAATGAAAGATGAGCTGATTTATTATGGTCTTCAAGGCTCTTCACAATCTATGCTGTAGCTAGAATCTGTTTCTCATCGTTGCCACGTATATTGTACTTGTTTGTATGGCTGTCTTCCTACTGAATATGTATTTCTTTAAACACGGGATGTGCATCGCTAAAGAGATGAGAGTTGCTTTTACGTTGTACTATATGGTGCACTTCATAACAGTTAAGGATAAGTGGAAAACATTCTCCTTTGCCTTCCCTTGAGTCCTTCTAATGACTGGAGAAGGGCTAAGTTTTGTGCTAGTATGTCCTTAACAACTCTTTCGTATTTAATAATCTCCTTTTTTATCAAACAGACAGCAAATCTAGGCTTGGAGCCTTCAGCAAATAAAGTAGCTGGGTTGAATTTAGTTATATATACTGTTTTAATTGTATTGGGTTTAACAATTACCTTCTATTTGTGGCAAATGAGACTGGCTTTTCATTGAGACCAAAAATAATGTCTTTTCAAATAAGTTTATTAAGACTTAAAAGTGTACATAATTTTAAAAAACACTATATGATAATACAGGGAGCACAAAGATATAACAAAAATATGATGGGACATTTGAATGACTACAGTTTGGGAAATAATGGACTATAATATAATTTCTTTTCTCAGAGCAAGAACCATGTCTGTTCATTTCTCTAGCCCCAAAATTCTCATGATGTTTCACAGGCTATCATTAAACATTTGCAGGAGGAAGGAGGAAAGCTTATATTCCACAGCCCATTATTGAGATCATGCTCATTAAACTCTCAAATCCTTTGCCCCTTTCTCCTTATACAGACATATCTTGGAGGTATTGTAGGTTCAGTTCCAGACCACTGCAATAAATCAAATATCTCAATAAAGTGAGTCACACACATTTTCTTTTCCTAGTGTATATAAAAGTTATGTTCACACTACACTGTAGTCTACTAAGTTTGCAATAGCATTATGTCTAATATATATCTTAATTTTAAAAATGTTATTGCTAAAAACTGTTAATGATCATCTGAGCCTTCAGTAAGTTGCTGGGGGGAATATCTTGCCTCGATGTTGATGGCTGATGACTGATAAAACTTGTGGTTGCTAAAGGTTAAGGTGGCTGTGGCAACTTTTTAAAGTAAGACAACAATGAAATTTGTCACATCAATTGACTTTTCCTTTAACAAAGATTTCTCTATAGCATGTGATGCTATTTGATAGCATTTTACTCATAGTAGAACTTCTTTGAAAATTGGAGTCGGTTCTCTCAAATCTTGCCACTGCTCAACTGGCTAAGCAGAAACCATATTCTAAATCTTTGGTTGTCATTTCAACAGTGTTCACAGCATCTTTACCAGGGGTAGATTCTATCTCAAGAAACCACTTTCTTGGCTCATCCATAAGAAACAATTTTTTATAAGTTCGAGGTTTATTATGAGATGAAGCAGTTCAGTCCCATCTTCAGGCTCCACTTCTCATTCTAATTCTTGCGCTGTTTTTACCACATCTGCAGTGACTTGCTCCACTGATGTCTTGAACCTCTAAAAGTCATCCAGGAGAGCTGGAATCAACTTGTCAAAACTTCTGTTAAGGTTGACACTTTGACCTTCTTCCCTAAATCACAATTGTTACTAATGGCATCTAGAATGGTGAATCCTTTTCCAAAGGTTTTCAATTTACTTTGCCCAGATCCATCAGAAGAATTGCAATTTATGACAGCTATAACCTTATGAAATATATGTCTTAAATAATAAGATATGAAAGCCAAAAACTACTGCTTGATTTATGGGCATGAAAACAACATTAATTTCCCTGTACATCTCCCTTACAGCTCTTGGGTGACTAGGTGCATTGTCAATGAGCAATAATATTTTGAAAAAAATCTTTCCAAACAGTAGGTCACAACAATGAGTCTGTTATGAGTATTATGAGTCAATAATGTACATTTATTCAGGAAACCATGCTGTGAACATATGAGCTGTCATCCAGGCTTTGTTGCTCCATGTATGGAGAACAGGCAAAGTAGATTCTTAAGAACTCTAGGATTTTCAGAATGGAAAATGAGCACTGGCTACAACTTAAAGTCATCAGCTCCATTAGGCCCTAGCAAGAGACTCAGCCTGTGCTTTGAAACTTTGAAGCCAAGCATCAACTTCTCCTTTGAAGCTGTCAAAGTCCCTGACGGCATCTTCTTCCAACAGAAAGCTGTTTTGTCTACATAGAAAATCTGTTGTGTACTGTAGTGGCCTTCATCAGTGATCTTATTTAGATCATCTGAATAATTTGCCGCAGATTCTATATCAATACTTACTGCTTTATCTTGCACTTTTCTGTTATGGAGACAACTTTTTTCCTTAAACCTTATGAGCCAACTTCTGCTAGTTTTCAACTATCTCACCTCTCTCAGCATTCAGAGTATTGAAGAGAGTTAGGGCCTTGCTCTGGATTAGGTTTTGGCTTAAGGAAACGGTATGTCTGATTTGTTCTTCTATCCAGACTACTAAAACATTCTCTGTATCCGCAGTAAAAATGTTTCACTTCTTTTTTCTATCATCTCTGTGTTTACTGGAGTCGCACTTTTAACTTTCTTCAAGAAGTTTTCCTTTGCATTCACAACTTGGCTAATTGTATGGCACAAGAGACCTAGTGATATGGTTTGGCTGTCTCCCCACCCAAACCTCATGTTGAATTGTAGGTTCCATAATCTCCATGTGTCATGGGAGGGACCCAGTGGGAGGTAATTTAATTATGGAGGTGGTTCCTTTCATGCTGTTCTTGTGATAGTGAGTGAGTTTTCACGAGATCTGATGGTTTTATAAGGGGCTTTCCCCCTTTTGCTCAGCGCTTCTCCTTGCTGTTGCCACGTGGAGAAGGATGTATTTGCTTCCCTTTCCACCATGACTAAGTTTTGTGAGGCCTCCCAAGCCCTGTGGAACTATGAGTCAGTTAAATCTCTTTCCTTTATAAATTACCCAGTCTCAAGTATGTCTTTATTAGCAGCGTGAGAATGGACAAATATATACAGCTTTTATCAAATCTAGGCTTTTGACATGCCTTCCTCACAAAGCATAATCATTTCTAGCTTTTGATTTAAAGTGTGAGGTATACGACTCTTCCTTTTACTTGAACATTTATAGGCCATTGCAGGGTTATTAATTATTCTTGTTCCAATATTGTTGGATCTCAGGGAATAGGAAGGCCTGAGGAGAGAGAAGGAGGGGAATGGCCAGTGGTTGAAGTGGTCATAAAACATACAACATTTATCAATTAAGTTCACCGTCTTATATGGGTGCAGTTTATTGTTCCCCAAAATAATTACAATAGTAACATCAAAGATCACTGATCACAGATCACCATAACAGATATAATAATAACTTAAAAATTGAAAACTTGCAATAATTATCAAAATGTGACAAAGATACAAAGTGGGGATATGCTGTTGAAAAAAAAAATGGTGTCAGTAGACTTGCTTGATGCAGGCACAAACCTTCAATGTGTAAAAAATGCAATATCTGTGAAGCATAATAAAAGAAAGTGCAGTAAAATGTATGGCTGTCCTCACTTAGCAAAATCTCAATTTGTTGTTAAATCTAACATTTTTTTCTATTTTATTCCTGTACTTTGAATAGTTGAAATGGCTTGTGAAAAATATACAAGCATATTAACTTGTTTCACATAACATGACCTAATCTCAAATGGGCAATTAAGCCACCTGACAATCCAGCAATATTTCCATAATCCATCCACTTTCCCAATATCTTAAATAACTGTCTAATTCTTCTCTTCCTTTACCTCCAATATTCCCCCTTCCTCACTCTCAGCTAATAACTATTCTGACTTTAATGAAGATAGAACCAATTACAAGAGAACTTCCTCACGTACACCATCATCTATACCAATCTACTGGTTTCTGAACTTACATATTTCATCATCCTTTAGCAAATCCAAGATCCAAGATCATTTCCTCTACTTGTTTCCTAAATGCCTTCTCTCCTTATTCAAGGATGTCATTTCAGGGTATTTCCTTTCTCTTGTATCCCGTCTCTACTGACTCATTCCTGTCATCCAGGAGTATGCTGAAAAATAAAATATCTTCCACCTCCTGAACTCACATTTATATCATTTCTGTTGTCTCCTTTACAGGAAGCTCTGTTTTTAATTTATCTCACTTTCTCTTTGGAACTCTTCCCAATCTGGTCTTCACCAAAACAACTTTGATCAAGGTCACTACATACCTTCATTTACTAAATCTGAGAACCATTCTCAGCTTCCTTCTTGACCTACTTAATGGTATTTGACACAGTTGATCCCCTCATTTTCTTGAAAATGCTTTCTTCACTTGTCTTTCAGAAAGTCACTGTCTCCTGGTTGTCCTCCTATTTCAACCTCACTTTCCTGGTTTATTACTGTCTTCAATACGTGTAACAGAGTGACCCAAGACTCAGTCCCTGTATCTTTTCTCTTTATTAAACTTACTCTTCAATTGATCTTACTAGATAAAAATGTTGAAATACCATCCACACACTGATAACTACTATATTTATACCTCCAGCTCAGACCCCTCCTCCAAACACCAGATGTGCGTATACACCTGCCTACTTGACACCTCCATTTGGATGTTTGGTAGGCATCTCAAATTCATCATGGCCAAAATCACCTCCTAATCTCATCTCTTCCAAATCTGCTTTTGCCATAATCTTTGACACCACAGTACATGGCAATTCCACCCTTCCATTTCTCAGGAAAAAATCTTGATATTATCCTTTGCATTTCTCTTTCTTCTCAACCCATATCCAATCTGTCAGCAAATCTTAACTATTTTACCTTCAGAATATCTCCAGAACCTGAGCAGTTGTTAATATTTACCACTGTCACGACTCTCATGGCTCTCCTGGCTAACTGCAGTACCTCCTAACAGTTTTTTGTTTTTCCTGATTTCATCCTTGCTCTTTATATTCTATTCTTTACACAACATACTGAGTGATCCTTTCAAAATTTAAGTCAGATTATGTCACTCCTCCACTCAAAGCTCCCAGGGGCTTCTCATTTTACAGGGGCCAGGAGGACCTGGGGGATCTGGCCCCTGCTGACTCCCTGAGCTTGTCTCCTACTGCTCTCCATTTGGCCCATCTTCTCCAGCTGCATTGTCCTCTGTGCTCTTCCAAGAATTTTCTCAACTCATTTGCAGGCCCCTCGATCTGGACCATCCTTCACTTGGAAATACATGCAACTTTTACAGTTCTGTTAAAAGTCATCTTCTAATTGAAATAGTAAGATCCTCCTTGACCTCCTATATTTAGGAATAATATTTTTCACACCTAGCCTAGCACAACCTGTAACTTTTTCTCTGCTTTATTTTATACCATAGCAATTATTTCATATATGTATGTATATACATATATACACACACATACATATACACACATATATATCAATATGTGTGTATATATTTATATGTGGTATCTATATATGCTTACATATATACAGTATGCTTACATTTTAGCTGGAAAGATATAGACAATAAGCAGATCAATATATATACAATGAGTAGATATACATTGAATAAACCCAAATCACTCATATGTATGCTCATTGTGAGTCTACTTAATTGTTTATTGCCTGTGTTTTCCCAGCTCATCTGTAAGTGCCATGAGAATGGAGGCTTTGCCTGCTTGGTTCACTGCTATATTGCCAGTACACAAAACAGTGTCTGGCACATAGTAGACTCTTAACACTTATTTGTGAAGTGGTCTTGTTGTCTGGGGTGACACTGAGGTTCATTGTCTCATGACGGTGGAGATCAAGGATGCGGACACACAAAAAGTGAGGTTAAGAGAGGAAATGAAATAGACAAAAGAAAGAGAATAAATAGCTCTCTGCTATAGAGAGGGGTTTTGGAAAAATGGGTTGCCAATCTGTGGTGAAATGCAGCAGGGGTTTTATAGATGAGCTAGTGGGGAGGTGGTGTCTGACTTACACAGGGCACAAAAACCCGGTTCGGACCAAGTGTTTCATCTGCAAAGGGTGCGAATCACTTGCAGCCCCCACCCTAATCTTTTGTTATGCAGGTGGGTTCTCTTCCTGAGCTTCTCCATGTTGCCCTTTTTCTCATTGTACACCTGCTAACAAAAAAGGGAAGGTGGAGCCCCATGATCAACATGCCTGGCCCTCAGGTAGCCCTTTTCTACTGGTGCAGCTGCAGGCCTCCCACGACGCAAGCTTCCAGCTTTCTTACCTATGTTTTCAGCTTGATCTTTCAGGCTGCCTTTTGTTAGAAAAGAAATGATTACTTTGGCTGCTTTCTGTTAGAAGGGAAGTTCTGCCGAGGCCTCGTTTGCCTTCGCTATCTGCCGAAATAATTTCTTGCTGTCTCCAGTATCATTTGTTCAATAAGTGAAAAGAAGAAGGAAGAAAAGTCAAACACTTATACCCACTACATCTTACATGTTTATATCCACATTATATTTGTTTTTTTGTTTTTTGAGGCAGAGTTTCGCTCTGTCGTCCAGGCTGAAGTGCAGTGGTACGATCTTGGCTCACTGCAACCTCCACCTCCTGGGTTCAAGCAATTCTCCTGCCTCAGCCTCCTAAGTAGCTGGGATTACAGGTGTACACCACCACGCCAGGCTAATTTTTGTATGTTTAGTAGAGATGGGGTTTCACCATGTTGGCGAGGCTGGTCTCAAACTCCTGACTTCAAGTGATCCTCCCACCTTAGCCTCCCAAAGTGCTGGGATTATACAGACAGGAGCCACCACGCCCGGCCCGTATCCACATTATATTTGACATGATATTACCTTTTTCTGAGGTTCTAAAAATCTATAAAATAGCTATTGTTGGGGTTCAGAAGTTGACACCCCGTAATATGACAAATGGACATGCTGAACTGAAGAAACCTAAAGGTCTCTCAGACCATCCCCCCACAACCTTCATAGTCTCTCCCAAAAAAGCTGAGGTTCTTTTATCTGTCTCAGATCCAGACCCGCCAAAGAGAGCAATAGTTTTCTTTCTTTCCCTAAAAGACCGAGAATGTAACCACACCTGCACAGACTCTTTCACAAGATAATGCCTCTTTCTCATACACATTGAAATTCCAAAGAATATTATTTATAAGTTACTTTTTGTTTCCCAATCCAGTCATTCTCCCTAGTAATCACTTATTACCCCTTAGCAGAATTTCTCTTTTCCCCCTGCCCCTGTAACCTGTTTTACCAAGATCAAAGCGCTCGTTTTTTTTTTTTTTTTCCAGTAATCTCAAGATTTTTTATAAGTTTGTACCTCACTGAGAGGTTAGGTCTTCATTGTGAAGACTGCCATGTATATACGTTAAATAAATTTGTATGCCTTTCCTCCTGTTAATCAATTGGCCTCATGCTAGTAATTTTTGAACTTCCAGGAGGCAAACGGTCTTGGCCCTTGCAGTCTGTATTGAATGCCCCAAATCCCTGACCTTGAGAAAGGAGAGGAGAAACAGACACACAAATGAAGGAGACATACTCTATGCTAGACAGTGTAAGTCTACAGACTGTCACTCCTTCTCTTTGCGCTCACCTTGTAAGGCTCAGTTCAGAGGTAACAATTGTAACCTTACAGTCACAATTAAACATCTTTCATTTTATTCCCATTATACTCAAGGATCTCAAATGGGCATCCCTTGATCAAGTCCAACTAGTGCTTTTATTTGTATTTTGTATTTTCATGTTTTACAGGCAAGGTCATGCTCTGTTGCCCAGGCTGCAGTGCAGTGGTGTGATAATAGTCCACTGTACCCTTTAACTCCTGGCCTCAAGTGATCCTTCCACATCAGCCTCTTGGGTACCACCATGCGAGGTTTTAAAATGTTTTGTAGAGGTGGAGTATCATTATATTGCCCAGACTGGTCTCAAGTAATTCTTCTGCCTTGGCCTCCAAAAACTCTGGGATTACAAGCTTGAGCCACTGCACCTGGCCTGACCAGTGATTTTAAAATAAGAAAATTACAATTTAAACAATGAGGATCTGGCCACACTGGACCCTCGACATCAGTCTGATAAACATGAACTGGAACTAAGTAGCAGCTGACATAACTGTAGCCTCTCCCATAGGACAGTTTCCTATATTCTTTTGCAACCTATGTTCCTGTCTCATTCATCTTACCTGTCAATCTCTGTGGGAATCAGAGTTTGAGATCCCTATAAAGCACTTGGTTCTTACCATTGTAAGAATCTCTATGGCATTGTATTGTGTCTGATTTTTAAATGCCTGTTTCTTCATCAGCCCACAGGCTACTTGGGTTTATTCATTTCTGTATCCCCATCTTCTAACACATGACTAGCATGGAGTAGACATTCACCATGTTTTTGAAATTAAATAAATTAAAACTCAATTATTGTATTTTCTTTCTTATTTCTTTTTTGCCATAATAGACAGGAGCCAAATGCTCTATTACAGGCAGACATGTTTCCCAAAACAGTGTGTAATTGCTGAACACCTTACAGAGAAGAAAGGGACAGAAATCCATTTTAAAAACAAACGTCAGAATTACTACCACACAGCAGTCTGAGGCCAGTTAGTGTAAGGCAGAAATACACCAGACACTCACGTTGACCCTGGTCACTATATGGTGATAATGATGAACATGTTCAGGCATCAAGGAAAGATTAAAAGTACGTGATACAGTATACATCAGAGCTTCATAAAGCTAGGAAGTAGGAGAGATATATTAGTGGAAAAAACGTTCAATCATATGAATACTAAATTATAGGAAAATTTAACCCCACAGAATCACTTATTTCTAGAAAACTGGGGTTTTACTGTAAATTTGGAATATCTGAAAGCTTGCCAACTATTTAAGTTTCTAAGGACCTACTATAATTCTTCAAAAACTGAGAATCTTTTTTTCTTAATTTTAATACCTTTTATGAGAATTCATTAAGCATTTGGAATTTTTTAAAATATCCTTTGCTGAAAAGATATAGTAGATATCAGGGGAAAATGAAAGTTCTTAACAGATAGCAAATACTTAGAAAAGAGTCTTGCAATACCAAGTATTTGCATGACAACCATCTAAGTCTCTCTGTTTCTCACTCCTCCCTTTCTTCCTCCTTATTTCTCTTTTATCCTCCATTATCTGGTCTTCTGCTCTCTGTGTTTAAATCTGCATATCAAAACTTCAAGCTTATACTTCACTAAATCTTGCCCTGCAGTTGAAACATAAATTCTATTCCTAGAAGTTGTTGACACATTGTTACACCCAAACACTGGGGCAGTCACCACTCTGGTATGGTTGATTCACTTTTAGACAGGAAGTGATAGAATCAGGTTCAGAGTTCTCTCCCATGCAACTCAACCTAGTTTTATGCTGATGATTCTGAAGGTTTGATACTGCTCACTGATAGCACTCTGTATATTCTGAAATATGGTTAATTATGATAACTGGGAAATCTTGCTTTTAGAAAGGCTTAGAGGCTATGTTCAAGTTTTCATTGTAGCTATTGCCAGGAGAATTGTCAGACATGGCTTGGGCCTTTGAAATGTGAATCTGATTGAAATGCAAAGATAGGGGTGGAATGAATTCCAGAGGTAGTTTGCATATAGCCTGTGTGTTCACTCACTCAGTCCACTGCATAATAACACCTTCAAAAATATTTGAAAATCTGAGTGAGCCTCAGAGTAGATGAGAGTATGTATGTGTAAAAAGAGATGAGATTAGGAGAGACAGTAAGAAAGGACGCTAGAGTAATAACAATAATAATAATAAGTTTATGTATTGGAGTATAAGAACACGACAGTGCCAAGCACTTTATGTGCATTATCTCATTTAATTCCCTTGACAGCTCTATGAGGTAAGTTATTATCATCATCCCCGTTTTCTGGATGGTAAAACTGAGGCTTAGATAGGTCTTGTAACTTGCTTAAATTTACACAACTACTAAATGACAGAATCTAAGTATAAACTCATACTTTTATCTTTTTTTAAATTTTAGATTTGGGGGTACACATGCAGGTTTGTTAAATGGGTTTTTGAGGCATCTGAATTTGGGTTTCTGGCGAACCCATCACTTAGATAGGGCACATAGTCCCCAGTAAGTTGTTTTTCAGCCCCTTTCCCCCTTTCTCTCTCCCTTCTCTCTTTTGGAGTCCCCAGTGTCTATTATTCTCATCTTCATATCCATGTGTATCTATTGTTTAGTTCCCGCTTATAAGTTGGAACATGTGACACTTTATTTTCTGTTTCTGCATTAATTCACTTCAGGATAATGGCCTCCAGCTACATCTGCATTGTTTTAAAAGACATGATTTTATTTTTTATTATGGCTGTGTCCTATTCCACAGTGTTTATGTACCACATTTTCTTTATCTAATCCACCGTTGATGGACACTTAGGTTAACTCCTGACTTTGCTATTGTAAATAATGCTGTCATAAACGCATGTAAACTCATACTTCTCTAACTTCTGATTTTGTGCTCTTAACCACAGTAAACAACTCAGTTCCTTGTAACAGGTCACTACTGAGAGATCAGGAAAAAAACAGCTCTCCAAGATTGTCCCAAGGACCCCCTGCACCTGCAAGTATCCAACAAGTCCATCAGCCCTTGGACTACTGTTGCATGAATGAGACAGACATGAGAAGACTTGAGTCTCCATGTGGTCTTTCTCAGTCACCTTGGGGCCCCACCAAGTGTTGGTGTTTTTACCATTTGCTCCTTGACAGAAAGAATAGGAAGTTCATGAAGGTTAATGTGTCATAAGGCATGAGAACACTGGAAGGTTGAATGAATCACTTGCTTTGGAGGCCTTTGAAAACAAAAACAAAATGGCAACAATTAAAAACAATTACTGGGTACCTATTCTGTTCATCACTCAACTTGTTTTCTATGCACACATATCTGTGTGTGTGTGTATATATATATCACACACATAGATATAGACAAGTATATATATCCTCATGTAGATGTGGGTATGTATGCATGTGTGTATCTATATGTGTACATAAATACATATTTATGTGTGTGTGTATATATGTGTGTGTGTGTGTATGTATGTGACCAGTGATAAAGGCATTCACCCTTTTCAATTAGAACACTGAATCTCAGAGTTTAGAAAATGTGCTCAAGGTTATACACTTAGTAAGTGAAAGTTCTCATGACTTTGTGTATATCATAGAACCTTCCTGAGCTTTAGCTAACCCCTCTGGAAAATGAGGAAAATAATACCTGCCACCAGGAGTTGATGAAATATTGTTCATAAGGATACCTCACCTGGCACAAACCAGCAGCTCATTACACATAACTGCAATAAATTTGCCCCCTCGACCACGCAATGTCATCTTCATGTGGGTGAATGCTGAAGGAGTTAGAGCTATGCTCCTGTCCTTGTAACTTAGGATCTGCTGTAGAGGTGATGGCATGCACTATTGGAATGGATTATCTTCGACACAAGCAGAAGTTAGAATGTAGTATGCCACTTTAATTACGCTTTAATTGAACTGCAATATACATCACCACTTGGCATAGGCCCTTTGAAGTCCGGTATCACCACCCTGCCTCGTGAGAATGTGTGCCGTTACCACTAGCATAATTGTTGGAGCAACTGACATGTTCCCAGCAGCAGATATTTCAGCAGGTAGTGAAGGTAATTAGGAGAAGATTTTGATCTTGCTGACTTATGGTGAAAAGCCAGGTATCGAGGGATATGAATGTAGAGACAATCCAGTCATATTAAAGCCAAACACAAAAGCTCCTTTTTAATATGAGGAACAAAAAAGCAGTAAAAACAAAGCTATTTTCAATTTGAAGAGGGAAAAATGCTATCCTTTGATCCCTGACATAATATGACGGGGAAACAAAGCACTCAGACAAATCATCCTGTATGGTAATTTTCTTTCTCGTTTGAATTTTTTTTGCCTGACAACCAAGTGACTGCTGCTTTAAAAAGTTTATTCACTTTGTTCATCTAACAAACTTTATTAAATGCCTAACATGGGCCAGTCACTATGTTAGGCTCCTGGATCTTTGCACTCAGCCATTCACAGTGTACTGTGGGACTGACATATTTTCAGATAATTAGAGTACAGTGTTAGGCATCAAGTATGTTAAGCAAGGGACTGTTGAAGCAGGAAGGAGACCCTCTATAAAAGACTGGTAAGAGGAGGGTAGGTGCATGATGAGATCAGAGGTTGCTTTCTGGAGGAAAAAGCATTTGACCAATGGAAGAAATAGAATTCCGCTGTATTAAGGGAAAAAGGCTATTTTCTACAGGGCAAAGTGCTTATGTTTATCACAGCACTAGTCACAATAGCAAAGATATGGAATCAAGCCAAGTGTTTATCAATCCATCAGTGAATGATTAGATGAAGAAAATGTGGTATATATATACAATGGAATAGTACTCAGCCATAAGAGAATAAAATCATGTCTTTTGCAGTAACGTGAATGGAACTGGAGGCCATTATCTTAGTGAAACAACTCAGAAACAGGAAGTCAAATGATGCATATTCTCATTTATAAGTGGGAGCTAAATAATGTGTACCCATGGATGTACAGTGTGGAATAATAGACATCAGAGATTTGGAAGGGTGAGGGGGTGGAAGGAGGGTGGATGGTAAGAGATTACTTAATTGTGTGATGGATGTTCAGTGATCAATAACCTAAAATCCTCGACTTCACCACTACACAATGTATGCATGTAACATAATTATACTTGTACCCCATACATTTCTACAAATAAAAAAAAGAGCTTATGGAAAGGCACAGAGGGATAAGAAAGTTTAAGGAAGAGTACAAAAGTTCCATTTACCACCATGTTGATGTAGGTGATTGGGTTGTGAGAAATGAGGATGGGTGGGGCAGGAAAAGTGATGTGTGCTATGCTGAGAGGTTTGTTCTTTAACCTAAGGGAAATAGAAAATCTTGGAGTAGATTTGTAGAGTTGAATTTATATCTTTAATAATCACCAGATTGGCTGATGAACTGAACTGAAGAGAGATGACTTCAAAAGCAGAGAGGCCAGTTAGGAGGCCATGGCAAATCCCTGGGAGAGAAATCGTATGGGTCTGAACTAAGACAGTGGCAAGAACAGTAGGAACAGAAGAGGAAGCTAGAAAAGAATCTATCTTTGAAGCTGAATTCAGAGTAGATACAACTAAGATCTGAAACTATAAATTGAAGAAAAAATAGAGACATCTACATTGCTCATATTTAATGGGGATGGTAAATAAGACTACCTTTGCCTAATATATGGCATACATATGATCTTGAGAAAAATCTGTATGTGGATTAGATTTTTATAAAGTAAATCACATTTGAGTATGTCAGAAGAGCTTGTGGTTTACAATACTCTGGTGTTGACTGATTACAATATAGGCAATAACTCTCTAACTTACTTGTATAGTTCATATAAATTTTCATATTTGGGGTTAGCTTAAAGCATATTTTAGACATCTTTGCTGCAAATTCACTTTTATTTGGTCAGATAATATACTTTGGTATATAATAATGTGTGTGGCAATCTCTCATTCACTAGAATAGTTTTAACCCTGATTGCTTCAGTTTCAGCAATGTTTTGGTTAATATTAGTGGTTTACCTAGTGCCTCAAGTTAATATGAATGATCCATTTACTATATAAGGTGATTTTGTGAATGACATTGTATTAGTCTGCTCTCACACTGCTAATAAAGACATAGCTGAGAAAAAGGTTTAATTGACTCACAGTTCTACAGGACTGGGGAGGCCTCAGAAAACTTACAATCATGGCAGAAGGGGGAAGCAAACATGTCCTACTTCCCATGGAGGCAAGCAAGGAAAAGTGTCGAGTGAAAGGGAGAAGAGCCCCTTATAAAACCATCAGAACTGGTGAGAACTCACTATCACGAGAATAGCATGATGGTAACCACCCCCATGATTAAATTACGTCCCACTGGGTTCCTCCCATGACAGGTAGAGATTATGGGAACTACAATTCAAGATGAGATTTGAGTGGGGACACAGCCAAACCATGTCAGGCATGAAAAGTGTTTGTGACGGACAGATAGATGAGTAGATGGGTGGACACATAAATAACAAAATAGGTAGTGACTGGTAGACTGATAGAGAGATAATAGAATTTGTAGACTCATACTTTCAATAAGCTTTAAATATGAATGTCCCGTGAACCAAATGGTGGCTCAGAAAGCCTGAGCCACAGAAATTGCTAGTGGCCATAAATGAATTAGAATTCAGACCATCTAATAAAGAATTTAATGCAACTTACACACATCATACTGATAATGGATAGATTTTAGATAATGATAGATAGTAAAATAATTTTATACTTCTATAGCAAAAGAAAAGTTACATGAAGAAAATGGTAGTGCCATCAATAGTCCACATAATAGACAGTCTTGAAATTAAAAAACAAAATGATGTTGCCTCAAAAAATAGAAGAAGTCACCAAGCAATGCACGTCTGTTGTCCCATTTAACCTTCGTAATAGACCTAGCATTTAGGTATTATTATGTCCCTTTTATAAATGAGAAAATGGAGACTCAGAGAAATTAAGTGACATGTCCAGCATCATTCACTTCTAAGAGTTGAAGAACCTAGTAAAACTTTGTAACTTCCATGGCTTCTATGGGAGTTTACTTCCCACTCAAGCTGAGATTCTGCAAGCCAGTTCTATTGCTACTGTGATGTGAAGACTCATCATGAATGCCTTTTGTTTGCTTTTATGAAATTGTTTTTGAACTTCTCTCCAGGGAGTAGGTGGCTGAGTTACTGGAAAATGTTCTTGTTTAACATTTTGTAGATAATAAATACTTTTATTCTAATAATTCCAAATGCAGTGTTTTGAAGGGCTCAAAACCATGTGTGGATGATTGCTGAAATCTCTCAATTACTTAATCATGTTCCCATGAATAAATACAAAAAAGAAACCCACGAGGTCAGATCAGTGGTTCATTCTACCCGGTGTACAGCACCAATGCTGACATGAAAGGATCATTTGTCACTTGTGTTCCATGATGTCGACTTCAAAAGATTCAGTGACTGCCCAAGCAGGTCAAGCTTGTCCTAATTACAAATTGTAACTCAACCATTCATCATTTTAGCACAACCCTTTTAGAAGGTATTAGTACAGATCTATAAAGATTTTATTCACTTATGCATCTGTTAACTCAAAAACATTTATTGAGCTCCTTCTGTGTGCCATGAAATTTCTGAAGTATTGGATTCAGAAATGAGTGAATTGCTTCTCAAAAGCTCAGGTAAAAGGACTTATTGTCCCTCAAAAGCTCTGGTAAACAAACACCTGCTATGTAATTATAGGCAGATTATGATGGAGAAGAGCAAGAAACACCATAGAATCACAGTGTAGGGGGTGTGTTTTCCCTCGGAGGAGAGTGTTTCAGGTAGCTTTGGCCTTTTCATCCCTGGCCCCCAAACAAACATACAAAAAGCAAATATGTACTGAGCATACTCTTGGAGCAAAGCCCAGCAAACCTACAGCTTGAAGCAAAGCCCCCCCCCAAGCTCAGCCTCAATCAGCTAAGTGGTAGTGCAACCCCATGACCCCTAGAACAAATTATTGTTGATCATAAGCCTTTTGTTTGAGTTTGTTTCCTTTTATGCAGCATTATTGCAACAACAGCTGACTAATACCAAATATAAGGCCCTGGCACATGAAAGAATCTCAGTAAACGCTAGATCTAACTGTTCTTATTCTTCTATTCCTGGTATCAAGAGTCCATTAAAAGTGGGTTGTGTATTTGAGTGAATACATATCTACACTGTATTTAAACAAAATATTCTACTTCTCCGTCACCAAAGAGTATGTACCTCCACATTACAGGGAGGGAAACTGAGGCATGAACCTGCACCTTGATGCCTAAAGTCCACCCTAATATATAGAACATACAGGGTTAATTGCTGCCTGTAAAAACTGCTGCCTAACATGCAATGAAAGCTCAATAAATATGTTCAGCATTCTCTCAAAAGAAGAGAAGATGTTTGGATACATGGAGAGAGCTGGCTGGGCTTCTGCCTAAGACCCCAGTGGCTTTTCTTTGGAGGCAGACGTAAATGTCAGGTTTAAGATTGCAGGTGAAAAAGAGTCACCAAATGACTCTTAGAAGAACCTTCACAACCACTACTAGGGCAGGCAACCTAGTTTCTTTGTTGGTCAAAGCTATTCTGAGCCCCCAATAAAAGGAGAAAGGCAATTCTGAGCTCCCAATAAAAGGAGAAAGCCCCTCTTCCCCTGATAAAAGGGGGAAAAAAGAGCCTAGTTTGATTTTGGAGTTTTCTTTACCTTTAAGAAAGGGAGAAACTCAAACTTGTTGCAAGCAAATGATATTAAATGCAAACGTTCAGGTTTCATTTACAGAATCCACATGAGATGGCTTGGCCTTTGAGCATCTTGACCTTTACTCATGATATCACCCCACAGGTTAATAAAAGGACACGTGGGAACATTTATACTTTTTACTCATGCTACAAGTATGTGCTGACCACTTATTTTGTGGCAGCAAAGGATTTCATATGTGGACACAATTTGAGGAAAAAGAAAAGGAAATTAACACTTATTGAAGGCCCAAAATGGCATTTCTTTTCTACAGTTTATTTAAATCCTCGTAACAGTCTTATAGGATAAATGGGATCTTTCATATTTTAAAAACAGAAAATTGAGTCTCAGAATGATGCCTTAGGTTGGATTTCCTGCAAACAGACTCTGCAGGAGAGTTTTGCATGCGGGATATTTATTGGGAACTGCATTTGGGAACCACACCTGTAAGGAAAAGCTGGAAGCAGGATTAGGCAATAAAAGGTGAACCATGATGCAGTTGCAACAGAGGCCTCAAGGGAATCTACAGGGAACTCTAGAATTTTCTTAGATTGAGACAGGGAGTTGAGATACATTCAAATAATTATGCAAATAGAATTATTAATTTCTTATTATCAATATTCAGGTAGGAAAAATATTTACTAATTTACTTTATTTACTTATTCACACATTGATTCATCCATTCTTTCACTTACAAACACTTAGAGAGCCCTTACTATATGCTGGAAACTATGCTAGGAGCTATATAAACTCTGAATAATAATTAAGTGTACTTTTTGCTCTTTGAAGGCCTTGGAGTCCAGCCTTGTGAATGTGTAAGTAAATGAGGTCTCTAAAAAGGATTTTTTAAAAACACCTACTTTAAAATTTCTATCAAATTAAAACAAGAATAGACCTAATCTGCAAACAAACAAATTTTCCTCAAGGCAACAGGAAATCCTGGAGAGACAAGAAGACACTTTTATAAAGCAACCAAGTGTTCCCTCCCCCCTTAAAAACCACTCTCTGTGGGTAGAAACTAATGAAAGAGTACATTTTGCTGTCTCATCTCCTCTGTTTGATGGATTTGGCTCTACACAGAGGCCAGAGTCTACTTGGATTGCTTTTGAATTTGCCCTTGCATCAACTGAACTCTCTAGACTACTCTCTCTGCCACAGGAAAAAAAAAATGTTCTTACTATGAATAATAAACTCTTACATGAAGTAACTCTAAAGAAAGTAGATTGGAAAATAAAGACCGAGCTAAATAAAAATGTCATAATAGGTAAGAAGTCTTGCCAGTATTTTTCCGCTGGGATCCTTAACCTATTATCCATTAATATTTTGGGCTTACAGAAGACAAAGTAATTAGCATGACACCACTTGCTGAGAACTCCACAGACATGAAAAACTATAGTTCTGGCTTCAGAGCATACTTGTCAGCAGTACAATATGAACAAAGTATCTACAATTACAAATACTTAATAAAGACAAGCTAAGTTTCCCACCAGTTTGAAACAAATAAAATATACTAACAGCATGTTGACTTCTGAATCTTTTGTTCTATCCAAGATGAAACTTGGGAGATTCTATTACTATCTATAGTGGACTGCCCTGTAAGATGAGATCATAAAGAATAAAAATAATTTAGTGTTAATAGAGGAAAGGAGAGCTGACATTTAAAAAATGTTAAACTGGGGTTGAATTAGGCTAATCTAGTTTCTTAGAAGCATCAAAACCAACAAGCTTCATTGCTGAAAGAGAGTAAAAGGAGAACCCTCTGGAAACTGAGACGTATAACTCATTTATAAACTCATTCATTCATCTGACCATCCAGCAATATGTATTGACCACCTACTAGATCCCAGACTTACATAGGAAATGAGAATGAAGTGATAAATACAAGAAACAAGATCTCATTTTCATGAAACTTACATGCTGAGAGGGAAAAATTAGAAAATTACCAAGTAAAAAATGAGCAATGTAAATATAATATTGAAGACTGATAAGTGCTATGAAGAAATTAAAGCACAGTAACGGTGAAGAGAATAATGGTGGGATCAAAGATTCCAGATAGGGTGATAAATACAGGCTTCTCAGAACTGGCATCATTTGAACAAGGAAGGAAGAGGAGAGGAGAGAAGGGGAAAAAAGGGGAGGGGATGGACGGGGAGGGGAGGAGAGGAGAGAAGGGGAGAAAAGGGGAGGGGACAAATGGGGAGGGGAGGGGAGGAAGAAAGGAAGGAAGGAAGAAAGGGAAGGAAGGAAGGAGGGAAGAAGAGAGTGGGAGGAAGAGAGGAAGTCAAAAAGAAAAGAAGAGAGAAAGGAAGGAAGGAAGAAAGGAAGGGAGGGAAGGAGGGACGGAGGAAGGGAGGGAGGGAGGAAGGAGGAAGGCGAGAAGGATGATAAAGAGACTTCTATGGGAATCTATGGAGAGAGAAATTGTACTCCAGGAAGAGGGAGCAGCCAATGTAAAGGCCTTGAGGTGGAGGAAAGTTTAGCATAAATGGAGAAATTCTGGTAAGCCCACTCATGATCTGTTTATGAAGCTGTGTGCCCTGGTGTATGGGCTTCCAGGGGAAGGACTGCTTGTTCTTAGTTTGTCCAGGCACTAGATGCAGCTTTGGAAGGTCCAAGAGCTTAGAGAGCAGGGTGGAGAATGGCAAGAGGTATGACTGGCAAAGCCAAATCATGATGTCATTGGAAAGGCGATGTACCTAAAGTTACATCCTGGTTTCTTACTCAGACACTGCCACTCATGAAGAGGTGATCTGGGGCCAGTCCCTGCTCTACTTAGAGCCCCAGCCCCTTTTCTACAAACAAGGAAGACAAACTGGATGCTCCCCAAGCCTCCTTGTCACCACACTCTTCATGATTCTGTGAAGCCACTGTTTTAAGTGCAAGTATAATTTAAATCAAGAGCCTTAAAACTTCAGCCCTTGGAGAGGCCAGCAGGTAGTACTGTCATGTGATGTTTAGCTTTGTTGGTTTAGGCTAAAATAATTAAATCAATTATCTTTTACACAATAATCATCAAGTAATTTTTGAATGAGATGAGTAAGGGAATTTGGAGACCAAACGTGATGGAGAAAGAAGATAAAGGGTGGGTGTGGATCTTTGCCATGGATAAAGAACACCTGGCCTCATTTGCACCCTGTGGTGGCTGACTACATAGATTTTCTGGATTTTAAAGATAGTTTGTTGTTCTTATGAACCAATTACAGATTGCCAGGAATTTTTTAATAAGGGAGATAATTAGATCAGATGCAGTTAGAGCATCCATTGAATGATGAACATGTCTACATTTTTAGAGTATTAAAGAAATATATGAATTTAATTTAATTATCCAGATTAGAGAGAAGGTAACCTCTTCATCCTACAAATGAGCAAGTAGAAGCTCAAAGTAGCTAAGGAAATAACTTAAAATTGTTGATTTCCAGCAAAGCCAGGACTAGAGTCCAGGCTTCCCTATTATAAATTCTGTACTTTGAGATGGATGTAATTGAATGATATTATAAATATATTTATGTAATATTCACAGAGCTCTGTTTTCTTTTATACCACCCAGGTCTCTGTTAATCCAAATAGTCCCTTTGTGTGAATAGCAAAAATAAGTAAGTAAAGCAGTGCCATGCCAGAGTGGTTGGTTTTGTCAGCCGACCTCAGGTTGGACTGCAGCCCCTCTTTACCCAAGCCTGGCAGCCCTAGTTATTACATTTGCTTTGTGCTTTGCAATATACTGAATTACTGTATTTCATAATATTTTGGTGGCTCTAAGGAGCAATCTTGTGAGACATTCAAGGTAGAGAAAGTATTCCTGCCCCCTATTTGATTGATTAGGAAGTGACGATTTAGAGATGATATGACTTTTCCATGCTCACTTCCATCACTGGGGGAATGGATCTTGATCCCAGAGTTTCTGATACGAAATACAATCACTTATCTACATTACTTCAGTAGAAAAAATGTAAGCCTACTAATTTATTTTTCTTAATTGTTACAGCTCTTGGACAAGAGTGTGAGGTTTGGGGGAAGGACTTAAAATGTGAGCTGCAAGGGAGTTCTGCTATGATCTATGGATTTCATATTTCTGAGGAATCTTTGTCCTTCATTAAGTTGAACCCAGTAAGCTGTTCCCAGACCTGAAGAACTTCTGCATGCAGGAACATAGGTTAGGCTAGGCTGAACACTCTTTCTTTTCTATTTGGGGCTTGGGCCTGTCCAAGTGCAGACAAAATGATGTTACTTACGAAACACAAACATGTAATTGAAAAACAAAACCAATTATGTTAATTAATAGTTGCTCAGTTTTTGGAACACAATGAAAGGGTTTTAAAAGTTATAAAAATTGCACCAAAATAAAGTATGATATTTAAGAAACAAAAATCCTCCACACTCTGTATTGTGTTTATTATGACACATACATATTAGCTTATAATTTATTGTCAATTTTTAACTCTTTATGTTGGCATTATGAGAAGGATTAGAAAAATATTCCATAGAGTTGAGCGCCTGAGTGGAGGGCCGATGATCAGGACAAAATATCTCAGCATTAAAAATGTGGGAGGAGACACTCGGGTTAAAACAGAGAATTGCTATGTACAAGTTTGATTTGTGATACAATAGCTTATGTCAGCACAAAATCTTGTCTAATTTCTGTTCAATAACATTTGGGAATGTTTACATTCAAGAATGCGTGAACAAGCCTGTGGCTTACCTGCAAGTCTTGTTAAAATACATTGGCCTAACTTGAATGGCTCCGGTCCTGCCACTGACCATTCATTGCTCAGGGCATCTCTCCACGTTTTGTGTCCTAAGACTTGCCTTGGTGTGCAAGAACACTCAGTGTGCATTGGGATATGGGAATATATCCATTGGGAATGAATATTTAGGAACTCCTCATACTTCCTGGACCTACCTTCACTCCAAATCCAGCTTCCGGGTTTCTCTGAACTGTGTACCTTATGATCATAGGCCAGACTTAGCCTCACATGCCTAACTATGCCTCCAAGTGCCCTTCCCAGGCAAGGGCTATGGGACCTCTGCCAAAGACACTGTGGCCTTTTTGGGGAACAGTCACTGAGACTCTTTTGACAAAGAAAATGAGCTGGAGGGCTGGGTGCAGTTGGGTGCAGTGGCTCATACTTATAATCTCAGCACTTTGGAAGGCTGAGGCAGGAGGATCCCTTGCACCCAGGAGTTCAAGATCAACCTGGGCACTACAGTGAGAATATGTCAGAAAAAAAAAAAAAAAAAGAAAAGGAAGAAAGAAAGAAAGAAAATGAACTAGAAAAGCTATAGGCTTCCCATTATCCTCAGCAAACTAACGCAGGAACAGAAAACCAAACACCGCATGTTCTCACTTATCAGTGGGAGCTGAACAATGAGAACACATGCACACAGGGAAAGGAACGACACACATTGGGGCCTGTCTAGGGAGGGCACTTAGGGGAGAGCATTAAGGAAAAGTGTTAATGCATGCTGAGCTTACTACCTAGGTGATGGGTTGATAGGTGCAGCAAACCACCATGGCACACGTATACCTATGTAACAAACCTGCACATCCTGCATGTGGACCCCAGCACTTAAAAAATAATAATAAAATAAAGTATTTTTTTAAAAGAAAAGCTGTAGGCTACCTTTGGAGGCAAATCCAGATATTAAAAAGATAAAATATTTTAAATAAAACTGTAAAAACAGTTGAGAGAACCTCTATTAGCTATACTCATTTTGAGCAGATTATCTCTTTTCTATTAAAGCACTGAACATCACTCTTCTTATTACTAAGACTAAAGTTTAACTATCAGTGTGTAATTATATGACTGCATTGTCTCTGTGGACTTTGCCGGAGAAGAAATATACCTTCTTTGCTCTTATGCAGATTGAAGGGACAACTAAAATCTGTATGAACTCTCCAAATGAGTTGGACTGACATATTTGAACAAAACTGTAATAACCTTTGAGCAATTAATGATAATATTTAAGAATGATGATAAATGCATCAAAGTGCATGGGAGATTGCTTTTTTTAAAATTGAACTTTATACGTCAGTGTGCTTCATGTTGGTCACACATAAGCTTGCTATTGTAAAGGAAGGGTCTGAAGAGGGCACACTACTCATCCTTACTATAGGCAATCATGCTTGTGGTTCAAGTCTAGTACATTCAAATGTGCATCCAAGCTACCCACTGCAGTCCTTTGTTTTATACTTTCACAGCAAGTGCAATTCTATAGAGCAATACTTGATTTTTTAAAATAATTGATCTGCAAATATAAATAAGTCCATTGCAGAACACTGTCTTTGACTGCTAGGCTCATGATCTTAATAACAGCCCATCAGCCAGAATGAGATACTCAATTGCAAAGCAACTACACTCCCAGGATCGAGTCTCATCATTTGGGAAGTAGATAGCCAGAGTATGTTGTGTGGACAAAAAGTGAGGTTATGTATTGATTCCATTGACAGTGTGAATATTCCTGACCATGGTCAGAATAGTTTTGTAAAGCAAATGCATACAGCATGAATGCATATTTAACCATAGAATAATGGCTGAGGGAACAGACCTGGACTCATATTACTTGGGCTCACATCCTGATCCTGTTACTTCCAAACTATGTGCTATTGAGCAAAGTGTGCTGTGCATTCCCATTTTCTCTGTAAAATACAGACTAAAACTTGTCCTAGACTTGCTAGAGATTAAAGGAGATTATATATATAAAGTTTCTAGCACATTTTCTGTCATTCAATAATATTTGCTATGATAATTTTCTCTAACTTAGAAGAATGAAGACTGACATGCTAAAGTCATTCCAGAAAATGAACGACAATGCTATCCTACTAAATAACACCCAAGCCTCTGATTTATAAAACACATGTTGCAGATAACTGAGACAAGAAAGAAAAAGTCCTGGTTTCACAATCAGAACACCTGAATTTGAATTTTTCTTTGTGTAATCTTTAGGAAGTTGTTTATCCTCTCTCCATCTTTTTATAAAAAGGCAATTATGATGCCTACCTCATGCTGTTGTAATAGGAACTAATGAAAGCGTGTGTGCAAATGAACTAACACTGTGCCTCCCAGGAATGAAGAAAGTGCTACATAAATACTAATGTCCTCACCCTCTTTTCCTTTCTTCGAACTCATACGTCAAAGTTTTTAATTTATCTAAATTGAAGACTTGAGTAATGACATTTCTCAGTGAAGTTTTAGGTCAAGACATTTGTCCTAAAACCAGTTCAATGAGCCCATATTTGAAGTGCTTAGATTGTAAACACTGGACATATTTTCATCACAAAATAGCTGCAAACTTCATGCGTGAAGGAAACCCTCTTTTAGAACCTGGTTCACTTTTATCATGCTCACATGCATTTCATGTGTCTAACATGGCTCTTTTTTGATTGCAATGACACTGAATCTCACATTTCAGATTCATGGCCTTCAAAAAAAGTGGCTGAGAAATAGTTTGTGAATCTGAGTCATCTTCTCCAGACTCCAGACCTGTCTAGAGAAAACACCACCCCCTTTTTATTGGAAACATCTGAAGGTATAAGTCATTACTGAGTGTGTTTCTCGCCCATTGAATCCAGCCTCTCTCTTCCTCCTGATTCACACTGTTCTCAGGATGCTAACTGACGATTTCTATTCAAATTAAGTGGACCAGTCAGAGATTTTATTTTGCCCACTGTTTTGCTAGATTTTAATAAGGTAAAATGGTGACTAACGTGTTCCAGTTTCAGTCTGGGACCAGATAACCCTTTCCCAGAAAGCTGCTTCACTGTTTTCAAAGACAAACTTGTGCTGTGCAGTTGAAAGATGGGTTTGGGATTTCCATTCTGATTGGAAGTCTGGTAAATGTATGCTAATTTTCAAATACAGGGTTGACTTGGACTTCCCTAGTGTAAGGAGATTCTGTTTAGAAGTCAATGGAAAATCAATTCCTTGCTGTTTTAAAATTAATGCACTCAGTTATTTGAAAAGTGAAAGAGAGCCGGAAATCAGACTTCCTTTTAAACTTGAACCTATCAGGCCACAAGAGCTTTCTTAGCAAAATGTTTTTCTTTTCTATTGCATACAGCGTAAAATAAATGTTCAGCATTGTGGCCAGACCAGCACTAATGTTGTAATCAAATGTCATGATATTTCTATTTAATATTCGGAAAATGATTTGCATCCCCCAGGAAAACATTTGAACAGCTTTTCTAGCACCTCAGGTCCAAGATGTGTTTCCTCAAGAAGTTCAACACAAAGGTCTGCCTTTCAGGCTACCTTACTAATTTAGCTTTGCAATAAACCTGAAAGCGTTTAAGGATGTGTACTGAGTTACTTAAGCATTTCTACTATGGATACCTGCTACAAAGACTTAGACAGTAAATAGTGATATTCAGTCTTGGATTGTGTGCTATTTGGTGCTTCACAAAGCCTGTCACGAGAGTCTTCATCATTATGAGAAGTGGCTTTTGTTTGTTTTTATTTTGATTCCTTCAATGCAGAAATTCAGATGCAGACTCAGCTAGTGTTTGTAGGCTTTCACTGTGTGCCAAGCATTGTGATTGGCATCTCATCTATGTTATCTCATTTATCCTTGCAATAATTGTTGAAGCATGTCTTACTGTATTCATGAGCTTCTGAATTTGAAATGACTGGCTTAGGCTCACTCAATTGTAAGTGGATAGGGCAATTCCCTAGAAAAATGGCAGAGCCGGGATTTGCAGTAAGTCATCCCAAGATAGAAAATACTTGTACTTTGCCAAATCTGTGTTCAGTAGAATGCAGTCCTATTGCAAAAAGAAACCAAAAAAACTCAAGTCCTGTGGTCAAAGAAATTTGGAAAGTATGGAATAAAAGTTAACTGGTTTCTTACATGTGAGATTTTCTTAGAACCAAGAATGAGATTTCATATTAGTCAAGAAGAGCCTATGGTTGGATTATATCCCAAGTATTTTGTCCGTGAAATCCTTTCTATGAGGAGCCACTCATAAGAGTCAGCACATGTTGGGAAATGCTGTCTGACATTTTCTGAGCTTGCCATTATGTGCTATTTCCTGAGGTTTTCATATTTCAAAGAGAGGCTGAGCTCCTTTTGGTTCATAACACAGTCCCACTGTTCAAGGCATTTAAGGTATAGCTGAGAAAACATGGCCTATACCCATGAAGCCATTCGAAGCCCACAGAGGGTAGATCATGCTGCGTTTATTTCAAGGATTTCTGCTTATCTGAAAACATCAGTAGGATCCTTTCCCTGAAAGCAGGAATTTAGAAATGGCCTATGCAGTGAGCTTCAGGGTTCATCTTCTAAGAATGTAGGTCCTAGGAGCCACAAAGGAACTTTTTATGTTTCATTTTGTGATTTTCTACTGGAACTTTATAGGCATCAAAATTCTGGGAAATAATAAATAGTCCTCATGAGGATCTTTTCTTTCTTCAATGTGTGCCTAAAGGAGAAGAAATTCTTCGTGAACTCATTCAGTCCCAAAACACCTGGGAAGGACTCAAGAGAATGAAGATTATAGAAGAAGCAGTCTGTAGATATAAAATTGTGATAAAATTCATTGAATTGAAGCAAAACTTCTTGAATCTTAGATGTCCTGCCTTTCCATAAACAAATCCACAATTTGGTCTGGTTAATGTGGATTTACAGATATAATAGGAAGTTATGGGGTTGGGGGTTGGCAATCTCTTCGTCCGTTAACCGTTGTTAATAGCAAATCAACAATGTGACGCAAAGAAGGTGAAGAATGACTAATTCCCTCACTTTAGGTTATTGTACTCACTCTCTGAAGATGTCACTGCAGCTGCTCTCGTTTCCCATGTGTAAATGTGGCTAGAATTCTTGATTTGCAACAGAAGTTCCTTCCACATCAAGGGCATATTAAGTCTGTGTTCTATATAATGTCTGCATGAGCAATGTATAGTTCTTTTGTCATTATGGCTGTTAGACTACAACTCCATTCACTGTCAACTCTTTGCAGCTGTTGGTTCACACTCTCAACCCCTTCCTTTCCATCAATTACCTCACCACCTAGGGTGTACCACTTAGGATCACCTCCCACTCTATTATAGAAAAGGTGTCTACCATCTTTGTGAGCTGACTGCCAATTCAGCTTTTGTCGCTATCATATTTCGAGTTTGGGGATATATCAACACACATAACCATATAAAAAATTCCAAGATATTTATCTTGACATATGTAATATATTATATCTTAGTATAAGTCAGTACATACAGTTATGTGACCTCATTTATCCATCATTGTCAGTGAGTAGAGATGTCCATATAGAACACCAGACTTACTCTGGCCTTATCGTAACACTATATATTTGATTTTTTGGCAAGAAACGTAACTTCTCCAGGAGGCTAGTTTCTCATTTGGAAAATGGGGCTGATAGTAATGACCTCGCTGTGTGATTATGACATTGTTCATTTAAAAATATTTTGCAAATTGTGACAAGAAACATATTTTTGATATCTTAATCATTAATTGATTTAGCAAAAATTTGTTATTAATGTGTTATGTGAAAACACTAGGCAAGGTCTAGGGTGGCAAAAGTAATAAAGTCTTGTCTACCCAGAAGAATCTCCTACCTATAACAGAAGCACATAATGCAGCTGTATTCATGATGACTTTTTAGAGTATTTAATCACATTCTTCTTGAAACCCATTTCTTTTGTATTCAGTTAAACCATACTGCAGATGTTCTTTCTCTCTTTCAATTTTTTTCTTCTCAGTTGCTTTGGCCAACTGAGTTCTCTACACAGTTTCCAAATGTTGAAGTTCCTACAGTCTATCTCAAGCCAGTCTTTGATCTAGATCCTTTCCTGCACAACCTTATCCACTGACTTTAAAGTTCTTCTCTATGCCAAAACCTCTAAAATTTATATTTCTAGCCCTTAATGTGATTTCTTAAATTCAAAATTGTTAATATAACTATCTGATTTTTGAACTAAGCGTGCCCATACTAGAAACCTTGACTTGACTTTTAAATCTGTTGCTACATTTGTTTTTCTTACTCCAGTAAATGTTACCTCCATTTACCCAGATCAACAGACCAAAAACCTGGCCTTCATTATTTATACCTTCCACAACACACCCTTTCAAAACCCACCAAGAATATTCCTACCTGTAGTGCCATCATTCTATTGAAAGCCATCAGCGTCACTCACCTGAATCATGGCAATAATTTTCTAATTGATCTCCCAGAGTCATCTTTCTCAAACAAAAATGTATTTTTTTCTGAAAACCCTACAATAGCATGCCATTGCATTTTTCAGAATCAAAAAATAAAAAAAAAAAAAAAAAAGAAAAAGAGAGAAAGGAAAAAGAAAATCTGTAACATAATGTACCAGGCTATGAAGGCCTGGCTTCTCCCTTTCTTACCAGTCATGTCTAAGGTTACCCCCTTGCTGACATCCAATCACTTTATTCTTCTTTTGGGTCTTCAGGCACAAGCACTCTCCTGCCTCAGGATATTGCACTTGTTCCAAACTCTCTTGTTGCCTTCTCCCATCCACTGCACCTCCACTTAGCTAAGACCGACTCATACTTCCAGGTTTAGGTTAATGTCACTTCTGCATTTCGAGTAAGCCTACCTTGACTTACCTGTCTAAAGTAGACCCCCTGATACTTTTTCTCATGGGATGTAATTTCCCTTTATGGAATTTAAATGATACTAATTATATGTTTATGTTTATATGCTTACAGTTTGTCTTCCCACTTGAGAGCATACCCCATGGGGAAAGATATTAGAACATCTATATTCCTAAATACCCAGCCCCCAGTATAGTGCCTGGCAAATAGCAGACATTTAGAAGATATTTATAGAATAAGTTAAAGAATGACAAAAGTTTTTATTACCCAGATAATTGAAGCTTGACCCTTTAAATCACAGTTTTTAGCTAAAATGTTTTGAATGATATTTGTATTAATCATTAACATCACTTCTTATATTGTTTTTTAAAAATTTTTGTGGGTACATAGTAGGTGTATATATTTATGGAGTACAGGAGATGTTTTTATACAGGAATGCAATGTGAAATAAGCATATCGTGAAGATTACTTTTTATATTGAAGGAATAAAACATAAAATCATTGTTTTCTTGATAATTTAGATAAACAAGAAACAAAAGATAAAACATTTAATGCAGACAAGGCTTATATTTAAGGTCAAAAACATACTGAAATAGCATAAGTTACAGAAACTTAGCTTTATAACAGTTAATAAGAACATAACTCAGGAGTTTTAGTTTGACTATAAATTCAAAATGAGTCAACAGTGAATATGGCTGACACGCATAGACACAAGCTGTATTAGTAGAATTATAGATGCTAAAATAAGATAGGTGAAAGTTCAATTCTATTCTGGACCTAAAATGTCTATTTACTTCAGGCCACCAACATTGAAGAGGCATGTACAAACGTGGCACGGTATCAGAGGAATAGGACTCAATGCAGAGAGGTCATCTTATTGTTCTCATGAGTTTTCTCAACTGCCTGACGTAGGTATTCTCTAAGATTCTGAGCCCAGTTGACATCCCTTGTCATTGGATAATTGTAGAATCTTAGGCAAATTTCTTCACTGTCATTGTCCCAATGACTATTACCAGTCATTAATTTCCCAAATCTATATAACTTTCTCAGACCTTTCCCTGAGCTTCAGATGCTCAAATGCCTGTTGAGTATCTCTCCCTGGTTATCTTACAGGGACTTCCAAGCCAGGACTTTTTCCCAATGCAACGTTCCATTTACAGCAGTGCTGTTCGCCCACTAACAAATCAAAAACTGAAGAGATTTGTGTCTTAATCCGTTTGTGCTGCTATAACAAAATACTACAAACTGGGTAATTTATTCATAGCAGAAATTTGTTTCTCACATTACTGGAGACTGGGAAGTCCAAAATCAAGATGCTGACAAGTTTAGTGTCTGGTAAAGGACAAATCTCTACTCTAAGATGGCACCTAGAATACTCTGTCCTCACCTGGCAGAAGGTGGTGGAGCAAAAAGAGGCCTAGCTAGTTCCATTCAACACTTTTAATAAGACTATCCATGAAGTTGGAGCCCTCAATGCCCAATCACCTTCTAATGGACCCACCTCTTGCTACTGTTGCATAGGAAGTTAAGTTCCAATATGAATTTTGGAGGGCACATAAACATTAAAACCATAGCAAGATCTTAGCTGCTTCTTTCTCAGTCCCCAAACCTATTGAAGTAATTACATATTTTTCACTTCCTTGGATAGCACCTGTCTCTAATGCCACCTTCTCTTACCCAGCTACCACTTCCTAAGGTTTAGGAAAGCAGAGGATTAAGTTGTCTGGATTTTCTAGAAAATAACAGGTAATTAGAATGTGAATGGGCCTCTTTGGATTCTCCCCTGGTTGTGTAGTACAGCTTACAACAATAAATTTAGTCATGTTCATTTTGTCTGCTTTATTACAGTTTCTATCAGACCAAGCTATTTCATGCCATGATGCCTTTACTTATGCTGTTTCCTTCACCAGTGATACCCTCCTAACCCCACTAAATCTCTCTGCATAGAAAGTTTCCACTCATCCTTTAGGATTCATCCAAGCCACACATATAAATATTATCCTAGGATGTAAATTGTCTAAATATTCCACTTAAAGTACACAGAGTTGCAAGTTGGATTAAAAAAATAAGATCCAGCTATGTTGGTCTGCCCTGCAGATATTGAGCTTTCCAAGCCTAACAATCACGTGTGCCAATTCCTCAAAATCTTTCTATATATGTGCACACACACACACACACACATATACATGTGGCTGTATACATATATGTGTATGGTATGTAAGTATATCTTTTCATATAACATACATATCTCTCTCTTTATGTAATATTATTTTTATATAATATTTATATATGTATAATTTTTATATTTTTTGTAGAGATGGGATCTCACTATATTTCCCAGGCTGGTCTTGAACTCCTGGGCTCAAGTGATCCTCCAGCCTTGGCCTCCAAAAGTGCTGGGTTACAGACATGAGCCACCTTCCCTGGCCTATAATAATATTAGGTTTTAGGAATAAGACCAGGTTGTGTGCTCTTGCCACTGACGTTTGGTCCTGGGTAGCATAGTAAACCATGAATTAGTGAATGAATGAATGAATGATATTGGAATTGAATTTTTAAAATTATGACAGCACATATGATTTTCATATATATTTTTATTTCAATTTACACATTTATTATTATCATTAATAAGAATTTAACAAGACAGATAATTAAAAATTAAATATCTACCCACATAGCAATAAATAGAAAACAAATTTTAAAAATTACAATTTCATTAAAAAGTATGCAGAAATTAAATACAAGTAAGACCTTCATAGAGAAAACTTGAATACTTAGTTTATAGATATAAAAGCAAAGCCTAGTAGAGTGACAAATGAGCCAAGTTTTTAGATTAGATATAATGTTCAAATATATTTTATTCTAATATAGATACATCGGTCTTCTCCACTAGAATATCAGCAATGTTTTCAAGAATTTGACAGGCTGATTAGAAGCCTCCTATAATCAACCTATTTAGAATTCAAACCCCTCTACCACACCATCTCAATCCCACATAGCCTTGTCTATAATTTGTATAGCCCTTTTACTTTCTGGTATTATTTATAATATAATTTATTTCTTATTACTGTTTGTGCCTATTCTTCCCCACACACATTAATTTGTAAGCTCCACAAGGATGGGAAGTTTTGTCTCTTTACTGCATGATGCAGCCAAGTACCTGCTACATAGTAGGTGGTTGGCAATAATTGGTTGGATGATGTTTAAAACCAATGTAGCTGGGTATGGTGGCTCATGTCTGTAATCCCAGCACTTTGCAAGGCTGAGGCAGGAGGATCACTTAAGCCTAAGAAAGACCAGGCTGCGAAACATATGAAGATCCTATCTCTACAAAAAAAATAATTAAAAATTAGCCAGGCATTGTGGCACACACCGGTGGTCCCAGCTACTTGGGAGGCTGAGGCATGAGGATCGCTTGAGCCCAGGAGGTTGAGGCTGCAGTAGCCATGATCACACCACCAGACTCCTGCCTGGCCAACAAAGCAAGACGCTGTTTCAAAAGAAAATAAGTGAAAAAAAAATAAGTGAAAATGTGTATTAGTTTCTGATACAATTGGAAAATAATAGCAAAGTTACTGTTGGATAAAAATTAGAAAGATACCCTCCAGGCTTATAGAATATACTAACTAGGATAGTGCAGTTTTTGGATAGGTCAAAATAAACTAGCAGAAGATGAAGGAGAAACTATAAACAGATTCAATTTATGCATGTATGTGCACCCCTGATGTATTGCAGAAATGCTATCAGAGAGCATTGGGCAAAAGAACAGTCTTTACAATAAATGGAGCTGAAACAACAAATTAAAAACAAACAAAGACTTATTCAAATCCATTGTCTCTAAGAATGTCTTCTCTAATTGTCTGATCTGACTAACCTTTCTTCATTTGTGGCTGCCCAGCTCCCTAGACATGTAGCTGTTATGACATATGTGAAGCTGTGTTCTAACGGTTTGTTAAACCTGGCCAACTCCAAAATACCAAGCCTTTCCATTAACATAGAATTGAGATATAATGTTCTGGAGTAAATTCCAGGGCCTTGTCAATATTTCCAAAAATTTTGAGAAGGTAGGGAAGGGTGTTACACTTTCCTGGTTCCATCACAAGGAAATTTATCAAATTTGATTATAAAAATTTAAAATTTTGCAAAATTTATGCACACCAACACTCACAGACAAACATGGCGCTGCTTGCAGTTGAGAGAAATGTAAACAAATATAAAGATGCAGTATTAAATCATAACTGCATAATATTAACAGTAGTACCTACTATACTACTGTAATAATTTCACAGCTACCTTCTGTTGCTATTGTGGTGAGCTTGTGTTGCAGGTATTTGTTTAAAACACCATGTGACACTAATCTTCTCCTTATGAGCAGTTCTCTCCAGAAAATTGTGGATCAAAGTGAAAAAGTAATCTCTCATGGCTCTCAGGGATTTTTCATCATGATTAGTGAAATATCATAAATTTTGAGTAATACCATGGGATCCATACAAAGTGCCACTAATGTTACTGGAAGTGTTCCCAAGAAACAAAGTTATGATGTTACAAGTAAAAGTCAGATTGTTTGATATGGATCATAGATTGAGGTTCTACTGCTCAGATTTCCCATTTCAGATAGAAGATTCATCTTATAAACAGATGTGATACACCTACAGTATTGACATATACAGTATGACACCATTAAGGTATTTTCTCTTCCTTATAATCTTCTTAATAGCATTGTTTTTTTCTCTAGTGTGCTTCATCATAAGAATATAGTATATAATACATGTAACATACAAAATATGTGTTAACCAACTGTGTTATCAGTAAAGCTTCTGGTCAACAGTAGGCTATTAGCAGTTAAGCTTTTTGGGCAGTCAGAAGTTATACTCAGATTTTCAACTGTGCAGGGGTCAGCAACCTAACCCCTGTGTTGTTCAAAGGCCAGTTGTAGCTTGAATCATACAGCATGCAGCCTTTTTAGATTGGCTTCTTTCACTTAGTAATTTACACATTTTTCTTACTGTTTTTTCATAGGTTGAGAACTCATTTCTTTTTACTGCTGAGTAATATTCCATTGTTGGACATATCCCCAGTTTATTTAAATCATTTTAAAATCATAGTTTTTTAAACTCAACTTGTGTCAACTTTTTAATTTGGATCCATGACTTTTCACATAAGTAGAAAATAGGTTTTCTTCTAAGACAAAACAAACTCCACAGGTTGATTCTTGTCCTCCCTGCCATCGTCTTATTCTCTCCTCCTCATTGTCTTATTCCTCCTTCTCCCGCACCTTATTTCTTCCCATCTCCCTCCTTTCCTCCTCTTTCTCCTCCTCCTACTCCTTGTTGCAGGAGTTCTGTGATCTGTCTTTCCTGCTAGAATCCCAACTTTTGAGGGCAGGCATTATGACTTATGTATCTAGTGATACCATAGCCCAACACAAAGTATCTTCATTAAACCTTCAGTTACTGAAACACCGAGGTTTTCCTTGGTTGACACCCGGTTTCCTGCATGCGTCCTGGATAGAGCAATGACTTCATAAGTAGCCTCCTGGTACATACTCCTTCATGCTTGTTTATTTGAGTGTGTGTGTGCGAGTTTGTGTGTGTTACACATAACAACAATATCTAGCCTTATTAGCAAAACTACCTGTGTATTACTTCATGCAAGCATTGCAAAAACACTATGAAATATGTATTATTATTACCTCCATTTTACAAATGAGAAAACTGAGGCTCAGAAAGTTTGGATAATTTGATTAATTTTAAAATAATCGTTAAATGGCACAGTCAAGAACTAAACCAAGGCAACTTGACTCTGAAGCCTGTGGTTTAACTATTACACTGTACAAATAAATGTATGTACCAGTTTTATCACATAGAATGGCTGCTAAAATAAATTGGTAAACTCCAGTGTTTCTAAAGACATTACATGAAAGGTCTTTTAGCCCATATCTAATACAGAATAAGTTAATAAAAATCTATAATGAAAACTTAAAATCTTCTCTGGGAAACTAATCAATGCTTTTAATCATTCTCTGACAAATACATTAGTGAATTAAACTCCATATGCATGCTCAGAAGAAAGAAGAAAATTGCTCAAAATGCCATGTTGTCATCTTTTTGCTTAGACACATGAAATCGCCTTGACATTATGATTTACAGTGGAGACTTGCAAAGATAAACACAAATCTTCCTTTTCCCATTTATTTACTGGAGAAGCAGCTATATTCTAGCCTTTTGCTGATTGGGTGGGCACAGTCAATGAGCCAGCTTCTAAAATCTGAATGGTAGTAAGCAAATTACAAGATAGGTTAGCAATTTAGGTAATGTGCTTTGGAAACTATAGTATATAATACATGTAACATACTAAATATATGTTAACCAACTGTGTTATCAGTAAAGCTTAAGCTTTTTGAGATCAAAGACAAGAGGAATAAAACCATCAACACACACATGCACACACACAGTAGGCCAAATTCTTGATTTTGATGATGTATGCTACACTGTGGATTTTAAAAGTCCTGTTCAGAAAAATTATCTTCAAATTTCATTGGTGAAAATTCAGCATAAAGAAGGGTGACAGAGCTTTAGTGAAGTACACAAATGAAGAGAAGAAATCATGCAGTTTGGGGGCCCAGATCCTTCTCTGAAAAGTATGAAGCTTTCAAAAAGGCATAGCTAGACCTTGAAGATCATCTACACCAACAACCCTCCTTTTTTCCAAGGTGCAATATGGTACCCATTTAAGAGTTTTATATTGTGTGGAGGCTAAAGCAACTTCATCTTGGATGCTAATCCACCATGTTGACTTCTGATCAACTCCAGTTCTGGGAATGCCTCTAAGATTTCTACTTTCACATACTTACTGTAAATCCAGCCCTTAAGTCGAAACAACTTTGATGTTATTGTAAATGCGTACTTATCATAAACTCTGCCCTTAAGCAAATTCTCTATGGTATATAAGCCCTGGGTCTGGGGGTAACTGGATGGGGATCCAACATCTTATCCCTCGGCTTTTTGTTTGTAGGTCTTTATTAAATGTTTCTTTCAAGGAAACTGGATATGTCAGCCTCTTTCTTCAACCTCTCAGCCCCCTGGGCCTTGGGAAGAAGATGTGCATATGCCTGCCCACTGCAAAACATACTAGAATCTCAGCTTCACCATGATCTACCCTTGTAACTTGTGTAATAATTTTTCTGAACTTTAAACCTCTTGCGGGATTAAGTGGGACATTCAGGAGATATGCACAAAACACCTTAGGTGATGCTACTTCCCTTCTTCATCACTGTGGGTGAAAAAAACTAAGACTTCTCTGGTAAGCACCCAACAATGTTGCCTCTTTACCATCTAAATGGTATGTTTCCTTTCAGTCACAGCTCTGGTTTAAAGGAAGCATTTGCACAAAGGGTCATTGCTGTGATCTTCCTGGGCTTATCTTACCTTATCTCTCCAGCTAACATCTGACCCCTTGATTCAGTGCTCAATACATTCCTTCCATCCTTTCCATTTGGTTGAAATTTTTCTCTTTGACTTCACAAAACAAAACCACCACTCTCAAGCCTCAGACATTTTAAGGGTTTATAATAAAGTCATAGCTTACATTTCTGGCATTATCTTCCATAAGCCTTCCTTTCACTTTCCACCCTCCAGTCATAGCAGCCTTTCCCCTACTAGAATATGCCAGATTCTCTCCAACCCCAGGGCCTTTGCACATGCTATTTCTGCTGCCCGGGTTGCATTCATCCTCACTTAGTTAATTCTTATTTCCATCCTCAGTTAGTTAATCCATATTACCTTTCAGTTTTCAATGGTCAAGTCTGCTTATTTTATGTGCTCATGGGCACCATACACTCCTGTTTTGAAAACATTCCTCATGATCATCACTCTGTACTTTGATCCATGGCTGTCCCAATGGACAATGTGAGCCATAAGGGCGGGGATTCTCTGCTTCTGCTAATCATGGTAGGTACTAAAACTATAGCTGATGTTTTCACTCACCAATATCTGGGTAAAATGTAGCATTGCAATTCCCTGCACCCTCTAAGTTAGGATAGACCATGCAACTTGTTGTGGCCAATGGCAGGTAAGTAGCGATGAGGTATACCACTTCCTGTCACATGGCCAGTGCAGGAGTCACTGTGTTTATTTCAGTTTTCTACTGCCTATTGTACATGCCCTAACATTACTCCAAAATCTGATCCCCATCAGCCCTATCAGAACACTATTTAAAAGCTCAGCTTACTTCAACTGTGGCAAAACAGTTATGGCCCAGGTAAACAGAAGAAGGTAGACTCCACCGTAACAAATTTAGTTAACAGGAAGCAATCCCAGATCTATAGGCACAGAGAAGAATAAGAGAGAAACTTCACCCTAATGAAATTTAGACTTGAGTTTTAGAAGATTTTCCTGGAAAGACTAAGTAGAGTCAAGAGTTGAGATAAAGTGAAGGCATGAAAAGCAGAATGATGTGGAATTTAAAAGATGAAGAGCTATAAACGTGTTAATTTAATTGGCACGATCTCTCGAAGACAGATCCACTGCAACCACGAAGAAGAATTATCCTTTCTACACAGGGCCATTTTTCCACGATGCTACTACATTGGCCATCACAGAGCACAGTAAGTTCATGATGAGATTAATTCTAGAAAACAAATCACAGTAAAATCTTTGAAATGTCCATCTGTGTCTGTGGGGAAATGAGCAGCAAACTTATGGAAAAGGAAGCCAGCTAAGGAGTAAGACATTGGCTTGAGAGGCTTTGTGATGACACAAAGACTCCAAGAAGGAGTAACGGGTAAGTCATTGCATCAGATTCAATATGTGTTGTGGGGCGTGTGGAAGGAAAGGTTAAAAAAAAAAAAAAGATTATAGCTGAAAAGGTTAACAGATTGTAAATAGAAGTTTTTTGTTTTGTTTTTTAAGCTCTTTAGTGGAGCTTGAAAGTTAAATGTCATAGGCAATAAAATTAAAAGCCAGCAAAACCTACAAATTCTATAGGGACTGTGTGACCCAAAATGCAAATTATGTTCAAGGTTTGCAGACAGCTTGAGTCCATCACAATGACCAGGTAAATGGATTTTAGAGGGGGAACAATCCAAATAGGTACGTTGTTAAGTATGGATCTTTCACAATTCAAGGATGCTGTATACATTACTCATCTCATTCTTCCCAAATCTTCACATGCATGAGGTTGTGCATGATCTATCTAACCCTACCTTATTTATGTCACCTAGTACCACTAGCCCACTGAGGCTTCATGATCTAGACACTGTAGCCTTGTTCAGTTCTTCAGATTCACGTTCCCTGCCTTAGAGTTGCACATGTGGTTTCCTCTGCTGAGAATGCTGCACTTCGCCCCATCCCTCTAGATTAGCTGTTCTCCTCAGGGGACATTTGAAAATGTCTGGAGGCATTTTTGTTTGCCACAATTGGGCAAAAGTGCCACTGGTATCCAGTAAGTAAAAGCCAGGGATGCTGCTCTTTAAACGTACTGCAGTGCACAGAACTAATCCCCACAATAAAGAATTATCCAGTCCCAAGTGTCAGTGCCAAGGCTGAGGAACTCTGCTGTATATAACTCATAGTTATCTGTCTTTCAGGTTTCACTTCTCCTGGGAAGCCTTCCTTGATTTCCATGATTAGATTAGGAAGTTCAAGTCACCTTACATTTCTACTTTGTAGCAATCATTGCAATTGAAATTAATTAATTTTTTGTTTAAGTATGTGTGTAATCTAGTCAAAAGAATAGCTGGAGGGACATACAGAAAGACATTGTAATCCCAACAGTTTGGGAGGCCGAGGTGAACATAGCACAAGGTCAAGAGATCGAGACCATCCTGGCCAACATGGTGAAATCCCATCTCCACTAAAAATACAAAAATTAGCTGGGCGTGGTGTTTAGCCTATAATCCCTACTCAGATGCTGAGCTACTTGGGAGGCTGAGGCACAAGAATTTCTTGAGCCCCAGAGGTGGAGGTTGCAGTGGGCCGAGATCGTGCCACTGCACTCCAGCCTGGTGATAGAGCAAGACTCTGTCTGCTGGTAACTGAAGAGAAAAATGATCAAATTCCAGGGAATAATGGAAACATTTTAATCATTTCCCTTACTCAGTGCTGTCATCTTTCAATGGATTTCCCCAGTTCTACCTTCCTTTACTTTTCTCCTTAAGAGTCCAGATTCACTCAGAATGCCCTTTTCACTTACTCCCATTTCATTTTGAGGCTTCTTAAATCCAAGGCCCAAGACAGAAATTTCAATTTGTCTCTGGTCCTCCTGACTGACACTCAAACTCTTTTTAAAAATATTTTGCTAATAACAATCACATCTTATGGATTGTCTTTCATGTGTTTCTATGACCCTCAAATCTCCTATTTCAACAGAGATGAGAACAGAAAGGAATGAAGTCCCAACAACAATTCTTACCTGCCACATCCACTGGGAAGAAATAGACAAGATAAATTAGGGAGAAAGAAGAGTTCCTATAACTGGAAGTCAACACACATGTTCAATCTTCACTCCCAAGTCCTAAATCCTACCTCACAATTTTCTTGCTTTCTCCCTTCACTCCAAATTACCATAGTACTGCTTTATTATCTTAGTCTATTTCGGCTGCTGTAACAAAATATTACAGATTGGGTAGCTTATAAACAGAAATTTATTCTTATAGTTCCGGAGGCTGGGAGGTCCAAGATCAAGGTGCCAGCAGATTCACTGTCTGGTGAGGGCCCCATTTCCTCTTTCATAGATGGCCATCGTTTTCCTGTTCCTTCACATGGTGGAAGGGGTGAGGGATCTCTTGGGGGTCTCCTTTCCAGAGCATTAATCTCTTTTATGAGGGTATTTCCCTAAAGTCCCACACTAACTAATCACTTCCCAAAAGTCCCACATCCCAAAACTCTTATGCTGGGGATTAACTTTCGACATATGCATTTTGGTGGGGACCCAAACCTTCAGGCTATAGCACTTATTTTGAGCCTTATCCTTTCTTATTGCTACATATTTTACTAAGATGAACTTTCTCTAGGCTCCACAGCACAATGTGTTCACTCTATCCAAGCACCTATCATAATATGCTGTAATTGATTTTTCTGATGTTTCTTCCTATGAAATTGTGAGCTCCTGGAGTTGAGGAACCATGTTTCATTATGTTTATGTACCTAACATATGAGAAAAATGACTATTTCTATTCTGAAAGGGCAAATATTTATTAAAGAAACTCACTCTATTTTAAAGCTGAAAGTAATAATTTTACTCAATTGTATTACAGTGAAACTCTGGTACATTTTGAGAAATTCTGTAGTTTTAAATCCCCAAAGACAATGGTCTAAATATAGTACTAAAAACCTATCTAATTCTTTGAATGGACATTCATAAAATTGGAAAAACAATTGGTTAAGAAATATATGGCAAAATAACCTGAGTAATCAAATAAATACGACTTTAAATACAATTTTTAGTTTTTTTAAATAAAATGGGACTATCTAGTGTTGGCAAGAGTGTAGTCACATAGCCATTCTTATTAATCTTCAAAGTGTAGATTGCTAAAAAGTCTTTTCAAAGGCAATTCAGCAGTAAGTACCAAGGCAATTGAAATACAACTGATACCAACAATAGAAATGGGTTTGTTGTGATTTTCAAAAAGTAATTCCGAAGTATCACAACTCTTCCTCTTTTCCTTCCTTTCCCATTCCCTCTTCACTTTCCCTTTCCTCTCTTGTAGATGGCATCACCAGAAACCAAGAAGATGGTAAGGCCTGGAGGTGGCAGAGCTGAAGAGGTGAGAGAAGGAAGCCTGATGAAGAAATACAATTCTAATGGTAAACCTAGGGAATCAGGAAATCAATTTAACTAAGCCAGCTTCAGTTATGGCTTCTGGACAATCCAGTGTTGTAAACCCTTTAAACAGAAAGTCATCATAAGAAACCATTGGGAATAGAGGTTGATTAAATACATAATTAGAATCTGGTTTCTCACAAAGTCCTGGGAAAGACTAAAACTAAAAATTTTTCACTTGCACAAAAAGTGGTCATTGCTTTGAGTGTTCTAATACCTTCCAAATTTATCTTTTAAAACCCAACATAAGATCTTTTTTAAAATCACTTTTTACTCTTTAATAATTGCTGGAGACAATTCAGAATCTTTCTTAGGTTTTACACAGTCATTGCCAGCTACTCTTTATCTCTGTGGCTCTTGATTCAATTCAAGTTGGCAGGCATTTACGGAGTACCTACTATGTACCAGGCACCATGCTAGGTACAGCATGTAAACATGAGTGTGACACCATCTCTGTTCTTACAGAGTACATGACCCAGCAGAAGAAATAAGCACAAATACAAATGGTGACAGAAAAATAAGATGTGTCACAACTGACTTAGATTCCAACAACCACAACAGCACAGAGGAGGAAGCGAGGTGGTGCTCCCTGGAATGACCCAAACACAACAATATCTGAGCTTGCTCTTGAAGGACTAGCAGTTTACCAAGCAAAATGGAAAACAGAAATTGAGTCCAGGTCTAGATATCAAGAAGCACAAAGAGATCCAGAAAAGACCATGGAGAATTCAAAGACCAGCAACAGGCTTCAAAAGCCTTCTATGAATAGGGCATGTAAGGATTTGCTGGGGGCAAGGGTGGGTTTGAGAGCTGGAGATGGAGATGAAATTAGTGAACACCATGCCTCTCTCTTGTACTAAAGAGGCCGCAGGGAAGACAAAGCTCAGTTGTATTCAACAAAGGCCACTCAGGTAGCACCATAAAGGAAGAGCTGTAACACGGACACGGGAGTAGTGGAATCAGTCAAGAGGGAATTTCAAAGGTCAAAGATGAAAGGCTGGCTGGGCGCGGTGGCTCACGCTTGTAATCCCAGCACTTTGGGAGGCCGAGGTGGGCGGATCACGGGGTCAGGAGATAGAGACCATCCTGGCCAACAAGGTGAAACCGCATCTCTACTAAAATACAAAAAATTAGCCGGGCATGGTGGTGCGTGCCTATAGTTCCAGCTACTCCGGAGGCTGAGGCAGGGGAATCTCTTGAACCCAGGAGGCAGAGCTTGCAGTGAGCCAAGATCGCGCCACTGCACTCAAGCCTGGAGACAGAGGGAAAGTCCATCTCAAAAAAAAAAAAAAAAAAAAAAAGATGAAAGGATGTGGGTCAAAAAGGTGTTTGGCATGAAGCATCAACAGGAAGCTGCTTCTATAGCAAATCTCAGGATTTGCTCAGAGCATCTGAGGGTCTGGGTGGAGGGTCTTATTTTCATTTCATACTTGGTAGGCATGGACCCTTCTCCTCTCACCCCCCAGCACATATGAAGGGGTATGGACAGTGTTGGAACAAGATGGTCTTGGATTCAGAAATAAAAGGAGTCAGAAGCTGAAGACCTAAGGGTAACACAAGACTTCCGGGTTCTGGCCGGGCGCGGTGGCTCACGCCTGTAATCCCAGCACTTTGGGAGGCCGAGGCGGGCGGATCACGAGGTCAGGAGATCGAGACCATCCCGGCTAAAACGGCGAAACCCCGTCTCTACTAAAAATACAAAAAATTAGCCGGGCGTAGTGGCGGGCGCCTGTAGTCCCAGCTACTTGGGAGGCTGAGGCAGGAGAATGGCGTGAACCCGGGAGGCGGAGCTTGCAGTGAGCCGAGATCCCGCCACTGCACTCCAGCCTGGGCGACAGAGCGAGACTCCGTCTCAAAAAAAAAAAAAAAAGACTTCCGGGTTCTGAAAGCAGTGCAGCTTGGAATTTTCAGAAAGTGAATTGACTTCCTGTAGCTGATTGTTTTTTATTTTAGGAAAATAAAAATTATTACTTTTTGTTTAAATGACAAAATTGTATATATTTATTATGCACAGCATAATATTTTAAATATATCTACATTTTGGAATAAGTAAGTTGAGCTAATTGACATTACTTAGTTTTTATTTTTAGTGGTGAGAATGCTTAAACTCTACTCTGTTCGTATTTTTTAAAGATACATATGTTGTTACTAACAATAGTCATCATATTGTACAATGGCCTTTTGAATGTATACCTCCTAACTGAAAATTTGTGTCCTTTGACCAACATCTTTCTAACTTTCCCCCACCCACACTTCCCCAGTCCCCAGTAACCACCATTCTATGCAACTTCTACGAATTTAACTTCTTTAGATTCTACATATAACTGACGTTATGCAATGTTTGTCTTTCTATGCTTGGCTTATTTCACTTAACAAAATGTCCTCCAGTTCCATCCATGTTGCTGCAAATAGCAGGATTTCCTTCTTGTTTATGGCTGAAGAGTATTCCATTTTGTATATATACCACAATTTTTAAAATTTATTCATTCGTTGATGGACACTTAGGTTGATTTCACATCTTGGCTACTGTAATGCTACAGTGAACGTGAACGTGCAGGCATCTCTTTGGACATACCGATTTCATTTCCTTTGTAATGTACACCCAGTAGTGGGGTTGCTGGATCATATGGTGGCTCTATTTTTAACTTTTGAGGAATCCCGTGACTGATTCTAAGTTAGTAGGGGAAAATTAAGAACAGGCATATAATTCCTGCAGAAATATTTCTAGTAGGATGACTGTCACATGCAGCTGCTGGGGTGAAAGCACAGTTATAAGAGCTGGGACATCAGCATCAGGCAATGAGAATCTGATTCCTGCTTCTCCCCTCACCAGCTGTGTCATCTCCAGCATGCTATCTAAACAGTGTGAACCTCAGTTTTCTCATCTATAAAATGGAGACATTCATTAATCAAGTGTTGTTGTTGAAGGCACAAATGTAGAGCGTTTGTGAAGTCCTTAGTCCTATACTTGGCATGTGGTATGCAATAAATATTGATTGGTTGATTTGGCCAACAAATATTATAGTTCCTGATACTTGGAAACTGATGTTTACCTTTTTAGTAGCTCTGATACCCATAGTTGATCCCCTGATCCCCTGGATCCACAGTGATCCAATGAGTGAAATCAGACAAAGATGTTTATCTCCACTTTTAAAAGTAAGGAGGCAGGCTTAGGGGGCTACACAAAACTTCCAAAAGTTGCACAGTGAATACAGAATAAACCTGAGAATAGATTCCAAGTATTTAGACTAAGTTTTAAGCGCCTTATAATTTATCACCCATCCTTTGATCTTTGTCTTCTTCCACAAATATTATTGAGTTTCTGTGACGAGCTAATCCCTGTGGTGAATAGAGTATTCTATGTCCTGAGAGTGGAGGCTTATGTATCTCACAATCCTGCCCTTCGAATCTCGCCCTCCTCCCGTTTTATGATCAGAAATGTGTTCTATTCAACTCTGTCAGTGGAAACTAGTAGAGAGCCTGGCACAAAGTAAGTGCTCATTAAATAGCTAGTCAATGAGATTATTGATCAATAGATTATTCTAATACAGTTTTTTCCATGACAACTGTCCCTAGAATTGCAGGTACTGAGCAGAAGGAGGAACCTTTTCTCTGCAGAACCTCATAGGTGTGCAGTAATGCATAGGCTTTGAAGACAAATAGACCAGTATTAAATCCCAGCGCTGTGTGACTTTGGACAGCATGAACCTCAGTGAAGTTTATCTGGAATAAACTTTACCTGAAGTTCATTAGAAACTTCAATGTCTTTATCTGGAAAATGCAGCCAATAATACTTGCCTGGCAAACTTGTTTTGAGAATTAAATTAGTTGACCAGCTGAAAGTGCCTAGGTTAGTAAGCTGTCACGTAGGAGGTGCCAGATCAATGGCAGTGATTATTACTTGTGCAAGGTACAAGAGGTGGCATCAATTTGAGATTCATAAATATGCTAGGTATGTAGTGGGACCATCACCCTTATTAGAATTATAGCTGGAATATCCCATTGGGTTAAGCTGCACTCTGAATACAGGGTTCCTTCTCAGATTGAGAAACCCTTTGTGAGCCTTCTCTTCACCACTGTACATGCGGAGGTAGGAACAAGTGCTGGCCTTCCACCACTGCTTCCTCTCACCCCGTGGGGAGGGTGGCTGAGTCATGCTGACTTGCACCCAGTGCAGCTTGCACTCGTGTCATTACAGTGCAGAGGTCTGCAGGCGCCACCAAAGTGAGTTCTGGCTTTTTATCCTCCTTGTTACAAAGGCCAGAATCACACATAGAACAGAATGTAAACAAATTTTCCAAGCCTCTATTTGTTCTCAAATTGGTCAATGTTTCCTGTCCCACTGCCCCCGGATCCCCACCCTCCACTCTAAACCTCAAAGACTAAAAATGCAAATAAGTGAAATCTTCAACAGTTATTGATTTGAAGAGAAGCTTTGAGCTTGAAACCCTGATTTTTTTTTTAGATTATTTGTAGCACTTTAAGTACAAACTTGGACAATTTATTTTCTGCATAGTTTTGAAAATGTTTATAGAATAACTGAACCCAGAAATATGAAGGACTAAAACCTAGAAACCCAATAAATAAAAAGTGGAAACAATCTTAATGATAAATAAGAGGAAAATGATCAACTAAAACTGTGAAATTGTGACACACTTATATATTGAAATACTATCCCTAAAACAATGTTAGTTTTAGTGACATTAGAAAAATGTTTAAAATATAATGTGTATAAACAGAGATAGAAAACTCGGCATACAGCAGGATTCCAATTGTTAAATATGTTTAAAATGTACCAAGACGACTTCTATATATGATTATAATGATTATTATTTTTACCTGTTCTTTATGCATATCCACCTTTATACAACAAATGCTTAAAATCATTATACTCAAAAATGTTTTAAAAATGTAATTGTATAACTAATTTTCAATCGTCTTTGCCCTTGAAAGGGAGTTCTAAGACCAATCACTTCAGTAAGAACTTAACTAGTAAACACTTGTCTCTCATGAGGTTATAGTCATTCTCATTGACATGAACAGGTTAAAGACAGCAAGAAATGTGTTTGTGAAAAGTCAAGTGCCGTCTGAGTTGCCAAATTTCTGGAGAACAGTGTTGTATGGAATAAAACGAAAATAAAATCCTAGATTGTGAGTTAGGAAATCAAAATGTTAATACTAGCTGTGCCACTAAATGGTTGTAGAGCTGGACTAGCTTACTTCCCCTCTTTGTTTTTGACTTGTTTCATTTGTAAAATGAGAAAAAAATCACTCCTTCACTCGTTCATTTATTCACTTCTTTAAGAAATGTTTCTCAAGGTTATATTGTGGGTTGAGTACTATTGTAGACACTGAGGACAGATCAGTGGAAAAACACAAATGTGGCTCTTGCCTTCAGAGAACTTATGGTCCAGTGGGGAAGAAAAAGCATGGACTACTAACTAAGTAAATATGTGTAATAGTATCAGGTGCTGTGAAGGAAAATGAAGCCAGGTAAGGAGAAAGAGAGCAGCCTGCAAGGTCCCTAAGGAGGTGATTTGTAAGTAGATAACTGAGTGAAACATAGAAGCAAATCTTGCTGCAATCCAGAGGGGAGGGTGTCCCAGGTAGAGGGAATAGCCTATGCAATATACGGGAAACAGAAGTGTGGCTGCAGTCGAGAGACTCAGGCAGAGAGTGACGAAAATGAAAGTCAATTCTTTTCCACTGCCGTATAACCAAATAGAATCCATGGGAGAGCCTGTCGGCAAGCTCAAAATGCTCCTGGCGCACTTGAGCTCTAAAGTCCAAGGCCTTCACACAGGGAATGCATTACAGGAACTTCATCAGTTCTGCCGTGATGCTTTGAAGGCCCGCTGTGCAACTATTAGCTGATCCCACTTAACAGACAGTGACGCAGTCACCAGGCATGTTTGTGCCCAAGCAGGTGATGATTTTCTCTCCACTGACTCCAGTCAAGGACTTTTCCCTTCCAGGTTTCAGGCTCCAGGTGACATTGGGCACAGAGGGTCAGGTGGAAAGTGAACAGGTCACGCGCCGGGCAGGTGACACGATCGGTGCTCTGCTCACATTTCAAAGAGCCCACTTTTCCTCCTATGTGTCAAGCACACAGTTACTTTGAATGCTGCAGAGTAAGATGATTCATCAATTTCCGAACGCTTGAGAAAGGAATCACTGTTTAGATATTTTAAATGTTTTCCTAACCCTTACAGAGGTAGCTATAGCTCAGGAAGATAAACTGAAATGAAGGTAAGAACAAAAAAAGAAGCAATTGCTCTCATCTATAATTAT